>NC_000002.12:229913860-230216890 GCF_000001405.40 Homo sapiens
AGACAGAACGTGAAAGTCATCCTGAAATATGTTACAGAAGGAGAATAGGAGAGTAAGGAGTAAAAATTTTAAAGGAGTCACTGGAAGAAAGTTAAGTGTAAGTATATATATTTCTAAGAGATACAGGCCAGGCGCGGTGGCTCACACTTGTAATCCCAGCACTTTGGGAAGCCGAGGTGGGTGGATTGCCTGAGGTCAGGAGTTGGAGACCAGTCTACAATCCCAGCTACTCAGGAGGCTGAGGCAGGGAATCGCTTGAACCAAGGAGGTGGAGGTGGAGGCTGCAGTGAGTCGGGATCGCACCACTGCACTCCAGCCTGGGCGGCAAAGCAAAACTCTGCCTCAAAAAATAAAAATAATAATAAAAATAATAGATACAAGATGTGAGAGGGGGTGTCAATTCAAGTAGACAAAAAACCAAAGCAAAAATGCTAAAAAGTTGCTGGGTGTGTTCAGAGAGGAAGAAACAGTTCAATCTGATTGCAGCCAAGGATGTAAAACAGAATTACGAAACACTGGGGTCTGAGAAGTTGACAGCATTTGCATATATTTCCTATTTACAAGGCTACTAGAAGCACTTGGTTTTTGAGAATCAAAAAAAGTAGGGGACATTCATATGATCTCTATGAACCTGCTCTCTAAGGACACAAAGTAGCTTAAATTACAACTGAAGAGAGAATTTCAAGAGATGGGCTACTGTGAAAACTCACTTTAGGTTTCCAGGGCATCGCACATGTTTACCAGTATAAAATCTTTAAATTAAGTTCATCTGACCTTAAGAACACAGCACAAGGTACATCTATTTATTCAGAGCACTGCCCACGGCTAGAGTGAGTAGGAGTTTTGAAGTCAGGGTAGAACTCATTGGTTATGACAGCCAACAAGTTGATTAAAATACACACTGAAATGCTGTAACTTCAAGTCTTGAAGGCTTGTTGATGGACACTTAGGCTTATAAATAGCCTTCAAAAATCCATGTATGGGTAATAACACCATATTTATAGAAATATGTACATGCTCTCTAAAAAGAAACAAACAGAATAAACTACAATGATGTATACTATTATAAATTGGAAACACTAATCATTTAGCACTGCATTAAAACATATTGGCCAGGCACAGTGGTTCATTCTTGTAATACCAGCACTTTGGGAGACCAAGGCGGGTGTATCACGTGAGGTCAGGAGTTCAAGACCAGCCTGGCCAACAGAGTGAAACCTGTCTCTACTAAAAATACAAAAAATTAGCTGGGTGTGGTGGCAGGCACCTGTATCCCGGCTACTCGGGAGGCTGAGGCAGGAGGATTGCTTGAACCCGGGAGGCAGAGGTTACAAGTGAGCCAAGATTGCGCCACTGCACTCCAATCTGGACAACACAGCGAAACTCAATCTCAAAAAAAAAACTTATTTAGGTCCTCAATGTACTTTATCAACTATTACATGCACATAATGGTCAATTAAAGAGTAACAAAATGGCTTGCCCTAATTCTTTTTAAAATGTATGATTTAAAGTAACTTGCAGTCTCCAAAATATATACTGACTAAAAGTCTCAAAGTCATTTTAGCATTAACGATGCAAAATAAGAATCAAAATTTTAAAAATAGGACATTAAGCCATTACAAAATATTTCCACTTACAGTATCTTATTTTATTTTCACAAGACTTATTCTGTCAACAAACGCTTAATCCCTATCATGGGCCAGCTACTGTGCTAGATGCAGAGATAAAAAGGGACACTACTTGGGATTAGTGTCCTTATAAAAGTTAAAAAAAGGGTGAGGGCTAAAGACTTTAAAGAATTCATAATCAACTAAGGAATACTATTGTATACTAAAAAAAAAAAAAAATTTTTTGAGACAGGGTCTCACGGTCACCCAGGCTGGAGTGCAGTGGCACAATTACAGCTCAGCACAGCTTCCATCTCCCAGGCTCAAGCAATCCTCTCACCTCAGCCTCCCAGGTAGCTGAAGACTACAGGCATGTGCCACCATGCCCAGCTAATTTTTTACTTTTAGTAGCAACAAGGTCTCTACTAAGTTGCTCAGGCTAGTCTCAAACTCCTGGGCTCAAGTGATCCTCCTGCCTCAGCCTCCCAAAGTTCTGGAATTACAGGCATGAGCCACTGGGTCAAATGTTTCAAGTAGGATACCTATGCATATAACAGAGGTATGTTCGAGTTAAAAGAGTTTTAACAAATGAGGCAATGGTCCACAGTACTGTAAACAAGTGGAGAAAGGGCCTTGTGTTCCAATTCATCTGTGGAGCCTAATCTAAATACAGAATGTCTAGCATATAAATGACAACTGACTCTACATTAGGTGGTAATAATCAAATTTTTCAGATTAGGCACTTGAAGCTCACAAAGTACTAAGTTAAATTATTTGCCCAAGGTTACAAAGATGGGAAATGCATAGCCAGGATTGGAACCTAAGTCTTGCCTTCAAATCAGATAATCACTTGAACAGTGCTATTAAGGAAAACACACAGTAGCAGGTATTTTTCACTCTAGACCATTTGAATGACTTTTTAAATCAAGCATAACCATGATAGCCAAGTGTGGAGGTGCCCGTCTGTGATCCCAGTATTTGGGAGGCTGAGGCAGGAGAATCACTTGAACCTGGAAGGTGGAGGTTGCAGTGAGCCGAGATCGCGCCACTGCACTCCAGCCTGGGTGACAAAAGTGAGACTCTGTCTCAACAAACGAACAAGCATAACCATGAAACTGACTACTGCCAATAGCTTCTGCACTCTCAAGACAAAGCAGGTAAGCCTGAATAATGGGTAAGTTCCTTTTTCTTCTATCCAATTCAGTTTAATGAAATCACTGAAATCACAATAAACAACCAAAATCTAAAAGGCCTCAGAGAAAAATGACTGAACAGACTTATTTCAGTCTAGGAAACCTCTTTTTGCCAATAACCTAAAACTATCAGTAAGTTAGGATATTAAAGAACTACATTTTTAAAAAACCCAAGACATTAGCAGAGTTAAATTTTACTTAAAAAAAAAAAAAGAAAAATCAAGGGACAGGTCTAGCATCGGTATACTTATCTATTTATTACAAATAACAGCAAGCATCCATTATGCACAGAGAAACCCAGCAGAGAGGTAGAGAACAACTGCTTTGAGGTTATGTCTTCAAGTCTGTAACACAGCTGCTGAAATGATACACAAGTACCAAAAGAAAATACACAAGTAAAGCTTACATTACACTACACGTTAAGAATTACCAAGCACTGGCCGGGCGCGGTGGCTCACGCCTGTAATCCCAGCACTTTGGGAGTCCAAGGCGGGTGGATCACGAGGTCAGGAAATCAAGACCATCCTGGCTAACAAGGTGAAACCCCATCTCTACTAAAAATACAAAAAAATTAGCTGGGCGTGGTGGCTGGCACCTGTAGTCCCAGCTACTCGGGAGGCTGAGGCAAGAGAATGGCATGAACCCTGGAGGCGGAGCCTGCAGTGAGCCAAGATCGCGCCATTGCACTCCACCCTGGGCAACAGAGCGAGACTCTGTCTCAAAAAAAAAAAAAAAAAAAAAAAAAAAAAAAAAAAAAAATTACCAAGCACTAAGATTATATACAACAATCTAAAAATTATATTTATTCTGTAACATCCACCAGATTTTTACTCTTCCACCCTATCTGGCCTGGACTCTCCTCAGGCTTGGCCTTATTAACTAAAGCTTGGCCTATGAAAAAAGTGGCACAGAATAATCCACTGGCTTAACACTAAAACATGGCAGTGACAGTTGATATCCATCCAGGCACTCTAATGGCACGTTAGTCAGGGGAGATGTGAAGAGGCCCTGATCACTGAACCAACCAAGAGAAAGCATTCTGAAGAATCTGCTGGGGTCAAAGAACCCTTCCAAGCAGGTTGGAGTCCAGTGGCATGATCATAACTATTAACTTCAAATCTCTGGGTTCAAGCAATACTTCCGCTTCAGCCTCCAAAGTTGCCTAGAACTACTGATGCATGCCACCATGCCCAGCTAACTTTTTTTTTCTTTTTTGTGGAGACAGTCTCACTATGTTGCCTGGGCTACAACTCCTAGCCTCAAGCGATCCTCCCACGTCCTCACCTCCAGTGCCACCTCACCCAGACCAATCAGGTTTATTAGTATACCTTCACACATACCACATTGACATGAAATCATCCTTGCCCTCAGGAAGCCTACAGTCCAATCAGGGAAACAAAAGCAACACATGTCAACAAATGCAATACTGTAATGCAGAAACGAAGCAAGTACAGTTAATCAGAAATACAAAGATCACAGGTAGAAACTTGTTCGAGGAAGTGATCTGAAGACATGAGTTGTAAGTTGTTCTTCACATCCTTTATCTTCTATGTTTTTCTGTACATAGTGGGTGCTTGCTTGATTTAAATGAGGGAAAAGTCCATGTCAAACAGGCAATTGCAAGGAATGATTTCAGTGAAGATTAAAAAACCAAGTAGGTTGCTGTTTTGACTTGAGTCCATCAAATAGCAAACAAAAAAATAAAGGAGCAACTGGTATCACATTTGCTCAAAAAGATCCCTACCCATCCACTTAAAAGGGGGGAAAGTTCCCTAGGTTCTGTAAAGAAAACAGTGACCAAGATTCAGAAGCATTATTCCCTAATTGTAATCTCTTACATTAAGTCAATTTCATTAGAGTCACAAACCAGAACAGGTACTTTGTCAATAAAAAACGTAAATGAATTTGAAGTTTCTTTAAACATATTAACAAGTTTTTTCAGTAGAATGTATGGCAAACAAGTATCTGGCATGCTGATACCAAAAAAAGAAGGTAACTTTAAAAAGACAAAAATGAGACCCAAATTCTACTACCAATTAAGCAGCAATTTCAAATTATGAAGTTCTATAACTCTGTACCTTCAACCTAGTTTACATTAATTCTCCCCTGCCCCATGGACCACCACGACTAATGAGAAGCTGTATCTTTTAAAAATGACCTCAAAACAGCTCATGTAATTTTCTAAAATTAATTTATTTAGCATGTTGTTTTTTTTCAGTCATTACATCTGTTGGGTCTCACAACCACCCAGTGAGGTAAAATAGAGATTACCCACTCCCATTTTACAGATAAAATAAATGAAGACCAGATAGGTTAAGTGACTAGCTCAAGGTCACAAAGCTACTAACTGGTAGTGTGTGAATTTCCAAGCCAGTGATGTTTTCCTTGCTAAGATGAAAACCTTAAAATAAAGCAGGATATTAAAACCTTGTCTAGATAACATAAATACAATAATCTTACAAGTTACACTGGGGCCGGCGTGGTGGCTCTCCCCTGCAATCCCAGCACTTTGGGTGACCAAGGCAGGCGGATCACCTGAGAGGTCGGGAGTTCGAGACCAGCCTGGCCAACATGGTGAAACTCTGTCTCTACTAAAAATGCAAAAATTAGCCGGGCGTGGTGGCGCGTGCCTGTAATCTCAGCTACTCAGGAGGCTGAGGCAGGAGAATCGCTTGAACCAGGAGGCAGAGGTTGCATTAAGCCTACACTGCACCACTGCACTCCAGCCTAGGCGACAGAGCAAGATTCTGCTTTAAAAAAAAAAAAAGTTACAATGGGAAAGGAATCATACATGGAATCATACATTACTACAAATTTACTTTGCCAGGTGAAAGTACTGATTTTACCGTGATCTACCTAGCATCCCATTCGTTTTTTAAATGTAACTACTTTAGTTTAGCACCTTCTGGAACCTAACTGCCAAAATTGTTCTCAAACTTTTTGAAAGTAAATGAAAAAAAAAAAGAAAAATAAAGCCTGTTCATAGACTCAAACTAAGTAGTATAAATGTCAGCTGAACAGACTTAAAAACTGCTCACACTCCAGAAAAACTGGGGATTGAATGGAAACAATGATAATCTTAATTACAGTTTTCCAATTCTTATGGATATTGGCACATTCATAGAAAGGCAGACATGTACAAAGCCCACAAACCCCAATCATATTATGTACTCTTAAGCTTAAAATAAAACTCCCTCAATCTCACAAAGATAGTCACAGCAGTTCAACATTTCTGGGGCTGAACACACAGCAGGAAGTGTCAAAAGAAAGAATTAGAAATTCTGTATACTTTAAAACTTACACTTAATATTGATCACTTTGCATGTGGTAAATATGAAAATCAGCCTCAATAAAATCCTCTACAATTTATTGTCTCTAAACCTCTGCTAATTCCATTCCTCAACCCCCCCGGGGTGTAAATGCGACACACACAGGCCTCATATACAGGCCTCTTGCCTTTTTTTCTAACACAACTAGGACCTTTGTTCTGAGCGTCGTTTTACCCCACTCAATAGCTCTTTCAACTTTCTACCCCGTATTTTTTGTTTTGTTTTTAAAGAGGAGACTCTGAGACTCAACTTGCTAGGTCTTTAAAAAATGAAATGCCAAAAATACCTAATGAGACTCTCGAGAGGAACATAAAGTTAAACACATCACTAAAGGGCCTACAAAACGGAGTAAAGCCCGGAGATCGGGTGATCTGGCAGCCCAGGCAAGATCGAGGACCGCGACTAGGAAAGGAGACAGCAGGAGAGCAGTTAGACGTCCACTTAGAACGGATTCACTGCGCTATTAACCGTACCCGCCTCCCCCCGCACCGGCCCAACCTTTACACACAAACACATTCCCTCCCCCAATTAACTAAAGAAGCAATTAAACTATGCCCACCACCAGACTCGATGCTTAGGCTAAACCTCCCCCAAAGTAAAACAGCATTATCAAAAAAACACAACATTTGTCTTAAGGGTTTGGAAGCTGCCCCTTCCGTTATCTCCTCACCACGTAAGGTAACCAATTCCCTCCTGTCCCCCACCAGGAGTTCAAAGTGTGATTTCCCCCCGATTTACATGTGTTTTTATGTTTTTCCGCATTTTTCCGTCTAGGAAATGAAGGATTTCTTATTCTGAGGAAGGGAGAGACGCCGAGGAAGACAGGATTTGAGGTTTTACTACCTTCGTTATTCGAACTCCCCTCTAACTTGTTCCTGTACTAGAAACCCACTCACTATGGAGAAGGAAGGAGAGGGGCTGAACTGATGGACAAACGTTGTAAATAATAGGTTTTATGTAATCCACATATAAATAAATTAATCGCCTGACTCGCTCTGAATGCTAATACGATTGGGGTGACAATTGGCCCACCTCCCTCCCCCAAGTCCTAGTTAAACCCACCTACCACCAATTTCCATTCTGATCTATTTAAAAGGATACTCTATTCCTCTCAGTCAAGTTTCTCGGCTTCTTTAGGCCTCCCTGCATGCCCCCCTCGTCATCATCCTCCCTCAGCCTCAACTTCCCACGGCTTAAAAAACTGCCCCGCGCAGACCCCGTCTCCGGGCTCGCCCTCCCTCAACCGTCCCTCGCCGTCCCCCTGGGCAGGAAACCCCTTACTGCGGTCTAAAGTCTCTCTGGCCTCTCCCTTCTCTGACCCTCGCTTCCCACAACTGTTGTCACTGGAGCTGCTTCCTAGTTTCCATTTCCGGGCCGTCCACGGCCCCGGAGCCTCCCCTTTCCCGATTTCCGGGCCCCTCGTCCCATTTCCGGGGAACCCTTGCCGTCTTCACACCCCCCACCTGCACTTCCGGCCCCCCACTTTCTCTCTTCCCAGACACCCTCCAAGCTCCAAAGCCCACTTCCGGCCCCCCTTGGTCCCCGCCGAGCTCCCCAACACCCGCAAGCCTTACCCCGGTTCTGTGAAGGGCCCTCCTCATTGCGGGAAGCCGGAGGAGGGACCCAGCGACCCCTACCTCCCGCCAGGCCCCGGTCCCTCCGGCCGCGGCCGCCCTCGAGCGTCTCTCCCGTCCACCCCCGGCCCGGTCCTTCCGCGGCCCCGCCGCCGCCGGCGCCGGGAGCAGGCCAAGCGGGGGCCGAATCGCGGCGATGACACAACCGGGCTTCCTGGGACTTTCTGTTCCAGCTCCTCCCCCCGCCCCCCCAACCCCTCAGCTGGCCCCCTCCCCCAAGGCTTGCCCCCGCCGCCCAGAGCTGCGCCCCAATTACCTAGTTAGGCCCCAAAGTCTCCGGTCCGGACTCGGTGGCGCGGCAGTAACTTCCACTAGCTCCCCCCACCCCCCCCAGCGGCGCGGCGGCGGCGGCTCCGGGTTCCTTCAATTATCAGCTGAGCCGCAGCACCGCGCCCGGCGTGCGCCTCCGCCCGTGCCGCCTCCCTCCCCGCCTGCTCTGACACCCTCGGGGAACTACTTTGTCCTCGGGCTCCGGTTACGGGCTCGTCCGCGGGACCGGCACCGCTGCCTACTGGCGGCCCATCACATCGCCCCTCCCTCCCACGCCTCCCGGCTCGACTCTCTCAGCAGCCTCCGATCTCCGCCCGATCCCTTCGAGGGACCAGGAAGGGGACTGTGGAGATCTACTTGGTATCCCTCCGCCGGGGTCACCCCCTCCCCTCCGTGGTAGCAGGAACTAATTCCCCCTCGGGTCACCCGGGACCTGGAGCTGGAAATTTCACGGATCAGGGTTCCCTAAGACCCTTGGAAGAGGGGACGATCGCCCCAAGTTAGAAATCCTTCTGCCAGCTCATAAGCGTGGTTCAATTTAAACTAGGGTTTTGGCCCCTTGACCCCAACCAAGCCCCGCCCCTTCCTGGTTGTCTTAGCGACGGCGGTGGCGTCCCAAGATGGCGTCGTGGCTGCCGGAGACTCTCTTTGAAACTGTAGGACAAGGCCCGCCGCCTAGCAAAGACTATTACCAGTTACTGGTCACCCGGTCTCAGGCAAGTGCGAGCCGCGGTTTACCCTCTCTCCTAACTCCCTACCTGGCCCGGTTGGGGCCCGGGACGCAGGCTGTGCTAGGCCAAGAGCAACCGTAGCCCGCCGGAAGCGCCCAGTCCCGGCTCCGCGCCGGGAGATTTTCCTCGTCACCTCGGCCTCCTCGGTCCGACGGCCCGCGTGTCCCTGCTCTCCCCGAGCCCGGCTAGTCCCTGGCAAGCCTTCTCTGCCTCCCCGCGGTGCCGCGTGCTCCTTTCCCGCCACCCCGGCTTCTTACCCGTAGAGTTTCCTCCGCGCGAAGAGGAAAACGGGCGTCTCCGGCTTGCGTGCGGCCTCACCTCAGCGTGAGAAGGAGGGAAAGAACGACTCAGCCAAGTGTCCCAAGGAGGAGCCGGCTAGGGAGGGGAAAAGGAGATTGCCTCTTTTCCAGGATAGGAATTAATCATGGAGAATTTTATAAATCTCTTTGTGGCCTTTACGCGTGCCACGGCCACATCAAAACTTAGTTATTTCTAGTAGCAACTGACGATTGGGAGCTCTTACCTTTTGGAGTCCCTTCTATCCCATTGAAAGTGTGCGGGTGGTGGTATAAAAATGTTTCAGCTGCTCTGCGCTTCAGCCCCACCCATAATGACATCTGCTCCACAACAATAAGACCGAGGATTATATTATCTCCAAAGTAACCATCGGCCTATTTTTATGCCTACTTTGGTTATTGAAGGTGGGCTTTTGGATGATTTACTGTGTCCATGAAATTCTCAACTTGAGCGGGGCCTCCATTGGGAAGACGTTTCTAATCCTGGCTGAGTTTACGCCTGTCACTGAGTTATTCATGCACCCTGCCCTTTCAATAGATACTATTCCTATAAAATGAAATTTAGAAGTTTGTATATATTTGTTTTGGTGTGCATATTGATCATTCCCTCAGTTTTTCCAGGAGCCCTTAAACAAAATAGGTAATGAGTTAATTTTTTTATATTTTTGAAAGCATCTTTTAAAATATAAATGTTAATATATATTTTTTAATTTAAGATTTAGAAATATTACAAATGTAAAATCAGCCTGTCCAAAAAAAATTTTTTTTAAAACAGTACTGCTCCTTGCGGAGCAGGGCTAATTCATAGGCAGTGGGCCCAGGGTCAGACTCAAATTTTTAATTAAACTGTTCTTAGGGGGTTTTGCACATTTAGTGATGTATGAAATACTGAAAGGTATCCTTTTCTGTACTTTTTTTTTGGTGTTGTTTTTTTTTTTTTTTTTTTTTTTTGAGACGGAGTCTCGCTCTGTCGCCAGGCTGGAGTGCAGTGGCGCGATCTCGGCTCACTGCGACCTCGTTTCACCATGTTGGCCAGGATGGTCTCGATCTCTTGATCTCGTGATCCGCCTGCCTCGGCCTCCCAAAGTGCTGGGATTACAGGCGTGAGCCACCGCGCCCGGCCTTGTACATTTTTTAAACGGATTATTGATTTTTCCATTTGTTTTAAGATTTGTTTGTTTATTTATCGAGAGGGAGTCTCCCTCTGTTGCCCAGGCTGGAGTGCAGTGGCGCGATCTCAGCTCACTGCAACCTCCGCATCTCCTGGGTTCAAGCGATTCTCCTGCCTCAGCCCCCCGAGTAACTGGGATTACAGGCGTGCGCCACCACACCCAGCTAATTTTTGTATTTTTAATAGAGACGGGGTTTCGCCATTTTGGCCAGAGTGGTCTCCAACTCCTGACCTCAGGTGATCCAGCTGCCTCGGCCTCCCAAATTGCTAGGATTATAGACTTGAGCCACCGAGCCTGGCTGGCTTTAAGATTTATGATCCTAACATTTCTTCACCTCCTAACATGAGTGGTCAAAAATATAATCTGTTCTAATCTTACATGATTTTCTATTTTTATCTACCTCAAGTAAGTTAGAATGTTTTAATTTTTACAGCCTTTAAAAATTTGTCTTTTTTTGCATTTTCTTTCCCCTGAAGGTCTGGTATTTTACAAGTATGCTTCATTTCTCTCATTTGTAAGCCTCACCAGGCTGAGTATCTTGTTACCTTTTTATTTTAGTAAATTATCCTTAGGAGTGCTCCCTGGCATTCGGCTTCCTAAAGAATAATTCTGTTGTTGGTGTTCTTCAGACTTTGCTCTCAAGTCTAACTTAGGCGCATGCCTTCCTCTAACTACTCTTTTTTTTTTTTTCTTTGAGGCAGCGTCTCGCACTGTCGCCCAGGCTGGAGTGCAGTGGCTCAATCTCAGCTCACTGCAAGCTCCGCCTCCTGGGTTCACACCATTCTCCTACCTCAGCCTCCCCAGTAGCTGGGATTACAGGCGCCCGCCACCACGCCCGGCTAATTTTTTGTATTTTTAGTTGAGATGGGGTTTCACCGTGTTAGCCAGGATGGTCTCTATCTCCTGGCATTACAGGCGTGAGCCACCGCGCCCGGCCCTAACTACTCTTTTTTAAGAAATCTTTCCCACCATCCCTTCAGTGTTCTTAATTTTTCTTTTTCTTTCTTTATTTTTATTATTTATTTATTTATTTTTTATTTTTTGCAAGTGAAAAACTCTCCTTTATCTCAGGTTCTGTCAGTTACATATATATAAAATCCTAAATTCTGATCCATTTTCTTTTTTAAGCATGCTGAATAAATCCACTACACTTCTACCAGTGAGAGTTAATCTCCAAGCTAATTAATTCACCCTCTTTTTAAAGTAAAATTTGTTGTAAAAAATGGCATGCCAAAAAAATATACTTTTCAGTCAACTGCCTTGAGAATATGCTATTTTCTAACCACAAGACAATTTTTCTGAGTCTCAGCACAGGAAACCAAACATCCAGTAAGAGGTGGCCTGACATAAATAAGTACTAAAAGACTAGCATTAAAATATGTTTTATAAGATAGATTTTTTTTCTGGAATGACTTTCTAAAATTATTTCTTGTACATTTCCTCCCCTTTCTCCTGTCTTTATTTTTTTAATGTTGTATATTATCCAAATTATGCCCCAGATTTAGATGAATCCTTCTTTCATGCTGATTCTGTTTTTTAGTCTCTTTTTCACTGCATCTTTTTCGTTGGCCTTAAATCCAAATAACTGCACATTTGACATGGATTTGAGGGCAGATATTTCTCTCATTAGTGTCATACCACCACTGACATAGTCCAGAATATAAATGTTATACATAAACATTTTCTTTGTTTATATAGTAACATTTGAAATATACTGTATGCTTATACAGGCACTTCTCTTTTACTGCTTGATACCATGTTGTTTTGGGTCTTGGGAGAGGGGTTTTATTCAAATAAATAACTTTTGGATTACAGCTTGGGGTCAGTTTAGTTTCTCGAAGCTGATCTTTATAATGATGATCTCCAGCTTTAGAAAAAATAGTGCGCTGCTTTCTAAATCAAAGATTCACTCAAGGGTTGGGCACAGTGGCTCAAACCTGTAATCCCAGAATTTTGGGAGGCTCAGGTGGGAGGATTGCTTGAACTAAGGAGTTTCAGACCAGCCTGGGCAACATAGCAAGACCCCTTCTCTTAAAAAAAAAAAAAAAAAAAAGGGGGGGCTGAGCACAGCTCATGCCTGTAATCTCAGCACTTTGGGAGGCCGACACAGGCAGATCACTTGAGGCCATGAGCTCGAGACCAGCCTGGCCAACATGGCAAAACCCCATCTCTACTAAAAATACAAAAAATTAGCTGGGCATGGTGATGCACGCCTGTAGTCCTAGCTACTCGGGAGGCTGAGGCAGGAGAATCGCTTGAACCCTGGAAGCAAAGGTTGCAGTGAGCTGAGATCACACCACTGCTCTCCAGCCTGGGCAACAAAGCAAGACTCAGTCTTTAAAATAAATAAATAAATAAATAAGATTTACTTGGCCAGGTGTGGTGGCTCACACCTGTAATTCCAGCATTTTGGGAGCCTGACGGGTGGATCACTTGAGGTCAGGAATTCAACACCAGCCTGGCCAACATGGTAAAACCCTGTCTCTACTAAAAATAAAAAAATTAGCTGGGCATGGTAGCATGAGCCTGTAATCCCAGCCACTGGGTAGGCTGAGGCAGGAGAATCACTTGAACCCAGGAGACAAAGGTTGCAGTGAGCCGAGATCTCACCACTGGGCAACAGAGTGAGACCCCATCTCAAAAACAAAAAAAAAAATACTGTTATTCTTACTCTAGCTCTAGTAGTTTACATATATTTTCTTATATTGGATTCTAATTCTTTGAAAACCAGTAGATTAATAAAGTGTTAGGGGTGGAAAGGATCTTTGTTTTTTTTTTGTTTTTGCAACAAGAGCCTCACTCTGTCATCCAGGCTGGAGTGCAGTGGGGTGATCTCGGCTCACTGCAACCTCCACCTTCTGGGTTGAAGTGATTCTCCTGCCTCAGCCTCCTGAGTACCTGGGATTACAGGCACCCGCCACCATGCCCAGCTAATTTTTGTATTTTTAGTAGGGATGGGGTTTCACCATGTTGGCCAGGCTGATCTTGAACTCCTGGCCTCAAGTGATCTGCCCGCCTTGGCCTCCCAAAGTTCTGGGATTACAGGGGTGAGACACCAAACCTGGCCAGGGCTAGAAAGAATCTTGAATATTATTTAGTTTGTACTTTCATGACACATATATATTCCTATTTATAGTGGGGAGAATGTAGCTAGTATTTGATTTGTAAAAACACTTTAATGACTAATCTTTTATATGTTGTATTTTTTTTTAACTCCAAAGGAAGTTCATGACCAATTGGCAAGTTAATGAGTGCAGGTGTTTTAAAATCTATGAGTTTAGAAGAAGCAAAAAATCACTTTATTCTAAGTGGTCCAGGAGGGTACTGTTACCAGTATTGTACTCTTGAAATGTTGTCTTCTTTGTCCTCTCAAAATGGAAGTGTTGCTTAGGTGGCCAGAACAGTTAACTTAGGTTTAATGTGACAAATACTGGAAAAGTGTTAGAAAGAGAATAATGGTATGCTAAGTAGATGGGAACTGGCAGATACGGCCTCTTGCAGCCAATAACCCAGGTGGTTGTCCGAAGAGCACCAATATGTTATAGTTAACTCCAGCAGATGAAAGAAGGAAGAATTGGGCAATAGATTCGTCTTGTTTTATCTCTTTTTCTAAATCCTATCCAAAGCTCCAAAAAGATATATGAAGCTAGTGTCATTTGAAAAAAAAAAAAAAATGAAAAAGCTCACCCCTCTAAAAAAAATGGCAATTATTTTTGAAGTGCATTAGAGTTGTGGCACTAAAGACTGAAAACACCTGAGGTTGCATGCCAGCCTGTGACAGGAAGCTGTCATCTCAATGACTTCTGACAAAAGAATTAAACTAGACTTGGTGATGGCTGGGCGAGAGACAACAAAAAATTGAGCTAGTGCCATTTCATACTGCAGACCAATTTTGAAGATTTAAAATGTAAATGCAGTCTAATAAAAATGTTAATGCACACACCCTTTGACCCAGCAAATCCATTTCTAGGATTTGGATATCCAAAAATGCTATCACATGTGCACAAGGATATGTGAGCAAGATTATTGACCAAAGTCAATAATTGTAAAAACATTTTTCCATGAGAGGAAATGTGGTTAAACTGTGATTCATTCATGCCATAGAATACTATCCAACTTTTCAAAAACAATGCGGTGGATCTCTGTTTACTCAGTAGACCAAATAAAATCTTTAGCAAGAAAAGCAAGTTGCTGGATTAAACATAGCATATCCTACTTTTTTAAAAAAGTGTTTTAAATAAATGTTAGTGAGGTTTTAAATAATTCTTAAAAGAAAAAGCTGGAATGATGCACTCTTAAGAGTTACAGATTTTTACTCTCCGCATTCATATTTCTGGAAGATCTGAATTTTCTACCATGAGCATTTATTTTTATAATCAGAGAAAAGCAATAAAGATTTAAAATGAAAGTGTAAATGGATAACTGTTACTTTGAGGTGGTGTCCTGCCTGTATTCCCCCTATTGGGCCAGCACCACCTTTCACCCACCTCCCTCATTGAATATTGAGGCTGAATATTGAATATTGAATATTGAATAGCTTTGATAGCTGTGTCCCAAACTCCTGCTGTTTTTGTGGAAGGAAAATAATTCTAATTCTACAGTTTTAGAGTGCAAATTGATTAATGATTAATTTTGCAATTTTCCTTGCAAAATTTTAAGGAGGATTTTTGGTGTTTTTGTTTGTTTTAGAGGCAGAATCTCATTCTGTCCCCCAGGCTGGTGTGTAGTGGTGCAGTCAGCTCACTGCAGCCTCAAACTCCTGGGCTCAAGCAATCCTTGCGCCTCTGTGTCCCAAAGTGCTGGGATTACAAGCATGAATTTCTGTACCCATCCTTAAGGAGGATTTAGTGTCTAGAAACTTCTGACCTTTTTTTCTTTTCATTTTTTTTTTTTCTTTTCTGAGACAGAGTCTTGCTCTGTCACCCAGGCTGGAGTGCAGTGGCATGATCTTGGCTCACTGCCTCCCAAGTAGCTGGGACTAAAGGCATGTACCACCCCGCCCGGCTAATTTTTGTATTTTTATTAGAGATGGGGTTTCACCATGTTTGCCAGACTGGTCTCAAACTCCTGACCTCAAGTAATCCGCCCGCCTCAACCTCCCAAAGTGCTGGGATTACAGGCGTGAGCCACTGCACCCGGCCTCTTTTTCTTTTTAATATAAGTAATAATTACCTTTGAGAAACTAAAGGAGCTGGGTATGGTAGCTCACACCTGTAATCCCAGAACTTTGGGAGCCTGAGGCAGGCAGATCACAAGGTCAGGAGATCAAGACCATCCCGGCCAACATGGTGAAACCCCGTCTCTACTAAAAAAAAATAGAAAAATTAGCCAGGCGTGGGAGCGGGCGCCTATAGTCCCAGCTACTGGGGAGGCTGAGGCAGGAGAATGGCTTGAACCTGGGAGGCGAAGCTTGCAGTGAGCTGAGATCAGGACACTGCACTCCAGCCTGGGCAACAGAGCAAGACTCTGTTTCAAAAAAAAAAGAAAAAGAAAGACACAGCCAGGCGCGGTGGCTCATGCCTGTAATCCCAGCACTTTGAGAGGATGAAGCAGATGGATCACGAGGTCAGGAGTTCAAGACCAGCCTGGCCAACATTCTACTAAAAATACAAAAAAATTAGCTGGGAATGGTGGCGCACGCCTGTAGTCCCAGCTACTCGGGAGGCTGAGGCAGGAGAATTGCTTGAACCCAGGAGGTGGAGGTTGCAGTGAGCAGAGATCACGCCACTGCCCTCCAGCTTGTGCAACAGAGTAAGACTTTGTCTCAAAAAAAGAAAGAATATTTTGCAGACTTCTAAGCTATCATGCCCATTCTGCCCACTGACCACCGTCCACAGCCAAAATGTTTCCACACAGAAAGAACTACTGCTGCTCCTTTTAAATTCCAAAAGTCAGTATCATACTTGTGCTTATGTATTTCCACAGCCTGGTCATCATAGCGAGATCTCATCTCTACAAAAAAATCTAAAAATTATCCAGGCGTGGTGGCTCACACAGGTAATCCTAGCACGTTGGGAGACCTAGGCAGAAAGATCACTCGAGGCCAGGAATTCAAGACCAACCTGGCCAACATAGCAAGACCCCTTCTCTATTTTTAAAAATAATTAGCTGTGCATGGTGACATGAGCCTGTAGTCCCAGCTACGCAGGAGGCTGAGGCGGGAGGATCACTTGAACCTAGGTGTTTGAGGCTGCAGTGAGCCATGATCGTGCCAGTGCACTCCACTGAACAGAATGAGACCCTGTATCTTACAGAAAAATAATTACTTTCCTCATCTCTGTTGTTTGTGTTGATTTACACTCCTCTTTTCAGCTGTCTTTTTGTTTTTCTTTCACAGTCCCTTATTCTTCCCTCTTCCCTTAAGAGAGATGCTTTAGGCTGGGCACGGTGACTCACGCCTGTAATCCCAGCACTTTGAGAGGTCAAGGTGGGCAGATCACCTGAGGTCGGGAGGTCGAGACCAGCCTAGCCAACGTGGTGAAACCCCGTCTTTACTAAAAATACAAAAATTATCTGGGTGTGGTGGTGGGCGCCTGTAATCCCAGCTACTCAGGAGGCTGAGGCAGGAGAATTGCTTGAACTTGGGAGGCAACAGTTGCAGTGAACCACGATTGCGCCACTGCACTCAAGCCTGGGCGACAGTGAGATGCCGTCTCAAAACAAAAACAAAAGAGAGATGCTTTACCCCTTCGCCACTGCACCTGAGAACCTCAGCCCAGCTCAGCTGTGCTGGAGCCCTCCTCGAGGTGTGCTGTG
This sequence comes from Homo sapiens, assembly GCF_000001405.40. Taxonomy (NCBI): domain Eukaryota; kingdom Metazoa; phylum Chordata; class Mammalia; order Primates; family Hominidae; genus Homo; species Homo sapiens. The sequence goes on from NC_000002.12 coordinate 229,930,849, forward strand.
GTTTTCCCTCCTGCTGTCATTTACCCCCTCACTGCTCCTCCTGATGGCAGCAAGTGCGCAAACATTCCCTTCCCTGCCCTACAGGTTAGGCCAGGTGTTTATAATAATAAACTGCATTATTCTTCTGTTCCTCATGTTTGACACACTTCAGAAAAATGATTCCCAAACATTGTGTCTTGTGACACTCCAGGATCTGCCCAATTTAAGTTGTGAAATCCCTTTTAGTCAGAAATTTTTAATTTCTTTTAATTTTTTTAAGTGGCATATGGCACTTTTCTGAGGAGAGGGATGGCATGATCCAAGTAAGGTGATTAAACTCTTAAAAATAACAGTATTCACTGTTTAGTTAGTCTAGTCAAGTGGCTCCTAAATCCTCATTTCAAAATCACATGACAGCTGGACATAGTTCCAGTATCACCTTTTCCCAGGTAAATTGTTCACTTGGTACCTGTGAGTGCCTGCTCAATCTGGGCAGTTAATTTGGTCTCACCCTACAGTGACACAGATTTGCTTCATAATTATATGGGGCAGTAGAGCACTTAATTGGAAGTCACTGAGTCACGGATCCTTTCATTCCTCCTGCAGTCTGCAAGCTCTTGACCTGGGGCAAGGCACTTAATTTGTCTGAGCCCTATTTGCCTCATCAGCATAAGAAGGTTACTAGTCTAAGAGATCACTAAGCTTTATCCCAACTCTAAAATGATGTTTCACGACCGGCATGTTGGCTCACACCTGTAATCCCAGCATTTTAGGAGGCCAAGGCAGGCGGATCAAGAGATCAGGGGTTCGAGACCAGCCTGGCCAGCATGGTGAAACCCCGTCTCTACTAAAAATACAAAAATGAGCTGGGTGTGGTAGTGCATGCCTGTAATCCCAGCTACTCTGGAGGCTGAGGCAGCAGAATCGCTTGAACCTGGGAGGTGGAAGTTGCAGTGAGCCAAGATCGTGCCATTGCACTCTGGCCTGGGCGACAGAGTGAGACTTCAGTCTCAAAAAAATAAAATATAATGCTGTTTCACATGAAAGTAGTCTTTTGTTTTCTTTTGGTTTTTTGCTTGTATATGTGTATATATTTTTTTTTTTTTTTAGACAGGGTCTTGATCTGTCACCTAAGCTGGAGTGCAGTGGTGCAATCATAGCTCACTGCAGCCTCCAACTCCCATGCTCAAGCAATCCACCCACTTTAGCCCCCTGAAAATAGCAGAGACTACAGGCCCGTTCCACCATGCCCAGCTAAGAAAGTAGTGTTTTAGGCTGGGCGCAGTAGTCACACCTGTAATCCCAGCACTTCAGGAGGACGAGGTGGGCGGATCACAAAGTCAGGAGTTCGAGACCAGCCTGACCAACATGGTGAAACCCCGTCTCCACTAAAAATACAAAAATTAGCCAGGGCCCGGCACGGTGGCTTACGCCTGTTATCCCAGCACTTTAGGAGGCTGACGCGGATGGATCACCTAAGGTCAGGAGTTCGAGACCAGCCTGACCAACATGGAGAAACCCAGTCTCTACTAAAAGTACAAAATTAGCCTGGTGTAGTGGTGGGTGCCTGTAATCCCAGCTACTCAGAGGGCTGAGGCAGGAGAATCACTTGAACCCGGGAGTTGGAGGTTGCAGTGAGCCAAGGTCACGCCATTGCACTCCAGCCTAGGCAAGAAGAGTGAAACTTTGTCTCAAAAAAAAAATTAGCTGGATATGGTGGCGCACTTGTAATCCCAGCTACTCAGGAGGCTGAAGCAGGAGAATCGCTTGAACCTGAGAGATGGAGGTTGCAGTGAGCCGAGATCGCACTACTGCACTCCAGCCTGGGCAACACAGCAAGGCTCCGTCTCAAAAAAAAAAGAAAGAAAAGAAAAGAAAGTGGTGTTTTATACTGGAAAAAGCACTGGAGTTTTGTTTTTTTCTTTTCTTTTCTTTTCTTACAGAAAAATTGAGTTTGCATAGCCGGGCGCAGTGGCTTACGCCTGTAATCCCAGCACTTTGGGAGGCCGAGCCAGGTGGATCACGACGTCTGGAGTTGGAGACCAGCCTGACAAACATGGTGAAACCCCATCTCTAATAAAAACTAAAAATTAGCCGGGCGTGGTGATGCACGCCTGTAATCCCAGCTACTCAGGAGGCTGAGGTAGAAGAATCGCTTGAAACCAAGAGTCGGAGGTTGCAGTGAGCTGAGATTGCGCCATTGCGCTCCAGCCTGGGTGGGCAACAGAGCGAGATTCCGTCTCAAAAAAAGAAAAAAATTGAGTTTGCATCGAAGATTGTATATTAGAGGCTGGGCACGGTGGCTCACACCTGTAATCCATTTGGGAGGACGAGGCGGGTGGATCACCTGAGGTCAGGAGTTCGAGAGCAGCCTTGCCAACATGGTGAAACCTCTACTAAAAATACAAAAATTAGCCAGGCGTGGCGGTAGAGTCCTATAATTCTAGCTACTCGGGAGACTGAGGCAGGAGAATCACTCGAACCCAGGTGGTGGGGCAGAGGTTGCAGTGAGCTGACATCATACCACTTCACTCCAGCCTGAACAAAAGAGCAAAAAAAGAGCAAAACTCTCTCATATACACACACACACAAAGATTGTGCGTTAGTAGCTGTGTGACCTGGCGTAACCTGCCTGATGTTCCATTCTGTTCTTCTGTAAAGTTAAGTTGTGGCTACTTCACAAATATAGTGAGAACCAGATGTATGTAACAAGCACTCCAGGCCAGTATTTCTCAAAGAGAAGCATCATGAGCCGGGTGCAGGGGTGCGAGCCTATAGTCCCAGCTATTGAGAAGGCTGAGGCAGAAAGCTTGAGCTCAAGAGTTGAGTACAGCCTATGGAAAATACTGAGACCCCCTCTATGTTGTTATTTTTTTGAGATGGAGTCTTGCTCTGTCGCCCAGGCTGGAGTGCAATAGCACCATCTCAGCTCACTGCAACCCACACTTCCCGGGTTCAAACAATTCTCCTGCCTCAGCCTCCCTAGTAGCTGGGATTACAGGCGCGCACCACCATACCCAGCTAATTGTTGTATTTTTAGTAAAGATGGGATTTTGCCATGTTGGCCAGGCTGGTCTCGAACTCCTGAACTCAGGTGATCTGCCCGCTTTGGCCTCCCAAAGTGCTGGGATTACAGGCGTGAGTCACCGTGCCCAGCCCCCCTTTAAAAAAAAATACACAAACATTAAAAAAAGTTTTGTGATTAGAAAAGATTGGAAAATTCTAAGTAAAACAAAATTATATTTCCTTCTTTTCTCTGAAATTTCTCAGAGCCTTTCAAATCCTATTGTGCAGCCGGGTGCGGTGGCTCACGCCTGTAATCCCAGCACTTTGGGAGGCTGAGGCGAGTGGATCACAAGGTCAGGCGATCGAGACCATCCTGGCTAACACGGTGAAACCCCGTCTCTACTAAAAATACAAAAAATTAGCTGGGCATGGTGGCAGGAGCCTGTAGTCCCAGCTACTCGGGAGGCTGAGGCAGGAGAATGGCATGAACCCGGGAGGCGGAGCTTGCAGTGAGCCGAGATCGCACCACTGCACTCCAGCCTGGGCGACAGAGCGAGACTCTGTCTCAAAATATAAATAAATAAATAAAATAAAATCCTATTTTGCATCATGAATCTCCAAGAGACTACTGCAGAGTGGAGCTTTTCCTACGACCACAGCACCCTCTTTTCCCTGAGCATCTTTAGGGGCTGTGACTGGAATGCTGTTTGGAAAACCAGTCAGCAGTCTGCCTGGTACACAGCAGAAAATGCTGAAGAAATGTTAAATACTGGCACCAAATCAGTCAGACTTTACCTTTTCTATGACTGTTTCATTTTCCTTATTTATTTTTACTTTTATTTTTGAGACAGAGCTGTGTTGCCCAGACTGGAGTGCAATGGCGTGATCTTGGCTCGCTGCAACCTCTGCCTCCTGAGTTCAAATGATTCTCGTGCCTCAGTCTCCCAAGTAGCTGGGATTACAGGCACTTGCAACCATGCCCGGCTAATTTTCATGTTTTTCGTAGAGATGGGGTTTCGCCACGTTGGCCAGGCTGGTCTTGAACTCCTGACCACAGCCTCTCAAAGTGCTGGGATTGTAGACATGAGCCACTGCGCTCAGCCTTTCCTTTGGTTTTACAAATAAATGTGCTGCTGAGTTTCTGCAACCATTTTATTCTAACCTCCTCTTTAGAAATATTTTAAACTAATAATCCAAAAGAAAATACCTGCACCCTCAAATGTGTTATATGCCACAGTTTAACGTCTTAACTTGTGCCTCCACAATCTGGATGAACATGTTTTGATGCACGCCACAGAGGAAAGCATCTGTCATCACTGAATATGGTAGAATTTCTTACAAATGTTTTATTGTTTGGGAAAGCTCAGCTCTGACCAACCCCCTGGATTTGTGCCTATACAAAGCAGGTATAATTGGAGCAGAGAGTAAGCCTGAAAATCATAAGAGTCTCAGATGCACCAGCTCAGCACAAAATCTTGGAACATTGACAGTTCACAAAAACACACCACCGTGTGATAACAATATCAAACATTAGCCAGATGTGGTGGTGCATGCCTGTAATCCCAGCTACTTGGGAGGTTGAGGCAGGAGAATCTCTTGAACCTGGGAGGTGGAGGTTGCAGCGAGCCAAGATCGCACCATCACACTCCAGCCTGGGCAACAAGAGCAAAACTCCGTCTCAAATAAGTAAATAAATAAAAATAATAATAATAATATCGAGCTAGGGAGAGTATTAACACATAGTAATTTTCAATGCTTTTTTTCTGAATTTGGTATTTGATAAGGAGATAAGAATTTGGCAGATATTGTTAACGATTCAACTCTGAAACAGAAGTCTTCCTGTCCTTACATTAGTGGATCTTTTGGATCCTTGGAATTGAAGGGTATCCTAAAATCAGCAGCAAGAATCATTTTTTAAAAAATGGACTTCAGCTCATTCCGTTACCAAATGTTCAAGTATCTTCTGTGTATCAAGTGCTACCATGTGCTGTGCCAAGCACTGAGGAGCAAAAGTATGTAGTCTGCCCTCATGGAGCTTACAGCCTAGTGGGAGATAGAGATACTGATCAGAAGGCCAGGTGCGGTGGCTCACCCCTGTAATCCCAGGACTTTGGGAGGCCAAGGCGGGTGGATTATTTGAGGTTATGAGTTCAAGATCAGCGTGGCCAACATGGCAAAACCCCGTCTCTACTAAAAATACAAAAATTAGCTGGGTGTGGTGGTGGACGCTTGTAATCCCAGCTACTTGGGAGGCTGAGGCAGAATGCTTGAACCGGGAGGCAGAGGTTGCAGTGAACCGAGGTCACGCACCATTGCACTCCAGCCTGGGCAACAAGAGTGAAACTCCGTCTCAAAAAACAAACAAACAAACAAAAAACTAACTCATCCCCTCTCTTCCATTCTCACAGCACCTTCCTGTCTCTCCCCATCATGCTTCTATATTGCTGTGGCCAGAGTCACAGTTCTATCCTACAACTTCAATCATTTTATTCTCCTGTGCAAAAATCCTTGGCTAATGAATCCCTATTACCTAGACCAGCAGTTTCCAAACTTTTTAAAACAGAACACTTTTATGAAGAAAAATTCTTTACAGATTTTATCTGTATCTGTTTACAAATATCTATGTAAATTTATGCTTATCTATTAAAAGGGGCATTTTATAAAGATAGATTGTTTTATAAGTTCAGATTAATAATATTTACTTATGAAGTTAATGAGAACAAAGGAACTACTGTGATAAAAAGAAAACTTCAAGCTGGGCACGGTGGCTCACACTTGTAATCCCAACACTTTGTGAGCCTGAGGCAGGAGAATCACTTGAGCCCAGGAGTTCGAGACTAACCTGGGCAACAAAGAGAGACCTTGTCTCTACAAAAAAAAATTTAAAATGAGCCAAGCGTGGTGGCATGCAACTGTGGTCCCAGCTATCTGGAAGGCTGAGGCAAAAGGACGACTTCAGCCCAGAAGGATGAGGCTACAGCGAGTCGTGATTGTGCCACTGCACTCCAGCCTGGGTGACAGATCAAGACCTTGTCTCAAAAATAAAAAAGATTTGAGATGAAAACATTAGTGTTACTCAGCATCAATACTAAATTTCTGCATTTTATTATAAAATTAAGCCTGATCCATGTAGCTGATCATAAATCTATTCTCCATATTACATCTAACATGAACTTCTAAAATTGCAAATGTAATCACCAAACCTCACCACCTCTAAAACGCCCCTGACTATAGGTCATATCATTATTTTATATATAGCCCAGAAAGAAAACAATGCTAATTAAACTTCGATTTCAGCGATTTTGTAAGAAAAAAAGTGTCCCACAATCGTTGGAATATAGTGCGGCAACCACCTCACCTCCTTAAAAACCAATAATTGGGCTGGGCGCGGTGGCTCACGCTTGTAATCCCAGCACTTTAGGAGGCTGAGGCGGGCAGATCACTTGAGGTCAGGAGTTTGAGACCAGCCTGGCCAGCATGATGAAACCCCATCTCTACTAAGAATACAAAAATTAGCCGAGTGTGGTGGCAGGCACCTGTAATCCCAGCTACTCGGGAGGCTGAGGCAGGAGAATCACTTGAACCCAGGAGGCGGAGGTTGCAGTGAGCAGAGATTGTACCATTGCACTTCAGCCTAGGTGACAAGAGCAAAACTCCGTTTCAAAAAAATAATAATAATTTAAAAAATAATAAAAACCAATAACTTTTCATCTTCTCAGTATCAGGACAAAGCTCCTACCGTATTCTACAAAGCCAGCATAGCCTGGCCTCTGCCTCGCCACCCTGGCTCTCCCTGCTTCAGCAGTGTTGGCTTTTTTTCCACTCACCCAATCTTCCTGATCTCAAGTCAAGCTTCACATCCTCTGAGGAGCCTTTCCTGACCTTCTTACCAAGGCCACACCCTGCATAACACACTGTAGAACACATGGGTTTCTCTCTCTTTTTTTTTAAGCAGACTCAGAAGGGAAAGGGTGTCTCTTCTTGCTCAGGGGCCATGCTAATCTCTGTATCGTTTCAATTTTTAGTATATGTGCTGGTGAAGCGAGCACAGGTCTCTCTTCTTGATAGCACTTACCATGGTGGACATCTTAGTTTTGCTTATATGTTTATCTGATCAGTATCTTTTGGTTTGTTTGTTTGTTTGTTTGTTTTTTAGACAGTCTCACGCTGTCGCCCCAGGGTGGAGTGCAGTGGAGCGATCTTGGCTTGCTGCAACCTCTGCCTCCTGGGTTCATGTGATTCTCCTGCCTCAGCCTCCCGCATAGCTGAGATTACAGGCACCTGCTATCATGCCCGGCTAATTTTTTGTATTTTTTGTAGAGATGGGGTTGTAGAGATGGCGTGAGCCACCGCGCCCAACCGGATTGGTTAGATACAACTTTCTTTTTTTTTTTTTTTTTTTTTTGAGGAGGAGTTTCGCTCTTGTCGCCCAGGCTGGAGTGCAATGGCGCCATCTCGGCTCACCGCACCCTCCGCCTCCTGGGTTCAGGCGATTCTCCTGCCTCAGCCTCCCGAGTAGCTGGGACTACAGGCACCCGCCATCATGCCCGGCTAATTTTTGTATTTTTTGTATAGGTGGGGTTGTAGAGATGGCGTTGTAGAGATGGCGTGAGCCACCGCGCCAGACCGGATTGGTTAGATACAACTTTCTTTTTTTTTTTTTTTCTTGAAGTGGAGTTTCGCTCTTGTCGCCCAGGCTGGTATGCAATGGCGCCATCTCGGCTCACCGCAACCTCCGCCTCCTGGGTTCAAGCGATTCTCCTGCCTCAGCCTCCCGAGTAGCTGGGATTACAGGCACCCGCCATCATTCCCCACCATCATGCCGGGCTAATTTTTGTATTTTTTGTATAGATGGGGTTGTAGAGATGGCTCAAGCCACCGCGCCCGGCCGGATGCATTAGTTTTCTTACCCCCAAAAAACCTTTTTTTTTTTTTTTTCCCCCGAGGCAGAGTTTCGCTCTTTTCGCCCAGGCTGGAGTGCAGTGGCGCCATCTCGGCTCACCGCAACCTCTGCCTCCTGGGTTCAAGCGATTCTCCTGCCTCAGCCTCCCGAGTAGCTGGGATTACAGGCACCCGCCATCATGCCCCGCCACCATGCCCGGCTAATTTTTGTATTTTTTGTAGAGATGGGGTTGTGGAGATGGCTCGAGCCACCGCGCCCAGCCGGATGGGTTAGTTTTCTTACCCCAAAAAACAGATACACCTTTTTTTTGGTTTGTTTTTTGTTTTTTTTTTTTTTTGAGGAGTTTCGCTCTTGTTGCCCAGGCTGGAGTGCAATGGCGCCATCTTGGCTCACCGCAACCTCCGGTTCCCGGGTTCAAGCGATTCTCCTGCTTCAGCCTCCCAAGTATCTGGGATTACAGGCATGAGCCACCGCGCCCGGCCCAACAGATACAACTTTCTACCTCGTAATAATGTTTCAAGGATTATATGAGGTAAGATATACAATTTTTTTGCACATTTTCTTGCCCTATTTTACATTTTTATCGTGGTAAGGTCCTCTCGTCCCAAGATGAGTCTTCCTCCTGTCTAAAACTGTATTAAAGTATCTCTTCAGCATTTTTTGAAAAGAACAACCTGGCCAGCACGGTGAAACCCCATTTCTACTAAAAATACAAAAAAAAAAAATTAGCCGGACATGGTGGTGTGCACCTGTAATCCCAGCTATTCGGGAGGCTGAGGCAGGAGAATCGCTTGAGCCCGGGAAGTGGAAGTTGGAGTGAGCTGAGATGGCGCCACTGCACTCCAGCCTGGGTGACAGAGCGCGATTCTGCCTCAAAAAAAGAGAGAGAAATAGATTGGCATTTGGCTGGAAAAGTCGTTTCCACATTAATACCCTTTAAAGCCTCTGCTCCCCTATTACTTACTGTCTTCCACACGTTGGTTCCCCAAGGCTCCCTCTTCTGAAGATGGCGGCCACCTTAGCCTTTACAGCAGCTCCTCGAGACCCTATAGGAGCTAAGAACCGCCGGGCGCCGTGGCTCACGCCTGTAATCCCAGCACTTTGAGAGGCCAGGGTGGGCGGATCACCCGAGGTCGGGAGTTTGAGACCAGCCTGATCAACATGGTGAAACCACGTCTCTACAAAAACATACAAAAATTAGCCAGGCGTGGTGGCGCAGGCCCGTAGTCCCAGCTACTTGGAGGAGAGGTGGGAGGATTGCTTAAGCCCGGGAGTCCAGGGTACAGTGTACCGGGACTGCGCCACTGCATTGCAGCCTGCTCCGCTGGAGTGAGACCCTGTCTCAAAAAAATATAAAAAAAAAAAGGCTAAGAAGCCATTGGCAACATTTTTAATGCTTTTACATTCTGCCTACTGTGTCAAACTAATTGTTCCCAATTAGTGGAGCTTGTTTAAGCTGTGACTAAAGGATGTTTTTATATAAGTGAAATAATTATTCCTAAATATGACTTTTAAACACGGATTTTGTTTAACCTTGTTTCTTTTTTGGAGGGTGGTTGGTAACACCAAGACTACTTTATTGAAAGCGTAACTAAGAGCGATTGATGGATACGTAAAGACATAGTAGGCACATCCATGTAATAGTACCGCGGTGAGGAGCATTCAGGAGTGATTCTGCCGTAATGCTTAGGTGTGTATCTGATTTATGGAAGATAGGCTGTAGGCTGTATAACCCGTGTACATATATGTTAGGGGCCGAATTATGTCTCCCCCCAAAAAGATAGTTGGAAGTCCTAACGCTGAGTACCACAGACTGTGACCTTATTTAGAAACAAGGTCATTGCAGATGAAATTAGTTAAAATGAGATCCTGCTAAAGTAGCATGGGCCCCTTATCCAATACTACTGGTGTCCTTATGTGAAGACAGACACACAGAAAGCCATGTGATGATGAAGGCAGAGATTGGAGGGATGCAGCAAAAATTGCCAAAGATTTTCAGCAAACTAGCAGAAGCTAAGAAGAGACTTCTTCCCCTTCAGAAGGAAGGAGCATGGCCTTAGTAACACCGCGATTTTGGACTTCTATCCCCAGAATCGTGAGAAATAAATTCGTGTTGTTTTAAGCCACCCCATTTGTGGTCCTTTGTTATGACAGTCCTGAGTGTGTAAAGCTATTTGTGGCCCACCTACTTGATTCGCCTAAATATGTTAGTGGGAAAATAGAGTTGCCTGGGTGTGTTGCTCGTTTCACACCTGTCCAAGCCTCCACCTGAGATAAATCACCATCTGTTTGGCACAATCCCCCTGGCCTACTGCTTGCCACTGGACCAAAGATAGACACCTGACTCTAGCGCAGTGAATCTACCGACTGACCAGCAGCCATAGGACTTGGGTGGCCTGGTGTGGAAAGAGGAGCCCCTTCTTGAAAATGGGGACGAAGCCGGGCACGGTGGCTCACGCCTGTAATTCCAGCACTTTGGGAGGCCGAGGCAGGCAGATCACGAGGTCAGGAGATCGAGACCATCCTGGCTAACACGGTGAAACCCCGTGTCTACTAAAAATACAAAAAATTAGCTGGGTGTGGTGGCACACGCCTGTAGTCCCAGGTACTCGGGAGGCTGAGGCAGGAGAATTGCTTGAACCCAGGAGGCAGAAGCTGCAGTGAGCCAAGATAGTGCCACTGCACTCCAGCCTGGGCAACAGAGCGAGACTCCGTCTCAAAAAAAACAACAACAAAAAAGAAAATGGGGACTAAGACACAGAAGAATATAGCTGTGGGGAGTAGCTTCAGGGAACTGAAATAGGTCCAGAGGAAGCTCGAAGTGGCCATTCTGAAGTTTATGCAAACTGCTGGCCAGGAGAGGCGAAAAAAAAAAAAATAGAGAAGGGACATGACAGTGGGGAAGGGGAGATAGGAGGGGATTTGTTACTCTCACTCGAGGCTGCAAGTTGCCTCTCCACAATTAATCTCACCTTTTAGTAGAGAACCCAAATTTTCAGGCCTGGCGCGGTAGCTCACACCTGCAATCCCAGCACTTTGGGAGGCCGAGGCAGGTGGATCACTTGAGGTCATGAGCTCAAGACCAGCTTGGCCAACATGGCGAAACCCTGTCTCTACTAAAATACAAAAATTGGCCGGGTGTGGTGGCGCATGCCTATAATCCCAGCTACTCAGGAGGCCAAGGCAGGAGAATTGCTTGAACCCAGGAGGCGGAGGTTGCAGTCAGCTGAGATTATGCCACTGCACTCCAGCCTGGGTGACAGAGCAAGGCTCAGTCTAAAAAGAAAAAAAAAAAATTTAGATGGGCTTAATGCTTCCCAGTAAGACTGCGTGTCCTAACCTCCCTGGCAGCTAAGTGTGACCTTGAAGCTAAGTATTAACTAAGGACTTTTAGGAGGTTTCTTTAAAGGGAGGTGGAATAGGGCTGGGCCTCTTTGTCTGGCTACTTAGAAATAAAATCAAGGGTGAGAGGTAAAATGGGTAATAGGAGGCAGCGTCCTTCCCCCACGCACCACAACCCTGTGCTGGAGCTCCCAAGAGCACATGGCATAGCAGTGCATTCTGCCATTCCGCTGTGTACCACCCTCTGTCCTGTCTTCCCTTTCCCTTTCTCTTCAGTTCTTCATTCTGTTTCCTTTTATTTCTTTTCCTTCTTGTGTGTCTTTACCTACCCTGCATAAAAATGCTGGTTAGGACCTTTGGGTTCCTCATTCTGGTTACCTGTTGGAGTGAGTCTGTATCCTGAGAAATTCATGGAGATCACCATGATTAGAAGTCATGGCTGCTGAGCCAAGCATCATAGACTTGAGGCCTAGCAGCTTCCAGGGGCTCCAGGACCATCAGGTGGGAAGGCCCTGGGGGGGTCCAGGACAGCTCCAGCCTAGCTCCACAGGGGCAGAAGTGTACCAGTGCCTACTTGCTGCTCCACCACAGGCTAGGCCACTTGTCTCCCACCACGTCTCTGGGTTTACGCGTCCCTCGACTTTTGCTGCCCATACCAAAGGCTCAGTTCTGAGCCTCAAGTTCCATTTCCTCTCACGAGAGGATGTGACGCTCTCATTCAGCCACTCTGCCCTGTTTGGGAGCTTTTTCCCACAGTCAAGCCGGTCTATTGCCCATCCTTGGATCATGTGGTAGGAGCTGATGTTTTTACCACCCGCCTCTGTCCATCTTCTTGTGGTTACAGTGCCCTGGTTTTCCACAGGAAAGCCATGCCTCCCTCACCCTTATTTTGTATGGTCCAAATAGTCTCATATGGATCCACCATCCTCAGTGTCTAGTAATGCAGAGATGGGTCCACTCCCCAATCCAAGCCAATGAGATGCTTAAGAAAGGCGCACTTCCTTTATCCCTGAACTTGGTTGTAGTGATGTTAACCAGGGTCCAGCAGTCATGCTGTCAGCACCAGAGACAACCTACCTACAGATGCAGCCAATGTGGAGGGACAGGAGCCAATAGGTGAAAGAGAGGTGGGGCCTCTGTGGCACTGTTTGAGCCTCCACAGCCAGCTAGGCATTACCGCTAGGTAAGTCAATAGGCCTCTTTTCTTTGCTCAAATCAGGTTAAGAGGGTTTTCCATCACCTGTAACTGAAAATGTCCTAACTGGTCCAGGTCAGGTGGCCACCCTGGTCCAATCAGCAGTGGCTGGAGTAGCAGGCCAGATGTCACTTGCAGAACAAAGTGTGCTCAAGTCAGCCCTTGAAATGGGGCTGTGGGACGGGCAGTGTGAAGCTGAGTCTTTCCACTATAAATAAGGCTGTGCAAGGCCAAGTTAATAGATGTTTGGAGTTCATAAATCATGGTGGCTGTGGTTATCAAATTAAAAAAAAAAAATCAAACCAAAACCACCAGTAGCCTCAAAAAGCACATGATTGGAAATGTGAGAGGCTGTCAGGAGCCCTGGCCCGTGGGCAACCTTGCTGGAAGTGCTGTGACCATGTGTGTGTTTGAACCTGGACAAACCACTGATGTAGACATCTCCCCAGATCCATTCCTCAAAACTCCCTGAAGTGATTAGATATTGAATCCCATGCCTAAGACAGAGTAGCAGTGTCTGTTTGCTGAATGAGATTCTTCCCCCAAATATGGTTTGGATTTGTGTCCTTGCCCCCATCTCAGTTCAAATTGTAATCCCAGTGTTGGAGGAGGGGCTTGGTGGGAGGTGATTAGATCATGGGGGCGGACTTCCCTCTTGCTGTTGTTGTGATAGTGAGTGAGTTCTCATGAGATCTGGTTGTTTAAAAGTGTGCAGCACCTCCCCCTTCTCTCTGTCTTCCTCCTCTGGCCACGTAAGACGGGGCCAGCTTCCCCTTCACCTTCCATCATGATTGTTAAGTTTCCAGAGGCCTCCCCAGCCATGCTTCCTGTACAGCCTGTGGAACTGTGAATCAGTTAAAGCCTCTTTTCTTTATAAATTACCCAGGTTCAGGTAGTTCTTTATAGCAATGCAAGAACAGGCTAATACACCACCCTTCTCAAAGACTGCCACTTCTATATTCTGTATTTTAGGAGTCAGCACTATTTGAGGAATTGAAATGAAACCTAAGGTAAAATAAAGCTAGCAAACAAAGGAGAGATTTGTGTAGACAGCCTAGACAAGTTTACATTCCGCATTAAACACTTGGATTTATTTAACAGTTTCATTTATGACTTTACAGTTGTTTAATAAATATTACGGCATTCCAGCTAGGAAGATAGTATCACCCCTTTAAACATGAGAAAATCAAATGAATGGCTTAAGGCAAAAAATTCTTTTATTAGTACCCAAAAGTGTAGACTTTGTTATTACTTTAAATTTAGAAAAGTAAATTTTCAATAGTTAGTGGCTAGCAAAACTGGTATTTTTTTTCTTTTTCTTTTTTTTTTTTTTTTTTGAGACGGAGTCACGCTCTGTCGCCCAGGCTGGAGTGTGGTGGCGCCATCTTGGCTCACTGCAAGCTCCGCCTCCTGGGTTCATACCATTCTCCTGCTTCAGCCTCCCGAGTAGCTGGGACTACAGGCGCCCACCACCACGCCCGGCTAATTTTTTTGTATTTTTAGTAGAGACGGGGTTTCACCATGTTAGCCAGGATGGTCTCAATCTCCTGACCTCGTGATCCACCCACCTCGGACTCCCAAAGTGCTGGGATTACAGGCGTGAGCCACCACACCCAGCCCCAAAACTGATATTTTTGTGTGAACTAATAAATAATTTAGTTAGGTTTATTTAGAAAATAAACTTTAAGGATTTAGGGATTTGCAAACTTCAGTTTGAAATAGGTTTAGACAGCTAAAGATCTTTGGATTTTGTAAAGAGAAAATTAATTGAAGAAAGAATTTAAGGTAAATATGATTTATGACTATTCTGTTTTAGATGTGAAGCGGTAAACAATATTGGGCCACAGATTGGGAGTAGAGTGGGGGAAGGAAGACAGGAAGACAGCAGTGAGGTAAAGGAGAGTTTGTAAGTCATTCATAACCAACACTACCCATTTAGCATGATAGTTATGAATATACCAAGGCCTTTTAGACCACTCTGAAATGCACATTGACCCTCTCTTTTAAATCATGAATTTCTGTTTTTTTGTTTGTTTGTTTGTTCTTTGTTTTAGCTGGAATCTGCCTCTGTCACCCAGGCTGGAGTGCAGTGGCGCAATCTCGGCTCACTGCAACCTCCACCTCCCAGGTTCAAGCAGTTCTCCTGCCTTTGCCTCCCGAGTAGCTGGGAGTACAGGTGCCCGCCACCACGCCTGGCTAATTTTTGTATTTTTGATAGAGACGCATTTCACCATGTTGGCCAGGCTGGTCTCAAACTCCCGACCTCAGGTGATCCACCCGCCTTGGCTTCCCACAGTGCTGGGATTACAGGCATGACCCACCACACCTGACCTAAATCATGAATTTCTCCCTTAATTTGTGCAAAATTTAGTGTACCTGGATTTCCTTCTGTGTTCTTCTCTATCCTTAAGATTTTTCAGTTCAGAAATATTCTTGTTTGGGATAGATATTAAAAGATGAAACTGGAAGCCAGGCGCGGTGGCTCATGCCTGTAATCCCAGCACTTTGGGAGGCTGAGGCAGGCGGATCATCTGAGTTCAGGAGTTTGAGACCAGCCTGGCCAACATGGGGAAACCCTGTCTCTACGAAAAATACAAAATTAGCCAGGCATGTTGGCGCATGCCTGTAATCCCAGCTACTTTGGAGGCTGAGGCAGGAGAGTCCCTTGAACCCGGGAGGCGGAGGTTGCAATGAGCTGAGATTACGCCATTGTACTCCAGCCTGGGTAACGAGAGCGAAACTCCATCTAAAAAAAAAAAAAAAGACAAAACTGGTAATTGGGAGGATGAAAAGGAAGTAAAACAGGAGTAAGAACTTTGCATTGCGGCCCCAGGGGGTTGTGGTGGAGGGAAGGAAGCGGAAGCAGGTACCTGAGACCATAGGACTGTACTTCCATGGGACATGTATGATCCAGGTGGATACAAGCCAGGTCTTGATGCACTGCTGTGTTTAAGGTGTGCTGTGAGCTAAGCCTCTGCAGCATAGTTTATGCTCGTCCTACCCCCTTGTAAAAATTATCTTTTCAACTCGCCCATTGTCACCTCTATCCTTCATTCAGCCTTTGCTTATGCTACTCCTCCACTTGGAACACGCTTTCCCCAATCTTTGCCTAGTCATTCATCCTGTTAGATCTGCCTGCATCTCTGCCAAGAATCCCCTTAACTTGGCCTTTTTCAGGAGTGAGTTTGAGGAGAAAGCTTAGGAAATAATAAGCCAAATTTTTGTGTCTTAAACATCCAGTTAACTCTGGATAGTGACAGCCAACAACATGGAGTCATAAAAGCAAAGGTAAAAACTTGAATAAGCAACAAGACATTGAAGAAAATATCTCGACATGATCAGCAACAGGCAACATCAGTTTCTTAGCATCTCTTAAAGACTGATAGAGGAGAGACAATTTCTTTTCTAGCAAACAAGAGATGGTGAATGGAAATTAGCCTCTTCTAATGTAAGCTGTGTAGACTAAACACTGTAAGAGCCTAATGTTCAGCGTGCACATGGTCATGAATCCAGCTTTTAGTACAATGCCAAGCACAGTGTGAACTCAGTACATATTTGTTGCATTAATAAATATTAGTCCTATTTGCTGTTGGATTAAAAGCAAGTATAGAAGTCAGGCGCTGTGGCTCATGCCTATAATCCTAGCACTTTGGGAGGCTGAGGCTAGTGGATCACCTAAGGTCAGGAGTTCCAGACCAGCCTGGCCAACATGGTGAAATCCCGTCTCTACTAAAAATACAAAAAATTAGCTGGGCATGGTGGCAGGTGCCTGTAATCTCAGCTACTTGGGAGGCTGAGGCAGGAGAATCACTTGAACCCGGGAGGCGGAGGTTGCAGTGAGCCGAGATCACACCATTGCACTCCAGCCTGGACAACAAGAGCGAAACTCTGTCTCAAAAGTAAATAAATAACAATAAGAAGCAAGTATAGAATACAAAAATGGCACAAAGCAAGGAAGTAAGGCAGGAAGGGTTTTATGTAGGTTGTGACTATATGATATGAATCTCAAAAGTTATATTTTACAGAGTAAAGAAGTAGGGAGCTGGAATAATTCTAGGCAGGAGGGATTCATTTTAGCAGTCAGTGAATTGTGATACTATAGTTGGGAAGTACAGTGATGTGCTGAAATGTAGGGCATAGTCAGTGGCTAGTATGAGATGATGCTGAAGGAGAGATGGACAGGGGTCACTCCTTGGCCTTCTATGCCACCCCAAGGATTTGGGCCATGGGGAAGAAAAAGGGATCACATCGACACCAGCATCTTAGTAAGCAGCCTTTGGCTGCTGTGTAGAAGATTGCTTGGATCAGTTTAAGCCCATGGAGGCAGAGAGCTTTCTTATTAGATTTTGTCATGATCCTCTAAAGTACCACGGAGTTGAATGTCAAGTTATATTAAGGAAGTGAAATCAATAGAATTTAGTCATGGAGTTGATATTTTGTGATGATAGAGGCTAAGAAAGTCTAGAATGACTCAACTAGTGCCACCAAAATAAGGAATACAGGAAGTGGACTAGGTAGGTTTCAAAGGGAAGATGATGAGATCAGTTTTTTATAGCTGAGTATAAACTGCCCCTGTGGATTACAGGTGGGTGTGCACAGTAAGCAGCTGCATAATTTAGTAGGATTCAACATCAAGAGTGAAGATACAGATTTTGACTCTGCAGCACTGAAAACCATTTGGATTAGATTACCTAGACAGAGGAGGGATGTCACTAAGGACAGAGCTTCAACATTTAGAAGTCAGGCTGGGTGTGGTGGCTCACGCCATTAATCCCAGCACTTTGGGAGGCCAAGACAGAAGGTTCATTGAGACCAGGAGTTCAAGAGCCGCCTAAGTAACATAACAAGACCCTTTCTCTACAAAAAAAAAAAAAATTATGTTTTTAAAAATAAACATTTAAGAAGTTAAGGCAGAGGAACACTTGTGTCCCCACATTTACATGTTCTTTTTACTTTTGGGGAGAAATGTACATCATTGATATTGGTGTTCTAATCTACACAAGTTATTTGAGGTTGGGTTAAATATTTTTCATTGTAAGTAACGAATTGCTTTTAGAGCAGGAACAGTCTGAAAAAACAGTGTTGGTAAAGGCATGGGAAAAGGCCTCCTCTGTGTGATGTCCCAAGGAGTGTAAATTAGTACATTCTTCCTGTGGCAGAAACCATTAGTTGCCCCCAATATCCATTTTCTCTTTTCCTTAGTAAACAATTATCTGACTTTTAGCCGAACACTTGGGCTTTAGAGAAAAAAAAAAAAAAAAAAAGACTTCATTTCTCATCCTCCCTTGCAGCTACAGTTAGCCACATGACTAAATTCTGGCCAAGGGAATGGCAGTGGAAGGGGTGACTGTGACTACACAGAAGAGTCTGTGAGAGTTGGACCCTTTTCATCTCTTCCTCCTTCCTACTGTCTAGAATGCAGATTCTGTGGCTAGGACTTCAGCAGCTATCTGGTACCACGCAAAAGCAGCCAAATTCTGAAAGTGACGGAAAACCCAAATGGAAAGGGGCCTGGTTCCCTGGGTTATGGACTGCCTACTGCCTCTTTATTTTATTTTATTTTATTTTTTATTTTTTTGAGACGAAGTCTCATTCTGTTGCCCAGGCTGGAGCGCAGTGGCATGATCTCAGCTCACTGCAGCCTTCGCCTCCCGAGTTCAACTGATTATCCTGCCTCAGCCTCCCTAGTAGCTGGGACTACAGGCGCCGGCCACCACACCCGGCTAATTTTTGTATTTTTTAGTGGAGACGGGGTTTCACCATATTGGCCAGGCTGGTCTTAAACTCCTGACCTCGTGATCCGCCCGCCTTGGCCTCCTAAAGTGCTGGGATTACAGGCATGAGCCACTGCGCCCAGCCTCAGGATGCCTCTTTTTTTTACATAAATGCCTGTCTGTATAAGCCACCCTTTTGGATGTTGTCTCATTCAACTGGACCTAGTTCTGTCTGATGTGCTTCCCAAAGACAGCTTAGCAATGTTTTGTCAAGTGTAACGTGTGCACGTCCTTTATTCTGGCATCCCACCTCAGGGAATTTACCCTAAGGAAATAATTACACAAATAGGGAGTGGAGAAGAGTAAAATAAAAGTCCTTCAAAGAAAATTGGTTAAGTAAATTAAAATTATGTAAAAAGGAACACTGTGAAGCCACTAAAAATAATGATGCTATATTTAGACATCACATGAATAGATGTCTGTGACACTAAAGTATAAGAAGAGATTATAGACAAGCATGTTTAGAATTATCCCATTCATGTAAAATGTATACACACACACACACACACACACACACAGATTAATCTGTGTAAGTATATAGATGCTGAGAAATACTTGGTAGATGTCTATAAGTATAAAAATATTCCAATATTCTTTGCCAGGCATGGTGGCTCACACCTGTAATCCCAGCACTTTGGGAGGCCAAGGCGGGCGGATCACGAGGTCAGGAGATTGAGACCATCCTGGCTGACACGGTGAAACCCTGACTCTACTAAAAATACCAAAAATTAGCCGGGCGTGGTGGCGGGCGCCTGTAGTCCCAGCTACTCGGGAGGCTGAGGCAGGAGAATGGCGTGAACCTGGGAGGCGGAGCTTGCAGTGAGCCGAGATCGTGCCAGGGCACTCCAGCCTGGGTGACAGAGCGAGACTCCGTCTCAAAACAAAAACAAAAACAAAAACTTGTCTCTGGAAAATGAGACACATTAGATGGCAGCCAACTGGAAGAAATTTTACATTAACTTGTCTCAGGAAAAATTAATCATAGCATGTAGCTTCAGTGCCTCCAGCAGCCACCCTGAGCTCTAGGACAGGGGACACTGGCCCAGGGGAGCTGACAAGAGCAGTGAGACCAGGAGCTTGCTTTAAAATCACAGCCCAGGCTGGGCGCAGTGGCTCATGCCTGTAATCCCAGCACTTTGGGAGCCTGAGGTGGGTGGATCACGAGGTCAGGGGTTCGAGACCAGCCTGGCCAGCATGGTGAAACCCCATCTCTACTAAAAATACAAAAATTAGCTGGGCATGGTGGCACGTGCCTGTAATCCCAGCTACTCAGGAAGCTGAGGCAGGAGAATCGCTTGAACCCAGGAGGCAGAGGTTGCAGTGAGCCGAGATCACTCCACGGCACTCCAGACTGGGCAACAGAGCAAGACTCCATCTCAAAAATAAATAAATAAATAAAATCACAGCCCAAAGGGAAAAGAGAGAGCTGAGTGCAGGATAGTGAGGGAGGAATGTGAGGTATGGAGGTAAAGTAAGTTCTGTCTAAGGTCAGAAATGTCAAAAGACAACATTACAACAAATTTTATCATAGATCTAATTAGCTATTATTCGCAATTCATGAGTCAGGTCAGCCTCCTTTCCACAGAACGGAATGAGAGCTCCCACTGAGCAATGGCCGAACAGTGGGTTTTGTAGGATGGAAAACAAGGAAACAGAACAATAGGGAAAAAAATCATATTGGTTAACACAGGTTACTTCAGGCTACTTTTTTTTTTTTTTTTTTTTTTGAGACAGAGTCTCGTTCAGCCGCCCAGGCTGGAGTGCAGTGGGGTGATCTTGGCTCACTGCAACCACTGTCTTCTGGGTTCAAGTGATTCTCCTGTCTCAGCCTCCCAAGTATCTGGGATTACAGGCATGCGCCATTATGCCCCACTAATTATTTTATTTTATTTTATTTTATTTTTGAGACGGAGTCTCGCACTGTTGCCCACACTGGAGTGCAGTGTTGTGATCTTGGCTCGCTGCAACCTCCGCCTCCTGGGTTCAAGCGATTCTCCTGCCTCAGCCTCCCGAGTAGCTGAGACTACAGGTGTGTGCCACCACACCCGGCTAATTTTTTGTATTTTTAGTAGAGACAGGGTTTCACCTTGTTAGCTAGGATGGTCTCGATATCCTGACCTCGTTATCCACCCACCTCAGCCTCCCAAAGTGCTAGGATTACAGGCGTGAGCCACCGCGCCCGTCCCAGGCAACTTTTTTTTCTTCTTTTTTTTTAGACGGAGTTTCGCTTTTGTTGCCCAGGCTGGATTTCAGTGGCGTGATCTCGGCTCACTACAACCTCCGCCTCCTGGGTTCAAGTGATTCTCCTGTCTCAGCCTCCCAAGTAGCTGGGATTACAGGCACGTGCCACCATGCCTGGCTAAGTTTTGTATTTTTAGTAGAGATGGGGTTTCATCGTGTTGGTCAGGCTGGTCTTGAACTCCTCATCTCAGGTGATCTGCCTGCCTTGACCTCCCAAAGAGCTGGGATTACAGGCGTGAGCCGCCGCGCCCAGCCCAGGCTACTTTTTTGTAAAGCATTAAAGCAGAAAGGACTTCCTTATGATGCTTACTCAGGTAGACTGGAATCTCCTGATTTCAGGGAAAATCGATCTGCTTTGGGATCTATCTTCTCCCTTAAAGTTTCAGTTGGATGATGGGGCATTTAGAAGAAGTGATTCCATTTTAGTTGGTCTGCTCTCTTGGGGCCTAGTGCAGGAGCACAGGCCAAAACAATGGTCTCCCATAATTTTGTTTAACTGAAGTCAGCAAGTGGAAACAAGGAAAGATCTAGATTATATGACTTGTCAAGTGATTGCAAGTGATTTTGCTCAATTCCAATTTAGCTTAAACACAAAGGACCCTGGAATGCTTTGGCCATTTGAGCCTGAGAATGAAACCTCATAAATATTGACACGAAAGCTCTCGCCAAGTTTTGCACTGTGGTCATGGCTATAACTTGGTGAAAAAAAAATTTTGCATGAAATGTTTTATTTAAACTTTTTTTCAAGAAAATGTTTTTTTCTCCCTAACAGAACATTTCATAAGTTATTTTAATTACTGTATCTAATTTTTTTTAGGCATTGCTTTATTTTAAATTGTATGTTTGAAAATTTATAACTATCATAACCAGACTGCAGGCCAAACAACTTCAGGTTTGGTGGAGAAGGACATTCCCTTGAATTTTCTCCTCTTCTTTTCCCTCTAGTTTCTGCTTTTCTCCCTTAAATCCTCTTCATTCCTTGCCTTAGGGGAGTTTCCCAAGACAACACCTTGAGATGCAAGAGTTTAGGAGTTTTAAATTTCAAAAGCCCAAACATTGGGTAGAGGCTTAAAGTTTAAGACACAGATAATAGAATGGTTAGAATATGCAGAGTCCATCTCTGTATTCTCTAATCAAGCAAACATCTCAGATTGCAAGAGGGAGAAGATATTCTCAGAGAATGAGGTTAGATACTGCTGTTTCCCATGAGGCATCCTCAGCTTTCAATCAAGTTGGGGAGTGAAAGTCAGTAAACCAGTGGCTGAGCAAACCTCCGCCCCGACCTTTCTCACAGGGCCACAGATGAATGGGAGAGCCAGCCGAGAAATCTAAAGTGCCTCGCATCCCCAGCAGTTTGCTAAAGGAGGTAGTGGCTGGACAGGTTAAGACACCCTCCCAGCCCCCCAGCCTCCTGCAGTACTCAGGGAACCATTAGGCACCTTATTCTGCAGCCACCAGTGGGGCAGTGTTGCCAAGAGGGTACCAGGAGGAGAATCCTGCAGCCTTGAGCTGTGCAACTGATAACGAACTACAGATGGGATGGACGCCATCTTACCTGATGCTGGCCAGTAGATCATGACATGGAGAACTCCCCGCTATTCCTGAGAAACTTGGACTTTGACTCAACAGAGAGGTGAGGGAGGTGCCAACGTGACCAATATTTGGTTTTAGGAAACATTTTCTCGGGTTGGGATGGAGAGAGATGTTTTTCCCTGTTTACTGTGTTCATTTTGCCATGTGCATGTATTGCCTATTTGAAAAGAAAACGGCCGGGTGCGGTGGCTCACGCCTGTAATCCCAGCACTTCGGGAGGCTGAGGCGAGTGAATCACCTGAGGTCTGGAGTTCGAGACCAGCCTGGCCAACACGGCAAAACCCAACCTCTACTAAAAACACAAAAAATTAGCTGGACGTGGTGGTAGGCGCCTGTAATCCCAGCTACTTGGAAGGCTGAAGCAGGAGAATTGCTTGAACCCGGGAGGCGGAGGTTGCAGTGAGCGGAGATTGCGCCATTGCACTCCAGCCTGGGCGACAGAGTGAGACTCTCAAAAAATTAAAAAAAGAAAAGAAAAATAAAATAATATTCAGTTAGAAAAAAAAATTTCTTGGCAGGTGTGGTGGCTCTTGCCTGTAATCTCAGAACCTTGGGAGGCCAAGGTGGGAAGATCGCTTGAGCTCAGGAGTTTGAGACCAGCCTGGGCAATATGGCAAAACCTCATCTCTACCAAAAATTAAAAAAAAAAAATTGGCCAAGCATAGTGGTACATGCCTGTAGTCCCAGCTACTCAGAGGCTGAGTTGGGAGGATCACTTGAGCCCTGGCTGCAGTAAGCTGAGATCATGCCACTGCACTCCAGCCTGGATGACAGAATGATATCTTGTCTCAGAGAAAAAAAAAATAAAAAAAGATTTTTTTTTTCAAGAGGGGAAGGAGAGAGGAGGGAAAAGGAGAACAAGAAAAATTTATTTCTTGCACATCTTTGTTAGTGAAATGAGAATCCTGTACTACCTTAGTATAACAGTAAAAATTTAAAGTATTGAAAGCCATTGATTCATCTTTTACAAGTCAACGTAATTATTTCTTTTTTTTTAAATTTTAAAGACAGAGTCCATTCTGTTGCTTAGGTTGGAGTGCAGTGGCGTGATCACAGCCCACTGCAGCCTTGAACTCCCACCTCAAGGGATACATATGCCTCAGCCTTCCAAGTAGCTGGGACTATAGGCATGTGCCATCACGCCAGCTAATTTATTTATTTTTGTAGAGACGGGGTCTTGCTTTACTGCCCAGGCTGCTTTCGAACTCCTGGCATCAAGCTCTTTTTCCACATTGGCCTCTCAAAGTACTGGGGTTATAGGTGTGAGCTACCACACTCAACCTTATTTAATTGATAACTTTGTTGACTCAATAGGTAAATGAATGATGCAACTGTCATTACAAACCCTTTGGATTTTTTTTTTTTTTTTTTTTTTTTTTGAGACAGAGTCTCACTCTGCTTCCCAGGCTGGAATGCAATGGCCCAATCTCAGCTCACTGCAACCTCCGCCCCCTGGGTTCAAGCAATTCTCCTGCCTCAGCCTCCCTAGTAACTGGGATTACAGGCATGCGCCACCACACCCTGCTAATTTTTTTATTTTTAGTAAAGATGGAGTTTTGCCCTGTTGGCTAGGCTGTTCTCAAACTCCTGACCTCAAGTGATCTGCCCGCTTCGGCCTCCCAAAGTGCTGGGATTACAGGCATGAGCCACTGCACCCGGCCTTTTTTTTTTTTTTTTTTTTTTGAGACGGGAGTCTCGCTCTGTCACCCAGGCTGGAGTGCAGTGGCGCGATCTCAGCTCACTGCAAGCTCCCCCTCCCAGGTTCACGCCATTCTCCTGCCTCAGCCTCCCAAGTAGCTGGGACTACAGGCACCCGCCATCACGCCTGGCTAATTTTTTGTATTTTTAGTGGAGACGGGGTTTCACCGTGTTAGCCAGGATGGACTCAATCTCCTGACCTCGTGATCCGCCTGCCTCGGCCTCCTAAAGTGCTGGGATTACAGGCGTGAGCCACCATGCCTGGCGTTTTTTGTTTGTTTTTTTTTTGAGACAGAGTCTCGTTCTATTGCCCAGGCTGGAGTACAGTGGCACCATCTCGGCTCACTGCAACCTCTGTCTCCCAGGTTCAAGCAATTCTCCTGCCTCAGCCTCCCAAGTAGCTGGGACTACGGACATGCGCCACCACGCCCGGCTAATATTTTTGTATTTTTAGTAGAGACGGGGTTTCACCCTGTTGGTCAGGCTGGTCTTGAACTCCTGACCTCAAGTGATCTGCCTTCCTTGGCCTCCCAAAGTGTTGGGATTACAGGTGTGAGCCACCGCGCCCAGCCCGATCACCCTATTTAAAATTGAACCCTCATCCCCTGCCCAGCACTTTTTATCTTTTCCTTGTTTATTTTTCTTCACAGCATTTTTCAGTAACACACTATGAAATATGTTGGCCAGGCATGGTGGCTTATACCTGTAATCCCAGCACTTTGGGAGACTAAGGTGGGCAGATTGTTTGAGCCTGGGCAATATGGCAAAACCCTATCTCTATAAAAAATTAGCTGGGCATGCTGGCACTTGCCTGTAGTCCCAGCTACTTGGGAGGCTGAGGTGGTAGGATCCCTTGAATCCAGGAGGTCAAGGCTGGCGTGAGCTCTGCTTGTGCCACTGCAGTCCAGCCCGGGCAACAGAGTGAGACCCCGTCTCAGAAAAAAAAAAAAGAGAGAGAAATATGTTTACTTGTTTTATGTATTGTCTACCTCCCTTTTCTCTCCCTCATCAAAGAATGGAATCCCCATGGGAGTCGGGGGTTTTGTCTGTTTTGCCTAAAACAATGCCCTCTGTGTTTGTGGAATGAATGAAATACTATGATTGCTCAAGCACACCATTCGAACTCCTATCAAATTTAAGTACAAAACCCATCTAATTCCAAACATAAATAATTTGTGGATTGGCATCATATGGATTATGAACACCACTCATTCTCTACATTATCATGGCCAATGAAAAGTTAAGGCTTTCTGTCATTCCTATAAGGTCACATGTTTAACAGGTTTAACAGGTTTATAGACTGTAGGACCAAATAGACCTGGATTCAGGTCCCACTGAGCAGTGAATGGTTGAGGGCAAGTTCTTCTAAACTTCCTTGCATCTTGCTTTATTCATCTTTATTCATCCCAGCACCACAATCCTAATTAACCTCTTAGGGTTGTTGTAAAGATTAAATGGGATTCAGTCCAAAGCACTCTGTACATGTCACATGTTAGCCACTCAGTAAAATCTATTCTTACAATTATCATTTTGGGAGCTGTATTAGTTTTCTCAGGCTGCCATAACAAACTGCCATAGACTCGATGACTTAAACAATAGAAATGTATTTTCTCAGAGTTCTGGAAACCGGAAGTCCAAGATTAAGGTGTTGGCAGGTTTGGCTTCTGCCGAGGCCTCTCTCCTTGGCTTTCAGATGGCTGACTTCTTGCTGTGTCCTGCCATGGTCTTTTCTCTGGGCATACACATTGTCGGGGCAAAGGGAACTTTCCCATCACCCTCTGAAGGTTCCGTAATTTGAGTCTATGAAATGAACTGACTGTAAACAGATTAACAATAGAAAAGGGGCATCACAAGAAAGAAAATATCCGCAAAGCAGTGAGATTTAGAAGCTTATATGCTCTCATCACAGGGTAGAGGGAAGGAGGGATGCAGATAGCTTAGGGGAGCATAAATGATTTGAGGGAGAGAAAGAATGGGCCAGAAGAACAGGTGACAACTCGTGACAAAGTCTGTCCGGATATTTGATGTTAACCTTTGGTCTTCTTTCCTGTGGTAAGTCAGTCTCCCTACATGATGGGATTCTTGTGGAGGGGGATGCAGGACAATTGAGTTCTTTCTGAAGGATCTCAAGGCAGATAAGGGAAATTCAGAGAATGCCTCTCACTGCACTTTGGGAGAGAAAAAGGGACAAGAGACAGAAGGCCAGGAAAAGGTCAAAGAGACTAGTTCTCCTTTAGTTCAAAGCACTCAGCGCCAAACCTCATGAGGTGGGGTATTGTTTTCTAAGCCCCAACAACACCCCTGGGGTCTCTTCCCCTTATTCTAAGAACCCCAGTCCTATTGAATTAGGATTATACCCATATGACTTTATTTAATCTTGATATCCTTCTTACAAGTCTTATCTCCAAATACCATCACACTGGGGGTTAGGACTTCAAAGTATGTATTTGGGAGGGACACAGTTCAGTTCCTAACAGGAGTGGAGGAAGATTTCAGAAAACTATATCCAATTTTGTTATGTTTAATAATTTTAGAATATTTAATTCCAAGAAACACAAGTGCTTTAGTGGATATTCTTTTCACTAGCAGATAGGCACTGAAAAGGGCATAGATGCAGGCATCCCGCAGCAGGAAGAAAGGAAGCCACACAGTAAAGAGGGAAATGTTACATATGCAGAGAGACTGAAGGAGGCACAGAAATCAAACTATGAAGTAGGCCGGGCACGGTGGCTCATGCCTGTAATCCCAGCACTTTGGGAGGCCAAGGCGGGCAAATAGCCTGAGGTCGGTAGTTTGAGACTAGCCTGGCCAACATGATGAAACCCCATCTCTACTAAAAATACAAAAATTAGCTTGGCGTGGTGGCGG
Source organism: Homo sapiens (assembly GCF_000001405.40). Taxonomy (NCBI): domain Eukaryota; kingdom Metazoa; phylum Chordata; class Mammalia; order Primates; family Hominidae; genus Homo; species Homo sapiens. Next base: position 229,957,448 of record NC_000002.12, read on the forward strand.
GCGCCTGTAATCCCAGCTACTCAGGAAGCTGAGGCAGGAGAATTGCTTGAACCCGGGATGCGGAGGTTGCAGTGAGCCGAGATCGCACCATTGCACTTCAGCCTGGGCGATAGAGTGTGACTGTCTCCAAAACGATACAAAACAATGAGGTGACCATTTCTGAGTGATAGGACTCTACCTGAGGATGCATTTGAAGCAAGCAGTAATAGGGAATGAGTCAATAACAAGAAGAAATTAAGAAGCTCTCACTGTTGAGAGAAAGGGACGAGAGAGAGAAAAATTGTGTCTCTGATAGCAAATGTTTGTCTGATCCAAAGTTAACTGTCAGCTTCTCAACCAGCTGGACCTGGCATTTCCCTCATTCCCCGCCAGGAGATTAGACACTAACAGAGTTCCTTCTAGCTGTGCCCTCAAGAAACTTGGGCAAAATTTTTAAAATAAATTTTTTACTACTAGATTACAGTTTTGTACCAGAAGTAGAAGTATAGACACCTTCAAGTTGTAAATAGTAACTTTTTGAAGAAGCAGCTTGTAGGCTTAGAGTCAGGTATATCCCAAGATGAATTTGGTACAGTGGAACCACAGACACTTGGGGGCTTTGTACCTTCTTAGTCACTTTGCCTGCCCATATCTGGGAAGGTTTTGGAAACAGGATTCCAGGTTGTATTATTTTTTCAGAGGTTTGTTCTGGAAGATAACATTGTACTAATGCAAATTAAAAAAAAAATTTTTTTTAAAAACTTCACTTCCATCTGTTTGACCTTTACAATTTTTTTTTGTTCTTATTGTTTACAGAGAGCTCTGACTTTCTTTTTTTTTTTTTTTTTTTTTTTTTTTGAGTCAGAGTCTCACTCACTCTGTCATCCAGGCTGGAGTGCAGTGGCACAATCTCAGCTCACTGCAACCTCCACCTCCTGGGTTCAAGCAATTTTCCTGCGTCAGCCTCCCGAGTAGCTGGGACTACAGGCGCCCGCCACGGCGCCCGGCTAATTTTTGTATTTTTAGTAGAGACGGGGTTTCAACATATTGGCCAGGCTGATCTCGAACTCCTGACCTTGTGATCTGCCCACCTTGGCCTCCCTAAGTGGTGGGATTACAGGCGCGAGCCACCGCACCCTGCCGAGGGCTCTGAATTTCTTTGAAAGTTTTAGCACACTTATCTGCAGACACCTTGAGTGTTTTGGGGTCAGGCCTCTATAAAGTATGTGTTAGAATTGTTGGTGTGGCATTGACTCACCCCGTCCCTCTGCACTTGGGAGTGATGTCTCACGGTGTCCCGCTGCAAGAGTGGATCTGAGCTTCTTCCCATAAAGCTTAGGGAACTATGACTACATTCTCGCCCTGTATGTAAACAAATTCCAGTAATAAGTTAATGGGAGAGGAAACTAAAAATGTTCCTGGTACTGTGCTAGGCATGTTTACATGTATCATTTCATTTCCATCCTCCCAAAACATTGTGACCAAGGCATTATTATCTCTTTGACACTGAAGAAACAGATGATGAAACTCACCCAAGGTCACCCAGTTAGTAAGTCCTTGGGCCGGAATGTCCCTCTAAGTCCAAAACTGCTTGGATGCTCTCAAAGTCTCCTTTGTTCCTTCACACTGTAGAACACAGTGACATTCCATTCACTTAGGTTATCCATCTTGTAGCCTCCTATTGCTTATATGACTTTTTTTTCTGAATCGTAAGTACCCATGTTAGATTTTGCCCTCATTTTCTTTTTTAAAATAATTTTTAATTTTTAATAAAAAGAGGTGGAATCTTGCTATTTTGCCCAGGCTGGTCTTGAACACCTGGCCTCAAGTGATCTTCCCATGTTGGTCTCCCAAAGTGCTGGGATTACAGGTGTGAGCCACTGAGCATGGCCTCCCTCATTTTCTTTTGGAAAGATTTTGACCATTGGTATTTATACTTTACTTACGTATCCTCCTTCCCTTGTGCAAAATCTTGTGCAAGTTTTGCTTTCAGAAAACCTGCCTAATGTGAGATTGTGTCTGAGGTGTAAACATCCAAGTTTTTATGCATGGTGAGGAGAAAATGACAGCAATCATGAATTCTCCAGTTTGCTTTATTGTAATAGAACATTTTTCTATAAAGAATATTGCCAAAGTAGGCTGGGCGCGGTGGCTCATGCCTGGAATCCGAGCACTTTGGGAGGCCGAGGCGGGTGGATCATGAGGTCAGGAGATCGAGACCATCCTGGCTAACATGGTGAAACCCCATCTCTACTAAAAATACAAAAAAATTAGCTGAGCGTGGTGGTGGGCGCCTGTAGTCCCAGCTACTCAGGAGACTGAGGCAGGAGAATGGCGTGAACCCAGGAGGTGGAGCTTGCAGTGAGCCAAGATCGTCCCACTGCACTCCAGCCTAGGCAACAGAGCTAGACTCCATCTCAAAAAAAAAAAGAATACTGCCAAAGTTACATTTCTGGATCTGAAGACCTAGGAGAGGAAGCAAAATGAATAACTACCATCTCTGTTGAAGTGTACAGTTAAAATAACAGCTTCTAATCAGTCAACTCTAAAGTTCTAATTTCAGGGTTTCAGCCTGATAATAAGGATGGTATTGAAAGCATGCATAATGATTCTTAGTGTGGGGGTGCTATCCCTGTTTCCTGTACCCTTTTCTGAAATGAATGTGATATTATAATTATTTATTATTATTAAAATATTATAGTATTACTTTGGCATTTCTCATATCCATCTAGAATTTATTTATTTATTTACTTTTATTTATTTATTTTTGAGATGGGGTCTCGCTCTGTCATCCAGGCTGTAGTGCAATGGTAAGATCATAGCTCACTGCAGTCTCAACCTCCTGGGCTCAAGTGATCCTTCTACCTCGGCCTCCTGAGGAGCTGGGACTACATACAGGCCCACGGCACCACACCTGGGTAATTTTTTATTTTTGTAGAGGTGGGGTGAGCTGTGTTACCCTGGCTGGTATCAAACTCGGAGGCTCAAACCATCCTGCCACCTTGGCTTCCCAAAGTGCTGGGATTACAGGTGTGAGGCACCATGCCGGTCTTTTTTTTTTGGGCGGGGGGGCGGTGGTGTTGGGATAGGGTGTCACTCTGTCGCCCACACAGCAGTGCACTGGTGCCGTCATAGCTCACTGCAGCCTCGAACACCTGAGCTCAAGCAATCCTCTTGACTCAGCCTCATTAGTAGCTGAGACTACAGGCATGTGCCGCCATGCCTGGCTAATTTTTATTTTTACTTTTTAGTTTTTTGTAGAGATGGGGTTGCGCTGCATTGCCCAGGCTGGTCTCAAACTTCTAGCCTCAAGCCACCCCAAAGTGTTGAGCCACAACACCCAGCCTAGAATTTATTTTTGAGTGTCGTTGGAGGTAGCAGTTTAAATGTATTCCTTTTAGGCTGGGCGCAGTGGCTCATGCCTGTAATCCCAGCACTTTGGGAGGCCAAGGCGGGCGGATCACCTGAGGTCAGGAGTTCGAGACCAGCCTGGCCAACATGATGAAACCCCAACTCTACTAAAAATACAAAAATTAGCTGGGTGTGGTGGCGGGCACCATAATCCCAGCTATTCAGGAGGCTGAGACAGGATAATTGCTGGAACCTGGGAGGCAGAGGTTGCAGTGAGCCGAGATCACCGCCATTGCCCTCCAGCCTGGGCCTCAGAGCGAGACTCCATCTCAAAAAAAAAAAATAAATTTATTCCTTTTAGATGGATGGCTTATCATGTTAATACTATTTATTAAGTAAATCATCCTTTCTTCCCAATTTGAAATACTACCTTTTCCATATATACCTGAAGATACTGGTGAACTCTTCCACCAATATATTTGTTTATTATATACAAATACCATGCTAATTTATAATAGCCTTATATTACTTTCTAATATATTGCAAGACACAATTTTTTTTCCCAAGATTTTCTTGGCAATTTTCACACACTATTTTATTTTATTTTTTTCATTTTTGAGACGGCATCTTGCTCTGTCACGAGGCTGGAGTGCAGTGGTGCGATCTCGGCTCACTGCAACCTCCGCCTCCCAGGTTCAAGCGATTCTCCTGCCTCAGCTTCCTGAGTAGCTGGAACTACGGGCGCATGCCACCACGCCCAGCTAATTTTTGTATTTTTAGTAGAGACGGGGTTTCACCATGTCGGCCACGATGGTCTCGATCTCCTGACCTTGTGATCCGCCTGCCTCGGCCTCCCAAAGTGCTGAGGTTACAGGCATGAGCCACTGCGCCCAGCCACATTTATTTTACTACATGAATTTAAAATAATTTTGTCCTCTTTCCCCGAAAAAGGTGAATTTTGATTGGCTTTGCATTAGGTTTACATATTCATTTGGGAAGGGGTAGTTTTTTTAAAAAGGAAATTAAAATTTTAATCTTAGACTATAAAATGCCTCTCAATTTGTTCAGGTATTGGCTTTAGGGCCATCAATAAAATTGAATAGTTTTAAAATTAGGTTTTTGGCCAGGTATGGTGGCTCATGCCTGTAAACCCAGCACTTTGGGAGGCAGAGCTGGGCCAATCACATGAGGCCAGGAGTTTGAGACCAGCCTGGCCAACATGGCGAAACCTCATCTCTACAAAAAACACACAAAAATTAGCTGGGCACAGTGGCATGCGCCTGTAATCCCAGCTACCAGGGAGGCTGATGCATGAGAATCACTTGAACCTGTGAGGCAGAGGTTGCAGTGAGCCGAGATTGTGCCACTGCAGTCCAGCCTGGGTGACAGAGTATCTCAAAAAAAAAAAAAAATTAGGTTTTATACTCCTTATGTTATTTATTTTTAGGTATTTTATTGTTTTGAACTGTTGCAATGTAGGGTATATTTCTTCCCATATTCATTTTCTAACTACTTATAAATAATTAGATAATGAATAAAGTTAATTTCGGTATCTTTTTTTCTTTTTTTTGAAACCAGGATCTTGCTCTGTCATTAAGGCTGGAGTGCAGTGGTGTATTCATAGCTCACTGCAGCCTCAAACTCTTGGACTAACGCAATCCTCCTATTTCTGCCTCCCAAATAGCTGGCACTACAGGCATGCACCACCACACCTAGTTGATTTTTATTTTATTTTATTTTATTTTATTTTATTTTATTTTATTTTATTTTATTGTAGAGATAGAGTTGCACTGTGTTATCCATGCTAGTCTCAAGCTCCTGGCCCCAACTAGTCTTCCTGCCTCAGCCTCCCAAAGTGCTGGGATTACAAGCATGAGCCACTGCACTCAGCAGCCTTGGCATTTATTTATTTATTTATGAGACGGAGTTTCACTCTGTTGTCCAGGCTGGAGTGCAGTGGTGCGATCTCGGCTCACTTCAACCTCCGCCTCCTGGGTTCAAGCGATTCTCCTGCCTCAGACTTCCGAGTAGCTGGGATTATAGGCATGCACCACCACATCTGGCTAATTTTGTATTTTTAGTAGAGACAGGGTTTCACCATGTTAGCCAGGCTGGTCTCAAACTCCTGACCTCAGGTGATCCACCCATCTTGGCCTCCCAAAGTGCTGGGTTTACAGGCCTGAGCCACCACGCCCAGCTTCATCATTCTTTTTTAGGGTAGCACATAACTGAGTACTCCTTTGTGAGGTTATGTCAAAGTTCATTCATTCAGTCCCCTATTGCTTGACCCAGGTTGCTTTTTTTTTGAGATGGAGTCTCACCCTGTCGCCCAGGCTGGAGTGCTGTGGCATGATCTCTGTTTGCTGCAACCTCCGCCTCCCAGGTTCAAGCGATTCTTCTGCCTCAGCCTCCTGAGTAACTGGGATTACAGGCACCTGCCACCACACCCAGCTAATTTTCGTATTTTTAGTAGAGATGGGGTTTCACCATATTGGCCAGGATGGTTTAGATTTCCTGACCTCGTGATCCGCCCACCTCGGCCTCCCAAAGTGCTGGGATTACAGATGTGAGCGACCGTGCCCGGCCCCCCAGGTTGTTTTTTTTAGCTTTTGCCAGTAATACCTCAATGAAGAAACTTATACATGTATCCTTTGCATTTCTTTTTTCTTTTTTTTTTTTTTTTTCGAGGCGGAGTCTCACTCTGTCGCCCAGGCTGGAGTGCAGTGGCGTGATCTCAGCTCACGGCAAGCTCCGCCTCGTGGGTTCACACCATTCTCCTGCCTCAGCCTCCCGAGTAGCTGGGACTACAGGCGCCCGCCACCATGCCCGGCTAATTTTTTGTATTTTTAGTAGAGATGCGGTTTCACCGTGTTAACCAGGATGGTCTCGATCTCCTGACCTTGTGATCTACCCGCCTCGGCCTCCCAAAGTGCTGGAATTACAGGCGTGAGCCACCGCGCCCAGCCTATCCTTTGTGTTTCTTATGTGTGGCACTGTTGTCTGTAGTATGTAATCCTATGAATGGAATTGCTGAGTCACAGGATGAAAGCATCCATAATTTTATTAGATTATGCCAAATTTCCCTCCATACATTTTGTACCACAGTGGTGAGTTCCTGTTTCCCCAGATCCTTACAAATGGAGTGTGTTTTTATTCTTTTGGATTTTGCTAGTCTGGATGGATGAGAAATAATATTTCAGTATGATTTTAATATGCTTTACTATTATGAGTAAAATTGAGCATCTTTTTATATGTCTATGAGACTTGTGAATTTTTTTTTTCCCTGTGAACTATTTGTTGATATTTTTCTCTCTTTATACAAACTCTTTAGGGAGATTGCCTGTTTGTCTGTAATGTTAATTGCAAATGTTTTTCAGTTTATCATTATTTTATTTTTTACTTTGTTTTGATGGTTTTTGTTTTCAAATCACATTTGAGATATGCTTTTAATACAGTAAAAATCACTCTTTTCAGGTGGCATGAATTTAAAAAAATGTATAACCGCCATCATTATCAAGATACAGACTATTTCCATCAACCTGAAATTGTCCTCATACCTCTTTGTGGTCAGTTTCCTCTTCCATCCCTAATTCTTTGGTATCATTGATCTGATTTCTGTTTTTTCTTTGTTAACATGCCGTAAATGGAATGTTATGTATGGAACATAGCATTTTCTGTCTGGCTTCTTTCACTTATCTTAATGCTTTGAGATTCAACTGTTATTGCATGTATCAGTATTTCTTTTTGTTTCTTTGTTTTTGAGACGGAGTCTCGCTCTGTCACCCAGGCTGAAGTGCAGTTGGTGCGATCTCGGCTTACCACAGCCTCCACCTCCCGGGTTCAAGTGATTATCCTGCCTCAGCCTCCTGAGTAGCTGGGACTACAGGCACCTGCCACCACGCCCGATTATTTTTTGTATTTTTAGTAGAGACAGGGTTTCACTGTGTTGGCCAGGCTGGTCTCGAACTCCTGACCTCGTGATCCTTCCGCCTCGGCCTCCCAAAGTACTGGGATTACAGGCGTGAGCCACCGCGCCCGGTGCGTGTATCAGTATTTCTTTTTATTGTTGAGTAACATTTTGTCATATGGATGTACTTACCTGTTTACCAGTTGATGTTTGTTTTGGTTATTTCCAGTTTGGAGCTACGATGAACTAAGCTGCTTTAAACATTTCTACTATAAAGGTCTTTGGAGATTTTTCCATGGAATAAGTTTTTATGTTTATTTAGTAGAGTTTATCAGTCTTTCTTTGATTGTTTCTGGATTTTGAGACACAGTTTGAAATATGTTAAAGGAATTCACCATTTTTTTCCATCTAGGACTTATATGGTCTGATTTTTTAATACGCAGACCCTTTCTTTCTTCCTTCCTTTTTTTTTTTTTTTTTGTAGAGATGAGGGTCTTACTATGTTGCCCAGGCTCGTCTCAAACACCTGGGCCCAAGTTCCCACTTCAGCCTCCCAAAGTGTTGGGGTTACAGGCTGAGCCACTGCACCTCGCCTATATGCTGATCTTTGATCTACTTGCACTTTTTCCTGGCGTGAGGCATGAATGAATTTTCTTTTTTTTTCTTTTTTATTTATTTATTTTTTATATATTTATATTCTTTTATTATACTTTAAGTTCTAGGGTACATGTGTACAACATGCAGGTTTGTTACATATGTATACATGTGCCATGTTGGTGTGCTGCACCCATTAACTCATCATTTACATTAGGTATATCTCCTAATGCTATCCCTCCCCCCTCCCCCAACCCCACAACAGGCCCCAGTGTGTGATGTTCCCCTTCCTGTGTCCAGGTGTTCACATTGTTCAGTTCCCACCTATGAGTGAGAACATGCGGTGTTTGGTTTTTTTGTCCTTGCAATAGTTTGCTGAGAATGATGGTTTCCAGCTTCATCCATGTCCCTACAAAGGACATGGACTCATCATTTTTATGGCTGCATAGTATTCTACGGTGTATATGTGCCACATTTTCTTAATCCACTCTATCATTGTTGGACATTTGGGTTGGTTCCAAGTCTTTGCTATTGTGAATAGTGCCACAATAAACATACGTGTGCATGTGTCTTTCTTTATAGCAGCATGACTTACAATCCTTTGGGTATATACCCAGTAATGGGATGGCTGGGTCAAATGGTATTTCTAGTTCTAGATCCCTGAGGAATCGCCATACTGTCTTCCACAATGGTTGAACTAGTTTACAGTCCCACCAACAGTGTAAAAGTGTTTCTATTTCTCCACATTGTCTCCAGCACCTGTTGTTTCCTGACTTTTTAATGATCGCCATTCTAACTGGTATGAGATGGTATCTCATTGTGGTTTTGATTTGTATTTCTCTGATGGCCAGTGATGATGAGCATTTTTTCCTGTGTCTGTTGACTGCATAAATGCCTTCTTTTGAGAAGTGTCTGTTCATATCCTTCGCCCACTTGTTAATGGGGTTGTTTGTTTTTTTCTTGTAAATTTGTTTGAATTCTTTGTAGATTCTGGATATTAGCCCTTTGTCAGATGAGTAGATTGCAAAAATTTTCTCCCGTTCTGTAGGTTGCCTGTTCACTCTGATGGTAGTTTCTTTTGCTGTGCAGAAGCTCTTTAGTTTAATTAGATCCCATTTGTCAATTTTGGCTTTTGTTGCCATTGCTTTTCGTGTTTTAGAAATGAAGTCCTTGCCCATGCCTATGTCCTGAAATGGTATTGCCTAGGTTTTCTTCTAGGGTTTTTATGGTTTTAGGTCTAACATTTAAGTCTTTAATCCATCTTGAATTTATTTTTGTATAAGGTGTAAGGAAGGGATCCAGTTTCAGCTTTCTACATATGGCTAGCCAGTTTTCCCAGCACCATTTGTTAAATAGGGAATCCTTTCCCCATTTCTTGTTTTTGTCAGGTTTGTCAAAGACCAGATGGTTGTAGATCTGTGGTATTATTTCTGAGGGCTTTGTTCTGTTCCATTGGTCTATATCTCTGTTTTGGTACCAGTACCATGCTGTTTTGGTTACTGTAGCCTTGTAGTATAGTTTGAAGTCAGGTAGCGTGATGCCTCCAGCTTTGTTCTTTTGGCTTAGGAATGACTTGGCAATGTGAGCTCTTTTTTGGTTCCATATGAACTTTAAAGTAGTTTTTTCCAATTCTGTGAAGAAAGTCATTGGTAGCTTGATGGGGATGGCATTGAATCTATAAATTACCTTGGGCAGTATGGCCATTTTCACGATATTCTTCCTACCCATGAGCATGGAATGTTCTTCCATTTGTTGGTATCCTCTTTTATTTCATTGAGCAGTGGTTTGTAGTTCTCCTTGAAGAGGTCCTTCACATCCCTTGTAAGTTGGATTCCTAGGTATTTTATTCTCTTTGAAGCAATTGTGAATGGGCGTTCACCCATGGTTTGGCTCTCTGTTTGTCTGTTATTAGTGTATAAGAATGCTTGTGATTTTTGCACATTGATTTTGTATCCTGAGACTTTGCTGAAGTTGCTTATCAGCTTAAGGAGATTTTGGGCTGAGACAATGGGGTTTTCTAGATATACAATCATGTCGTCTGCAAACAGGGACAATTTGACTTCCTCTTTCCCTAATTGAATACACTTTATTTCTTTCCCCTGCCTGATTGCCCTGGCCAGAACTTCCAACACCATGTTGAATAGGAGTGGTGAGAGAGGGCATCCCTGTCTTGTGCCAGTTTCCAAAGGGAATGCTTCCAGTTTTTGCCCATTCAGTATGATATTGGCTGTGGGTTTGTCATAAATAGCTGTTATTATTTTGAGATATGTCCCATCAATACCTAATTTATTGAGAGTTTTTAGCATGAAGGGCTGTTGAATTTCATCAGAGGCCTTTTCTGCATCTATTGAGATAAACATGTGGTTTTTGTCTTTGGTTCTGTTTATGTGCTGGATTATATTTATTGATTTGCATGTGTTAAATCAGCCTTGCATCCCAGGGATGAAGCCCACTTGATCATGGTGATAAGCTTTTTGATGTGCTGCTAGATTCGGTTTGCCAGTATTTTATTGAGGACTTTTGCATTGATGTTCATCAGGGATATTTGTCTAAAATTCTCTTTTTTTGTTGTGTCTCTGCCCGGCTTTGGTATCAGGATGATGCTGGCCTCGTAAAATGAGTTAGGGAGGATTCCCTCTTTTTCTATTGATTGTAATAGTTTCAGAAGGAATGGTACCAGCTCCTCCTTGTACCTCTGGTAGAATTCGGCTGTGAATCCGTCTGGTCCTGGACTTTTTTTGGTTGGTAAGCTATTAAGTATTGCCTCAATTTCAGAGCCTGTTATTGGTCTATTCGGAGATTCAACTTCTTTTTTCAAATGGCCACCCACTGGTTCCTAAATCATTTATTCCTAAATCAATATTTTTAATCTGATTTGAGAAGTTCTATTTTATAATTATTTATATTTAATTAGTATTAAATATTATAATATTCAATTAAAGTTATGAATTAAAAATGTATTTTCCCTTAAACTTTCAACACACAACTTACAAACCTAGTAAATTCAATTATAAATCAAATAATTTTGTGTTAAAACTTAAAACTCTTATTTTCATTGTACTTTGATTGTTTAATTATACATTTGACAAATTAAAATCTCAAACATTTATGCACTGTTCACAAACTTAAACTGTCTTAAACATATAAAGACACAAAACTTATATATCTAGCAAATTTAATTCTCTGAAATTTTTGTTTTGTTTTGTTGAGACAGGGTCTTGCTTTGTCACCCAGGCTAGAATGCTGTTGCAGGAATACCACTCACTGCTGCCTTGACCTTCGGGCTTCAAGCAGTCCCCTTGTCTCAGCCCCACTACAAGCTGGGACTACAGGCGTGTGCTACCATGCCTGGCTAATTTTTGTATTTTTTGTGGAGATGGTATTTCGCCATGTTGCCCAGGGTGGTCTCAAACTCCTGATCTCAAGCAGTCTACCCACCACAGCCTCCCAAAGTGCTGGGATTACAAGCATGAGCCACCATGCCCGGCCAAATTATTATTATTATTATTTTTTGAAATGGAGTCTTGTTCTGTTGCCCAGGCTGGAGTGCAGTGGTGCAATCTCCACTGAGTGCAACCACTGACTCCCAGGTTCAAGTGATTCTTATGCCTCAGCCTCCCGAGTAGCTGAGATTACAGGCGTGCACCACCACATCTGGCTAATTTTTGTGTTTTTAGTAGAGACGGGGTTTCACCATGTTGGCCAGGCTGGTCTCAAACTCCAGACCTCAAGTGGGATCCAGCCACCTTGGCCTCTTAAAGGCATGAGCCACCACACCAGGCTCAAATTATCTTAAATTTATATACCCCTTATAAACTTGAGTAAATTCTGTTAAGCATTTCAGTCTATAATCATGAATTGAATATATTTAATTTTCTCAAGCATTACCAAAATCTAAAGACGCATAATTAGAATTCTACCAAGATCAAACAAAGTTGTTTTTTTTTTCTTTTTTGAGACAGGGTCACCCTCTGTTGCCCAGGCTGGAGTGCAGTGGCACAATCAACAGCTCACTGTAACCTTGACTTCCCAGGCTCAAGCAAGCCTCCCACCTCAGCCTCCCTAGTAGCTGGGACTACAGCTGGAGGCCACCACACTCACAAATTAAAAAAAAAAAAAAAAAATTCAGGCCAGGCACGGTGGCTCACGCCTGTAATCCCAGCACTCTGGGAGGCTGAGGCGGGTGGATCACGAGGCCAGGAGATTGAGACCATCCTGGCTAACGCGGTGAAACCCTGTCTCTACTAAAAATACAAAAAATTAGCCGGGCGTGGTGGCACATGCCTGTAGTCCCAGCTACTCAGTAGGCTGAGACAGGAGAATCACTTGAACCCAGGAGGCGGAGGTTGCAGTGAGCCAAGATCACGCCACCACACTCCAGTCTGGGTGACAGAGACTCTGTCTCAGAAAAATAAAAAATAAAAATAAAATAAAATTGATAAATTGGACTTTGTCAAAATTAAAAACTTTTGCTCTGTGAAGACCCTGCTAAGAGATGGAACAGAATAGCAGAAAATATTTGTAAACCACATATCTGACAGAGGATTAGTATTTACAATATATAAACAAACAATCTTGTTAGAAAATGGACAAAAGACATTAAGAGGTATTTCACCGAAGAGGATATATGAATGGCAGATAAATGCATGAAAAGATATTGAACAATTAAAATCACAGTGAGACAGCACTACTCACCTATCAGAATGGCTAAAATAAAATAGTGACACTACCAAATGCTGGTGAGGACCCAGAGAAGCTGGATCATTCATATACTGCTGATAGGAATGTAAAGTGCCCATTACCATTTTAAGTGCCAACATTTTGACAGTGGCAAAAAAAACTAAATATTCAGCTACCATATGGCCCAGCAATTGCACTCCTGGGCATTTATCCCAGAGAAATGCAGACTTATATTCATACGAAAACCTACACACAAATGTTTATAAAAACTTTATTTGGGGCCGGGTGCAGTGGCTCACACCTGTAATATCAACACTTTGGAAGGCTGAGGTGGGAGGACTGTTTGAGCCCAGGAGCTCGAGACCAGCCTGGGCAACATAGTGAGATGCTATCTCTATTTAAAGAAAAAAATGTATATATCTGTAATAGGCAGAAACTGGAAACAACTCAGAAACCTGAGCATCAAGGTAGCAGTTTGGAAGAAAATCCAGAAGCTAGAGAAGAGTGCACTTTTAACCTAGGCTGTAAATAGTTATGGGAGGGCATAGTGTGAGCCTGACATGTTTACAGCATCCTCAGAGTTGAAATCAAAAGGAAGCCATCTCTATGTAATTGCAGCACCAGCTTAAGAGCCCAGCACCTCATTACTGTTATCACCAATGTTCTTGATGTCACAGAGGACAATATTCCGTGTGAAACACTGCAGACATTCATTTAGGATGTGATTCAGAACACTCAGATCCTGAAGATAGATAACTTTTAGGAGAACTTTCGTCTGTGTATTCCACTTATATTTTCCTTTTTTAGATATATTCACGGGTAACATAGATTTGTCATATTAAAATTAATATAATGTTACTATAACTTATAAAATGAGTTAATTAGTATAATTACTAACAATAATGTTCTAAAATACATGCCTAATGACGAATTAAAGAGCTCTTTCAGTAACTCTGAAATAAGTGATGAAAACCATTGTCTTAATTTCCTGGCTCCCCTCATAGTCCAAAATGGCTGTAGCAATTCCAGCAATTGCATCAACACACAAAAATTGTCAGTTCCTCAAAAGGAGCTGTGTTTTCTTGTGTCTCTTTTTACAAGTGATAAAATCATGGCCAGGTGAGGCGGCTCACGCCTCTAATCTCAGCACTTTGGTAGGCCGAGGCGGGCAGATCACCTGAGGTCAGGAGTTTGAGACCAGCCTGGCCAACATGGTAAAACCCCGTCTCTACTAAAAATATAAAAAATTAGCCAGGCATGGTGGTGAGCGCCTGTGATCCCAGCTACTCAGGAGGCTGAGGCAAGAGAATTGCTTGAACCCAGGAGGTAGAGGTTTTGGTGAGCAGAGATCACGCCACTGAACTCCAGCCTGAGTGACAGAGCAAGACTCCATCTCAAAAGAAAAAAAAAAAAAAAGAACAAACAAAAAACAAGTGATAAAATCTTTCTCAGAGTCCCAGCAGACCTCTGGTATCTCATTGGCTAAAACTTTATCACATGCCTATGCCCATACCAATTGCTGGCAGGGGGAAAAAAAAATCTACCCAGAAATGACTTAAACCGATCAGGCTTGCCTCCTAGAGCTACTGATGAGGCCTATACTCTGAGCACAAGCTATGTGAGAGGATACTGGAGAAATGGAAGGGCAGGTGGGCAATTGAATTCTCTGTGGCAAACAGCATCTGCCACAGATTCCCAATCACATCCACTCTGTTTGAAGATAATTAATTTAACTTTTTTTTTTTCTTGAGATAAGGTCTCATTTTTTCACCCATGCTAGAGTGCAGTGGTACAATCATGGCTCACCACGGCCTCAACCTCCTGGGCTCAAGTGATCCTCCCACCTCAGCACAGACACGCACCACCAACCCCAACTAATTTTTTTTGTTTTTAATTTTTTGTAGAGACAGGGCCTCACTGTGTTGACTAGGCTTGTTTTGAACTCCTGGGCCCAAGTGATCCTCCTGCCTTGGCCTCCCAAAGTGCTGGGATTGCAGACATGAGCCACTGCACCTGGCCCAAGTATCCAATTCTTTTTTTTTTTTTTTTTTTTTGAGATGAAGTCTTGCTCTTGTCCCCGGCTGGAGTGCAATGACACGATCTTGGCTCACTGCAACCTCCGCCTCCTGGGTTCAAGTGATTCTCCTGCCTCAGCCTCCCAAGTAGCTGGGATTACAGGCTCCTGCCACCATGCCCAGCTAATTTTTGTATTTTTAGTAGAGACTGGGTTTCACCATGTTGGACAGGCCTGTCTCAGTTGAACTCCTGACCTCAGGTGATCTGCCCGCCTTGGCCTCCCAAAGTGCTGGGATTACAGGCATGAGCCACCGTGCCCGGCCTACCAAGTATGCAATTTTTAACAATTACTAGTAATTAGGAAAATCAAATACCAGGTCCGACTGAAAGCTGAAATAATTATCTTTGAAGATTATGATTAGGAAAATAGATCTCGATGAAGTATAGCTATGATTGAATACTATTAGACAGCTGATGAAAAAAATATGGTTCTGACCTCCTGGCTTTTGGGGCTGAATTTATCACTATAAATATGAAGGACTGACCAGTAAGTGACCAGCAAGTGAACAGAGGGAGAGAGGAGGAGGGAAGACCTGCCCCTATGGAGCATACTCTGTGTCTGGCATCGGGCAGGGCACTTTGGATATTCTCTCATGTCATCCCACCGACATTCAGTGGGATGAGTATCATCCCACTGCCTCAGCCTCCCAAAGTGGTTGCAGGTGTGAGCCACCACGCCCAGCTCAATTCTGATTTTTTTACTGTCATAATTCAGCTATGACAACCATCCTCATTAAAAAATATTGTGGCCAGGGGTGGTGGCTCGCGCCTGTAATTCCAGCACTTTGGGAGGCTGAGGCGGGAGGATCACGAGGTCAGCAGTTCGAGACCAGCCTGGCCAACATGGTGAAACCCTGTCTCTACTAAAAATACAAAAATTAGCCAGGCGTGGTGGCGTGCGCCTGTAATCCCAGCTACTCGAGAGGTTGAGGTAGTAGAACAGCTTGAACCTGGGAGGCAGAGGTTGCAGTGAGCCGAGATCCTGCCACTGCACTCCAGCCTGGGACAGAGCAAGACTCTGTCTCAAAAAAAAAAAAAGAAAAAGATATTGTGTACCTTGTCAATAAATTCGTTAAAAATTCTTCCAAGTTGGATGTCTTGGTCAAAGGGTATGGATACCTGAAAGGCTTATGATAGCTATTGCCAAACCAGTTGACACTCCTCTCAACGATTTTTTTAAAGGGCTTCCATTTTTCCCTGTCCTCACCAATACAGGGTTTTATCACTTAAAAAAATCACCAATTTGAGAAAAAATAAGTGTTAGAAAATATCTTATTATTGTGTTCGCTTTGGCAGCACATATACTAAAACTAGAACTATACAGGGAAGATTAGAATGGCCCCCGCGCAAGGATGACATGGAAATTCATGGAGTGTTCCATATTTTTAAAAAATGTCTAAAATTTTAGGGCAGGTGCGGTGGCTACACCTGCAATATCACCACTTTGGGAGGCCGAAGCAGGCGGATCATGAGGTCAGGAGTTTGAGACCAACCTTGCCAACATGGTGAAACCCCGTCTCCACTAAAAATACAAAAATTAGCCAGGTGCCGTGGTGGGCGCCTGTAATCCCAGCTACTCAGGAGGCTAAGGCAGGAGAATTGCTTGAACCCGGGAGGCGGAGGGTGCAGTGAGCTGAGATCGCACCACTGCACTCCAGCCTAGGGACAGAGCAAGACTCCATCTCAAAAAAAAAAAAAAAAGTTCTTTAAAATTTTAAATTTGTCTATTCGGCTGGGCACAGTGGCTCATGACTATAATCCCAGCACATTGGGAGGCTGAGGTGGGCAGATCACTTGAGCCCAGGAGTTTGAGACCAGCCTGGGCAACTTGGTGAAACCCCATCACTACCAAAAAAATACAAAAATTAGCCTTGTGGTGGTGGCACGCGCCTGTGGTCCCAGCTACTCAGGAGGCTGAGATGAGAGAATCACTTGAGTCCAGGAAGTCGAGGCTGCAGTGAGCTGGGGTCGTACCACTGCACTCCAGCCTGGGTGACAGAACAAGACCCCGTTTCAAAAACAAAAAGGAAGAAGAAAATAGCTATTAATTCTGTTTTAATAAGTACAATACATGGAACATAATTGAATCTTGCAGTTAAGTTGTGATTATGAACATTAGTTTTCTGTGTACTGCTCTGTAGAGTGGTCTAATGGGTTGTAGTGTGAAGGTTATACATAAAAAAAAGCATCAGGCCTCCAAAGGAACTCTGTGTTTATGAGTTAGCAGTGAGGAGACTTGGATTCTGGTCCTAGCTAGCTGTGTTTCCTTAAGCAAGTGTTATATTCTCAGTAATTTACTTTAAATACCTCGGAAGGGCCAGTGGGAAGCTTATCTGTGTGTGTGACTTAACTTGAATGTGTGCCATGGAGAGCGTCCCTCCAGTGGCCATTGTGGCAAGCACTGCAGATGTTGCCTTCTAAATCAGTACCAGAGGGTTCATTAGTTAGTATAAGGAATGTCGAAATAATTTTTCCTTGATGAAATGAATGGTATGCAAGATATGAGGCCAACAGATTGTACAGGCATCTCTCTGCCTTTTTATGAACAAGTTAAGAGGCAAGCCCAGCAATGTAACATTTCTGGAGCGGTGCCCTGGGCTCGATCTCCATTTTTTCCGGAATCCCCCACTCAACCAAGGATTTTGTTGCTTGATCTGGCTGGAAGGATCACTGACTGTCATTATAACATAGAGGCCTTGCCCATTAATATTAAATAATGTTTAATGGAAAGGAAACTTGCAGTGCAGAGAGATTGCCCAGGCCTGTGTTGCTGTAAAATGCATGCCATTTCTACTGCAGTGCTTGATACCCCTCTGTTGTTAATTGAATTATGTCCCTGCCAAATTCTAATGTTGAAGCTGTAGCCCCCAGTGTGACTGTATTTCCCATCTTTCTCCTCCTAGCCTTCATCGAAATGCAGACATAATTTGGTCTGTTTCTCAAATCGGTGGAAGTTTTGTCATCTTAATTACCTACCCAGCTCCATTACAGGTTTAAAAACATAATATAAGATATGTTTCAAGGGGCTTCTCATCAGGCCCATTAATTGACACTGCCATGAAATCAACACAGCCTTTAAGTGCAGTCCATAACCATGGAAATGAAGTTTGCTTCAGATAAACCAAAATTCTCAGAGAAGACAAATGTGCCATCAGCAGATCCATTACCAAGAAGTGTCCTGTGTAATGACACTTTTTCATGCATCAAACTAAGCATAATGATGCTTTCCCTATCTCTGTCCATGTAACTGTTGCTCTCTGTGGGAAAATTATCCACTCATCTTGTCTGTACCTGTAGACAGTGAAGGAAGGAGGAGAGCTGAGCAATTTCTTTGGAATTAGCTCCCCAAATTATGGAATGTTTATTCTCAGACATCTTCCGGAAACAGATAACCATTTGGCTCCGGGTGATTTTAACATCAATTGACCTGATGGATTTTTTTTTTTTTTTTTGAGACAGGGTCTCACTCTGTCACCCAGGCTGGAGTACAGTGGTGCGATCTCAGCTCACTGCAGCCGCAGCCTCAACCTCACGGGCTCAGGGGATCCTCCCACCTCAGCCTCACAAGTAGTGGGGACTACAGAGCACACCACAATGCCCAGCTCATTTAAAAAAATTTTTTGTAGAGACAGGGTCTCACTATGTTGCCCAAGCTGATCTAGAACTCCCAGGCTCAAGCAATCCTCCCACCTCAACCTCCCAAAGTGTTGGGATTACAGATGTGAGCCACTATGCCCAGCCTTTGACCTGATCTATTTTATTTTATTTTTTTTGGTGGGGGGGCGGGCGGGGGATGGAGTTTCACTCTTGTTACCCAGGCTGGAGTGCAGTGGCGCGATCTCGGCTCACTGCAACCTCCGTCTCTAGTGTTGAAGCAATTCTCCTGCCTCAGCCTCCCAAGTAGCTCAAGTGATCCACCCACCTCGGCCTCCCAAAGTGCTGGGATTACAAGTGTGAGCCACTGCACCCGGCCGACCTGATCGATTTTAAAAGTTCCTTCTAGCACTATGGTTTTGTGATTTTAATCTCTAAGGAAAATGTTCTTTGATGCCCAGAGGTTAATTCTAATTTGATGTGATGCCAGACTGCAAAGTTATAGCTAATGTTGGACACATAGCCTTATGCAAATTTTCAAAACCCCAAACTTAATGTAACTGTTAGTATTGAAATCAATTTTAATTCATATCACTTTGTATTTAATTATAGGTAATCTTTAGATGGTGGAAGATCTCTCTAAGGAGTGAGTATCGATCAACAAAACCTGGAGAAGCAAAAGAAACCCATGAAGACTTCCTAGAGAATTCACATCTTCAAGGTAAGGAACGGAACATATTATATACCCCTGTTAAGTTCTCATTAGTTAGTGGTAGATTTTGTTAAAGAAGTTTCAAATATATTTTCACTTGAAATATTGATATGCAGTTATGTACTTACATATACAATGTTAGATTCTTAAAAACTAGAAAACTGTTGTTTTTTTCTCTTGGAAAACATATTAGCATTTGGCCGGGCGCGGTCGCTCATGCCTGTAATCCCAACACTTTGGGAGGCCGAGGCGGGTGGATCATGATGTCAGGAGTTCGAGACCAGCCTGGCCAAGATGGTGAAACCCTGTCTCTACTAAAAATACAAAAATTAGCCGGGCATGTTGGCACATGCCTGTTATCCTAGCTACTCAGGAGGCTGAGGCAGGAGAATCACTTGAACCCAGGAGGCAGAGGTTGCAGTGAGCTGAGATCAGACCATTGCACTCCAGCCTGGGCAACAAGAACAAAATTCTGTCTTAAAAAAAAAAAAGATCCTAGGTTAACATGTGGACTCCATTAATGAAGTTAAAATCAAGTAAATATAGTTTTATGCTATAATATTTATGAATTGGGCAGTGGCAAACAACCAAGTGGTTTGGGCTTTACTGGCAAGGGCTTGAGGGAAAACTTTTATACGGTGTTTTCTGAAGGAAGACAAAATATTTGATTGGTTACAGTGGAAATTCCCTGGTTAGAGGTTAGTTGGCAGTTTCTGACTGGTAAAGTCTCTGGTTAGAGGTTAGTTGGCGGTTTCTGACTGGGTAAAGAGAAATTTCCTTTTCCTATGCTACAACCATCTATATTTAAAAAACATTTTTTTTATTAAAAAAAAATTTTGTAGAGCCAGGGTCTCACTATGTTGCTCAGGCTGTTCTTGAACTCCTGGCCTCAAGTGATCCTCCTGCTTCAGCCTCCCAAAGTGCTGGATTACAGGCATGAGCCACTGCACCTGGCCCAACCATCTGTTCTGAGTTGGGTTTCAGTTTGCTTGCATAAGAACTCAGGACACTGGAGACGTCTAAGCCCAATTGCTTCCCAATTAATTATTTTAACACTTCTCAATATGAAAAATTCAAACATAAAAAGCAGACAGAATGGTTTTGTTTTTTGTTTTTTGTTTTTTTTTGAGATGGAGTTTTGCTCTTGTTGCCCATGCTGGAATGCAGTGGCATGATTTCAGCTCACTGCAACCTCTACCTCCCAGGTTCAAGTAATTCTTGTGCCTCAGCCTCCCGAGTAGCTGGGATTACGGGTGTACACCACCACGCCAGGCTAATTTTGTATTTTTAGTAGAGATGAGGTTTCACCATGTTGGCCAGGCTGGTCTCGAACTCCTGACCTCAGGTGATCCACCTGCCTCAGCCTCCCAGAGTGCTGGAATTACAGGCGTGAGCCACTGCACCCGGCCAGAATGGTTTTTAACTAACTCCCATGTACTCATGACCCATCTTCAGCAATACTCAAAATGTGACCCAGACCTATAGATGAAACCCACTGTTCCCACTGGATTATTGTGAAGCAAATCCCAATTGTTAATGTCGTTTAATCTTAATCTACTTTAGAATGTGTCTCTCAAGGGACTTTCTTCGACTAAACTCTTTAATAATTACTCCTTAAAAATAAAAATTTGCCAGGTGCAGTGGTTCATACCTGTAATCCTTGCACTTTGGGAGGCCAATGTGGAAGGATTAGTTGGGCCCAGGAGTTCAAGACCAGCCTTGGCAACAGAGTGAGACCTGGTCTCCACAAAAACAAAACAAAACAAAACAAAAACCAAAAAAAAAATTTTTTTTTAAATTAGCTAGGTGTGGTGACACGTGCCTGTAGTCCCAGCTAATCAGGAGGCTGAGGTGGGAGGATTGCTTGAGCCCAGGTGGTTGAGGCTCCAGTGAACCCTGATCATGCCACTGCACTCCAGCCTGGGCAACAGAGCAAGAATGTCTCAAAAATAATAATAATAGCTGGGCACGGTGGCTCACGCCTGTAATCCCAGCACTTCGGAAGGCCAAGGTGGGCAGATCACCTGAGGTTAGGAGTTCAAGACCAGCCTGGCCAAGACAGTGAAACCCCATCTCTACTAAAAATACAAAAAATTAGCTGGGCATGATGGTGGTGGGTGCCCGTAATCCTAGCCACTCAGGAGGCTGAGGCAGGATAATTGCTTGAACCCAGGAGGTGGAGGTTGCGGTGAGCCGAGATCACGCCGTTGCACTCCAGCCTGGGCAACAAGAGTGAAATTCCATCTCAAAAAATAATAATAATAATAATAGTAATATTTTAAAGCTAGAAGACACCTTAGAGATTCTTATTATAGTTAACAATGTTATTTCTATTAATATCAAGTACTTTCACTCTCATTTTATTGTTATAACATCCTTGTGAAATAAATATTATTGCCATGAAATTCAGAAAGGAGGATCTTACAGCTAAATACTGACATTGCCAGGACTAAGCATTGAAACTCAAAAAAATCAAGCACGATAATCTCATTTAGAAGGCAAACTCTGAGTGGATCTTTGATAATCAACACTCTTTAAAAAATTCCATTATTTAGGCCGAGCACAGTGGCTCATGCCTGTAATGCCAGCACTTTGGGAGGCCCAGGTGGGTGGATCACCTGAGGTCAGGAGTTTGAGACCAGCCTGGCCAACATGGTGAAACCCCGTCTCTACTAAAAATATAAAAATTAGCCGGGCGTGGGGGCAGGCGCCTGTAATCCCTGCTGCTCGGGAGGCTGAGGATCACTTGAACCTGGGA
The DNA here is from genome assembly GCF_000001405.40 of Homo sapiens. NCBI lineage: Eukaryota > Metazoa > Chordata > Mammalia > Primates > Hominidae > Homo > Homo sapiens. The sequence goes on from NC_000002.12 coordinate 229,979,099, forward strand.
GGTGGAGGTTGAAGTGAGCAGAGATCGTGCCACTGCATTCCAGCCTGGGCAACAGAGTGATACTCTGTCTCAAAAAAAAAAAAAAAATCCATTATTTAACAATAATAGTATGCAATAGGCCAGGTGTGGTGGTTCACACTTGTCATTCTAGCACTTTGGGAGGCTGAAGTGGGAGGATTTCTTGAGCCCAGGAGTTTAAGACTAGCCTGGGCAACATGGCAAGACTCCATATAAATATATATAGTGTGTGTGTATATATATATATATGTATGTGATAGTTTTGTTTTATGTATGTGTGTGTATATATATATATAAATGTGATAGTTTGTTGTTGTTTTTTGTTTTGTTTAGAGAGGGAAGGTTTTGTTTTGTTTTGCTTTCTTAAATAGTTAAAAGTTGGGCTGGGTGCAGTGGCTCATACCTATAATCCCAGCACTTTGGGAGGCAGACGCAGGTGGATCACCTGAGGTCAGGTGTTTGAGACCAGCTTGGCCAACATGGTGAAACCCTGTCTCTACTAAAAGTACAAAAATTAGCCGGGTGTGGTTGTGCAAGCCTGTAATCCCAGCTACTTGGGAAGCTGAGGCAGGAGAATCACTTGAACCCGGGAGGCGGAGTTAAAAAAAAAAAAAGTCTGCTGGATTGAGTGGTTCACTGTCTTACTATCTGTATGCAATATCATTAACTCCTTTATGGCAAATATTTATAAAATTCATTGTTGGCTTAAGAACAACCATGTCAAATAATGAAAAAGAGAAGAAAATGTGACTGAGATTAGAAGAAAAAAAAAAGAACAATCATATTGGCAGAAGACTATTTACTTTTGATTGAATTTCAGTCAGCCCAGGCATGCCTAACTTTAACTGTGGACCAGACATGTTTCTATGCAGCTCACTATAAAGTAAACTTCCATAAAACACATTTCATTTTCAAGTTAACATTCGTTTTTTTTGTTTTTTGTTTTTTTGAGACAGAGTCTTGCTCTGTCGCCTAGGGTGGACGGCAGTGGCACGATCTCAGCTCACTGCAACCTCCACCTCCCAAGTTTAAGCAGTTCTCATGCCACAGAGCCCCCGCCCCTGCCCCTGAATAGCTGGGACTACAGGCACACACCACCACACCTGGCTAATTTTTGTATTTTTAGTAGAGATGAGGTTTCATCATGTTGGCCAGGCTGGTCTCGAACTCCTGGCCTCAAGTGATCTGGCTGCCTCGGCCTCCCAAAGTGCCGGGGATTATAGATGTGAGCCACGGCGCCCTGCCTCCATTTTATTTTCTAACCACTGTAGGACCTTCCCCAGAGCTATGTGTCTAGTTAATGCTGCATTGTTCCTTGAGACCATGTGGTTTTCTGATTGTCTTCCACAAAAACCTGGAGATGGGGATTTGGGCCAGAGATGGGAGTCAAAAGCCTCCCACTGCCTTCTGATTGCTGGCTTACTTGCAGACCTCACCAGTCTCTTGCCTGCTCCAGGCACCTTCCAAGCCCTGCCCTTGATAAGAGATTGGGGGGAGGGGTCAAGCTCCTGATAAGATACTGGGGGAGGGGATTCACTTCAGGATAACTACTTGAGGGGTTCTGATACTGGAAGAGAAAAGGCAATATAGCGAAGATTTTATGAGTCTGACAGCAGGCCTGCCTCCCTGCTGGCTGTGTTCCTGCTGGACAGCAGGAGAGTTGAGGGATTCAGCCAAGGCATGTACTAACCAGGCTTTTTAAATGGTAGTTTACAGAGCTGCAGTCTCGGGGCTGCCAGGTGGTTTCCCGCCAGCAGCAGCACTGTGATACCAAATTAAATCAGCCCGGCAAGTTCAAAGGCTCCTGTGTCTCTAAGGGGAAAACTCCAAACCATGGTGTTGGTAGTCTCTGTACACCCCCTTCTTAGAGAATCCTTCAGGAAGTCCTCTGTCTTCAGAGGAAGGAGGAGGGTTCATGGTAGCACAGACTGGGACTCAGTAAGCTGGCGTTGAAATCTCTGTCCTGCCACCAGCCCGCTGTGTGATCACAGCTGATTGCTCCTCCCCTCTGTGAGTCAGTTTCCTCATCCTTAACTGGAGATAATGGTTACTCCATATAGCCACGGTGAGCATTCAATGGCCTGATACAAAGTCAGGCGCAGTGGCTCACGCCTGTAATCCCAACTACTTGGGAGGCTGAAGTGAGAGGATCACTAGAGGCCAGAAGTTTGAGACCAGCCTGGGTAACACAGTGAGACCACCCCCCCATCTCTAAAAAAAACTTTAACAAAATGAAAAGCAAGACAAAATACCTGATATATGAACAGATTTTTTTTTTTTGAGACAGGATCTCACTCTGCTGCCTAGGCTGGAGTGCAGTAGCACGATCACGCTCACTGCAACTTTCACCTGCCAGGCTTAAGCGGATCACTTGAAGCCAGGAGTTCGAGACCAACCTGGCAAACATGGCAAAACCCTGTTTCTACAAAAAATACAAAAATTGGCTGGGCGTGGTGGTGCCTGCCTGCCCAGTTACTCAGGAGGCTGAGGTGGAAGGATCACCTGAGCCTGGGAGGTCCAGGCTGTAGTGCGCTGTGATTGTGCCACTATACTCCAACCTGGGTGACAGAATGAGACCCTGTCTCAAAAAAAAAAAAAAAAGAAAGAAAGAAAAAGGAAAAGAAAAAAAAAATTCCCAGCATGTCCTTATGGTTTGCTGTTGTATTAGTCTGTTCTCACATTGCTATAAGGAAATACCTGAGAATGGATAATTTATAAAGAAAGGAGGTTTAATTGGCTCATGGTTTTGCAGGCTGTACAGAAAGCATAGCAGCTTGTTTTTGGGGAGGCCCCAAGAAGCTTCCAGTCATGGTGGAAGGCAAAGAGGGAGCAGGTGTCTTACATGGCAGGAGCAGGAACAAGAGAGTGACAGGGTGAGGTGCCACACACTTGAGTTTTTTGTTTTGTTTTTGTTTTTTTTTTTGAGAGACCTAGCCTCACTCTGTTGCCCAGGCTGGAGTGGAGTGGGGCCATCCTGGCTCACTGCAACTTCCACCTCCCAGGCTCAAGTGATCTTCCCACCTCAGCCTCCTAAGTAGCTGGGACTACAGGCATGTGCCACCATGCCTGGCTAATTTTTTTGTATTTTTTGTAGAGATGGGGTTTCACTCTGTTGTCCAGGCTGCTTTCAAACTCCTGAGCTCAAGCAATCTGCCTGCCTTGGCCTCCCGTAGTGCTGGGATTACATGCGTGGGCCACTGTGCCCAGCCTCCTTCCTCTATCTGCAAAGCCAACAATGGCAGGTCTTGTCTTTCTCACGAGGCATCACTCTCACCTTGCCTCCGTGGTCATGTCTCCTTCTCTGACTATGACTCTCCTGCCTTCGTCTTTCCCTTATAAGGAACTTTGTGATGACATTAGGCTCACCAGATAATCCAGGATTATCTCCCATCTCAAGATCCTTAATTTGGCTGGGCACAGTGGCTCACACCAGTAATCCTAGCACTTTGGGAGGCTGAGGCGGGTGGATTACTTGAGGTTAGGAGTTTGAGACCAGCCTGGCCAACATGGTGAAACCTCGTCTCTACTAAAAATACAAAATTTAGCCAGGCATGGTGGTGGGCACCTGTAATCCCAGCTACTTGGGAGGCTGAGGGAGGAGAATCGCTTGAAACTGGGAGGCAGAAGTGGCAGTGACCCAAGACAGAGCAAGAGCTTGTCTCAAAAAAAAAAAAAAAAAAAAAGGATCCTTAATTTAATCACATCTGCACAGTTACTTTTGCCGTGTGAGGTCCCATATTCACAGGGTCTGGAGATTAGGACATGGACATCTTTGGGGACGGGCATTATTATGTCTACCACAGTGATTTATATTACTAAATTGCAAAATCAAAAACGTTGCTGAATTTTTTTAACAGATTTGCATTTTTATTTTATTTATTTTTGAGACAGGATCTCACTCTGTTGCCCAGGCTGGAGTGCAGTAGTGCAATCACAGCTCACTGCAGCCTCCATCTCCTGGGCTCAAACAATCCTCCTGCCGGGCGCGGTGGCTCATGCGTGTAATCCCAGCACTTTGGGAAGCCAAGGTGGGTGGATCACCTGTGGCCGGGAGTTCGAGACCAGCCTGACCAACATGGAGAAACCCCGTCTCTACTAAAAATACAAAATTAGCCAAGCGTGGTGGCTTATGCTTGTAATCCAAGCTACTCGGGAGGCTGAGGCAGGAGAATCGCTTGAACCTGGGAGGCAGAAGTTGCAGTGAGCCAAGATTACACCATTGCACTCCAGCCTGGGCAACAAGAGCAAAACTCCATCTCAAAAAAAAAACAAAAACAAACAAAACAATCCTCCCACCTCAGCCTCCTGAGTATCTGGGAGTGCAGGTGCACACCACCATGCCCAGCCAATTTAATTATTTTTATTTTTTAGTAGAGATGAGGTCTTGCTATGTTGCCCAGGCTGGTCTCAAACTCCTGAGCTCAAGCAATCCTACCTGCCTTGGCATCCCAAAGTGCTGGGATTACAGGTATGAGCCACTCAGCCTGGCCCAGGTTTGCATTTTTAAGAATCAAAACTGTCATGTTTATTAATTTAAACATTACTCTTAACACTACCAAGTATACAGAACTGTTAGCATGTGAATAAGAATGTTGCTTAATACAGACTACTTCCATTCCAATCCTGGCCCTAAACCCACTAGGTATGTGACCTTAACCAAATTATTTAATCTTTTTAGGTCTCAGTTCCCTCAACTGCTGATAATGGGAATAATAATGGCATCTATCTCACAGGATCCTTATGAGGACTAATTGAATGAAGTGCTTAGAATTTGCCTGGCACATAATAAGTACTCAAAAAATTCCAGCTGTTGGAGTTTTTAATATTTAAAAAGTGAAAATTGTTTCTCTCCTCCAAGCTCCCTTCCCCAGAGACGACCATTCTAAATAGTTTCATTTGTATTTGAATTCTTTCTGTTTGAATTGTATATATGTTTATAAAAATAAAATCAGGTTGGGCGCGGTGGCTCACGCCTGTAATCCCAGCACTTTGGGAGGCCGAGGCGGGTGGATCCCGAGGTCAAGAGATGGAGACCATCCTGGCCAACATGGTGAAACCCTGTCTCTACTAAAAATACAAAAATCAGCTGGGCATGGTGGCACGTGCCTGTAGTCCCAGCTACTCAGGAGGTTGAGGCAGGAGAATCGCTTGAACCCTGGAGGTGGAGGTTGCAGTGAGCCGAGATCATGCCACTGCACTCCAGCCTGGCAACAGAGCAAGACTCTATCTCAAAAACAAACAAAAAAAATCAAATCAATTACATCTTTAGGTTTTATTTTTTTTTTATTTTTTGAGTCGGAGTCTCGCTCTGTCGCCCGGGCTGGAGTGCAGTGGCGTGATCTCGGCTCACTGCAACGCCGCTCCCGGGTTCACGTCATTCTCCTGCCTCAGCCTCCCAAGTAGCTGGGACTACAGGCGCCCGCCAGCAAGCCCGGCTAATTTTTTATATTTTTAGTAGAGACGGGGTTTTACCATGTTAGCCATGATGGTCTCGATCTCCTGATCTTGTGATCCGCCCGCCTCAGCCTCCCAAAGTGCTGGGATTACAGCCGTGAGCCACCGCGCCCAGCCTAATCTTTAGGTTTTTAACTTGTTTTGCTCTTCATATATTATGATTATTTTTCTGTTAGTGTACATAAAGTCCCCTGTTCTTTTGCAAGGATGTATGGTATTCTGTGGGTACAAATACACAATCCTCAATTGATGGGCATTTTCGGATGGTTTCCAGGTTTTGCTGTTCTCACTGAAGCCTTTAGGTACATGCTGGGACATCTATATCTGCACACTTACATGAGAATGTCAGTAATATGGATTCCTACAGGGGGAATTGCTATATCCAAAGAGATATACCTTATAAATTTTGATAGATTTTATCTGAGGGGTGCATTCTTGAAAATCTTGCAGAATTCAGGGTTAACGTGACCAAGGATGGTCTTTCTGTGAACTGGCTCGCATGCCACTGCCACAGGATGCAGCGCAAATGGCATTTGCAACACATTTGACCTTAATAATTATGCCAACTTTATAATTATGCTACTCTTGAAAGAATTTTAAGTTGTGTGATTTACATTATTTTAACATTTGCACCTAAAATGAGACTTCATTAATATTTTGATGTCACAATATTTCAATTTAGAGTAATTTAAAATTTACGTAAAATACCAGTTACTTTCTTATCCTCACAAATTGCCCTCCAAAAAACTGCTGTGTTAATTATACTCCATCCAATAGGAGGTAGGTGTTTTCTTACCCCTTTTGCCACCATGCCTTGTTCCATAATCCATTTTCTCTAGGTTTCTTTTTTAGACTTATACGTCAGCCTTTAACTTGGGCCTTTATTTTCTCATTCCTAACTAACACCTCTTACAACACTCCTCCCCTCCTTGCTGCCCTCTCTGATCAGCTGCCCTTTGTCTTCAGCCTTGATCTCTAGCTTCTGCATACCTTGGGTTGGGTTCTGCAAGTGGATGGTGAGGTGGGAGAGTGCAGGAGGTAGGAGCCTGGGAGGCTGGCTCTGGGCTGCAGAGCAGAGAAGGCAAATCCAAATAAAATCTTACATTTTGTCATTTATTATTAACTGATGTTTTAAGATTAAAAATTGAAATAATGCACATAGTAAAACAAAAGTTAAATGAATTTGAAAAGTTTTAGGTTAAGCACTGTGGCTCATGCCTGTAATCCCAGCACTTTGGGAGGCAAAGGTGGGAGGACTGCCTGAGCCCAGGGGTTCAAGACCAGCCTGGGCAACATAGTGAGACACTGTCTATACAAAATTAAAAAAATTAGCTGGGCATGGTGGCATATGCCTGTAGTCCCAGCTACTTGGGAGTCTGAGGTGGGAGGATGGCTTGAGCTAGGAGGTCAAAGCTGTAGCTAGCCATGATTGTGCCACTATACTCCAGGCTGGGGGACAGGATGAGACCCTGTCTCGAAACAAATAAATAAATACAATAAAAATGAAAAGTTTTAGCATGAAAATAAGTCTCCCTCTGACCCTGTGTTTCTAGTTCCAGGACAACCATCATTAGGAGTTTCTGTTATATCCTTATAAAAATGGTTTATGCATACATACAAGAATATGTTATATATTAACACAAAAAGGACTGGGCAATGTAGCTCACACCTGTAATCTGAGGACTTTGGGAGGCCGAGGCTGGAGGATCACTTGAGCCCAAGCAGTTCACGACCAGTCTGGGCAATGTGATGAAACCCTGTCTGTATAAAAAATGCAAAAATTAACTGGGTGTGGATTCACGTTCACCTGTGGTCCCATCTGCTGGGGAGGCTGAAGTGGGAGGATCACTTGTATACAAGAGGTCACGGCTGCTGTGATTGTGCTACTACACTCCAGTATGGGCAACAGAGTGAGACCCTATCTTAAAATAAATAAATAAGTAAAATAAAATAAACATAAAAATTTTTTTTTTTTTTTTTTGGAGACAGAGTCTCCCTCTGTAGCCTAGGCTGGAGTGCAGTGGTGCCATCTTGGCTCACCACAGCCTCTGCCTCCTGGGTTCAAGCGATTCTCCTGCCTCAGCCTCCCGAGTAGCTGGGACTACAGGCACCCACCACCATGCCCAGCTAATTTTTGTATTTTTAGTAGAGACGAGGTTTCACCATGTTGGCCAGGCTGGTCTGGATCTCCTGACCTCAGGTGATCCACCCACCTCAGCCTCCCAAAGTGCTAGGATTATAGGTGTGAGCCACCACACCCGGCCAAAAAGAAGAATCTTATGCATTGTATCCTGTAGCTTGCTCTTTAAAAGTTTTCAAATTCAGAAATATTTTAAACCTACAGAAAAGAACATTACAGAGACTCTGGCTGGGCACAGTGGCTCACACCTGTAATCCCAGCACTTTGGGAGGCCAAGGTGGGCAGATCATTTGAGGTCAGGAGTTCAAGACCAGCCTGGCCAACATGGTGAGACCCATCTCTACTAAAAATATAAAAAAATTAGCCAGGCGTGTTGGCGCACAACTGTAATCCCAGCTACTTGGGAGGCTGAGTCGTTTGAACCCAGGAGACAGAGGCTGCAGTGAGTCAAGATTGTGGCCATTGCACTCCAGCCTGGGCAACAGAGCGAGACTCCATCTCAAAAAAAAAAAAAAAAGAACGTTACAGAGACTCAATACCACTAACAAAAGATGTTAACATTTGTCCTATTTACTTCATTTCATCTAAATTGTCACTTTTTTGTTGTAATCTGTTCATAATATCCTCTTCTTTTGATGTCTGAGGATCTGTAGTGTGTTCTCTTTTTCATTCCATGATAATGGTAATTTACATTTTCTCTAATTTTTTTCTTAATTAATCTTGCCAGGGGTTTACTTCATTCATTAACTTTTTTCATAGAACTAACTTTTAGCTCTGTTGATTTTGTTTTTGTGAGTTTTTAAAAAGTGATTTCTGTTCTTACCCTTATTTCCTTTCTACTACTTTCCTTAAGTCTGGTTTGTTGTTCTTTTTTAGCTTCTTGAGATGGAAGTATAAATCATTATTTATTTATTCATTTTATTTTATTTTTTATTTTTGAGATAGGGTTTTGTTCTGTCATCCAGGCTGGAGTGCAGTGGTGTGATCATGGCTCACTACAGCCTTAACCTCCTGGGCTTAAGTGATCCTCCTGCCTCAGCTTCTGGAGTAGCTGGGACTACAAGTGTGCACCACCACACCTGGATAATTTTGTAGAGACAGGGTCTCACTATGGTGCGCAGGCTGGTCTTGGGACTTATCTCTAACTCCTGGCCTCAAGCGATTCCTCCCACCTTGGCCTCCCAAAGTGCTGGGATTATAGACATGAGCCACTGCACCTTGCCTAAATCATTGTTTAGAGCCATTTTTTCTCCTCTAAATTTTCTTTAACTGCTGCTTTACCTACATAGACAAGTTTTGATAACTTGCGTCTTTATTCTCATTCATTTTCATTCAGTTAAAACATTTTCTAATTTCCATTTTGATTTCTTCTTTGACCCTTAGATTATTTAGAAACATATTGTTTAATTTACAGGTAGTTGGAGATTTCTTAGTTACTTTTTTTGTTCTTAATATTTAGCTAAATTACATGTGGTCAGAGAATCTACTCAAAATTATAACGTATTTTTTTAGATAACCATCTCAAAAGTATAGAAAATTATTTCATATAAATATTTCTAACATCTATTATAAACGAAAACTCCTAGAAAGCTAGTAATAGCTTTGTCCTGGATGTAAACACTTTTGCTTTTATTTACTGTTCCAGTGTTTCTTTCTGCAGATATAAACAAATTCATAAATATGTTTATATTCTGGTACCCGTTTTTTACACAAATAGCATTCTGCTCCTGCTGTTCAACACTTTACCTTTTCACCAGTATATCCAGGAAATCGCTTCATGTCTTTGGAGATATTCTTTGTTTTGTTTTGTTTTGTTTTTGTTTGTTTGTTTTTTTGTTTTTGAGACCGAGTTTCACTCTAGTTTCCCAGGCTGGAGTGCAGTGGCGCGATTTCAGCTCACTACAAGCTCCGTCTCATGGGTTCAAGAGATTCTCCTGCCTCAGCCTCCTGAGTAGCTGGGATTACAGGCATGCATCACCATGCCCAGCAAATTTTGTATTTTCTTAGTAGAGATGGGGTTTCTCCATGTTGCTCAGGCTGGTCTCGAACTCCTGACCTCAGGTGACCTCAGCCTCCCAAAGTGCTGGGATTATAGGCGTGAGCCACCATGCTGGCCTGTTTTTTTTTTTTTTTGTTTTTTTTTTTTTACCGCATAGTATTTATGCTTTAATAGAGTATATATGCTTTATACTAAAGCATATACTATATACATATCATATATATGCTTTATCTGCATATAATATTTCTTTATATGTAGGCATCAAAATTCTAATGATAAAAATTGGGTTGTTTCCAATCTTTTCGTATCACAGATAATGCCAAAATGAATAACTGTGTGCACAGATCATTTCAGTGTGAGATTGCTGGCCAAAAGATAAATGCTTACTAAGTTATAATTTTGAGTTAATGGTTTCTGGTATATAAAGAAATGATACTGATCTTTTTTCAGTAGGATTTCTTGACTTTCGTCAACTTTTGTATGTTGACATTCAGATCATTTTGTGGTAATGGCAGTTTTTCTTTCTGATCATGATGTATTTTTATTTTTATTTATTTATTTTTTTGAGATGGAGTTTAGCTCTTGTTGCCTAGGCTGGAATGCAATGGCACAATTTTGGCTCACTGCAACCTCTCCCTGCCAGCTTCAAGTGATTCTCCTGCCTCAGCCTCCTGAGTAGCTGGGATTACAGGCATGTGCCACCATGCCTGGCTAATTTTGTATTTTTAGTAGAGACAGGGTTTCTCCATGTTGGTCAGGCTGATCTTGAACTCCCCACCTCAGGTGATCTGCCCGCCTCAGCCTCCCAAAGTGCTGGGATTACAGGCGTGAGCCACCACGCCCGGCCATGATATATTTTGTTTGTTGTTTGTTTCAGAGTCTCGCTTTCTAGCCAAGGCTGGAGTGCAGTGGTGTGATCTCAGCTCACTGCAACCTCTGCCTCCCAGGTTCAAGCAGTTCTCTGCCTCAGACTCCAGAGTAGCTGGGATTACAGGCACCCACCACCACGCCTGGCTAATTTTTTTTTTTTTTTTTTTGTATTTTTAGTAGAGACAGGGTTTCACCATCTTGGCCAGGCTGGTCTTGAACTTCTGACCTCGTGATCCACCCGCCTCGGCCTCCCAAAGTGTTGGGATTACAGGCGTGAGCCACCGCACCCGGCTCATGATGTATTTTTATATTTTCCTTGTTTTGTTCTTTCTGTGACCTCTAAAACAATGCTGAATAGAGATGGTGATAGTGGGCATTCTGGTCTTATTTCTGACATTAGAGGTTATATACCATCATGATTGGAGGGTGCATTGTAGAGCAAACTCCCTGGGTTCAATCCTAGTTCTGCCGCTTTCTCATTGTGTGATCCTGAACAGCCACTTATCCTTTCTGTTCCTCATTTCCTAGTTTCTCTCTCTCTCTTAAGTTCTCTCCATATTCCAGAACTCCTTTTTTTCCTCTATAAGAGGGGAATAATAATAGTACCCATCCAATAGGGTCATTGTGAGGGTTAAATTATATAATATATATGATATATCTTATATATATTGTATAATATATATAACACACACACTTTATATATATACATATTAGAGCAGTACCTGGCAAATATTGAAGATGATACCAACCCATATTTGTACCATTCATTATTATTGTTACTGTTATTGGGTTTTAGTAACTTCTGTATATCAGGTTATCAGGTTAAGGATGTTCCCTTTTATTACTAGCTTTCTAGGAGTTTTCATTTATAATAGATGTTAGAAATATTTATATGAAATAATTTCTATACTTTTGAGATGGTTATCTAAAAAAATACGTTAATATGGCAAATTCTGTAAGATATTTACCAAAGTTATAACATCCTTGGATCATTCCAGGATTAATCCTACTGGTCAAAATTTGTTTACTTTTTTAATATGTTGGTGAACTCAATTTCCTAATGTTTTGTTTAGAATTTTTACCACATATGTTCCTAAGTAAAGTTTAGCATACAGTTTTCCTTTTGCCTACCATCATTGCTGGTTTGCACAACTTCCTAATTTGAGCTGGGGAGTTCTTCTATTTCTATTCTTTGGAACAAATTGTATACCATATGGATTGGTATATAATTCTTTGAGAGTTTATAAAGCTAATCTGTAAAGCAGTATAGACCTGAAACTTTAGTTAAGGTTTCCTTTTCTTAATTAATCAGTGAATTCATTTTATTTACTGGTCACAGTCTCTTGGGTTTTCTTTCTTTTTTTTCCCCTCCCCCGCCCCGAGTTGGGAGTCTCACTCTGTCACCCAGGCTGGAGTGCAGTGGTGCAATCTAGGCTCACTGCAACCTCCACCTCAAAGCAATTCTTCCACCTCAGCCTCCCTAGCAGCTGGGATTGCAGGCAAGCACCACCATGCCTAGCTAATTTTTGTATTTTTAATAGAGATGGGGTTTCACCATCTTGGCCAGGCTGGTCTAGAACTCATGACCTTAAGTAATCGGCCCACCTTGGCCTCCCAAAGTGCTGGGATTACAGGCATGAGCTACTGTGCCTGGCCTAATATCTTCTTTGACTCCTTAATTATTCAGAAATGTGTTTAAAATTTCCAAATGTTTCCCAGGATTATGAACTGAATGTGTCCCCCCTCAAATTCATATGTCAAACCCCTGACTCCCAGTGTACTATATTTGGACATGGAGGCCTCTAAGGAAGTAATTAAGGTTAAATAAGGTCTTTAAGTTGGGGCCCTAATCTGATAGAATTGGTGTTCTTGTTAGAAGTCGGACCAGAGGCTCACTCCCTGTCTCCTTAAGCTCACAAAGAAGAAGTCATGTGAGCACACAGTGAAATGGCAGCCCTGCACAAGCCAAGAGAAGAAGCTGTAGAATGAAAGCTACCTTGCTGGTTGAGGGTCCAAAGTCTTCTCCTTTTGTACTGCGTGTGACCCTTTCAGTTCAGGCTGGATGGCAGTGTTTTTACCAACATAATTCTCTTAAAAATATCATGGGTTTTCCATAATTCTTATTGGGGTCTACTGCATTAGAGAAAACCACACTTATATATTTCTGTGAGATAAGCACTTCTCTACCTTGGGTTTCTGCTCTTGACTCTTGAGTGACAACACTGTTAAGCTTCATGAAAACCCTAAGGTTTGACTGAATGGTTTTTGACAGAGCATCTTGTAGCCACCTTTCCCCATCTCCAATTTCTTCTTTATACCATGTTTTTCTTCCATTGTCCTAGATTTGATCTTTGCCTGAGAGTCACTTCTTAATTTTAGCTTGTTTGACAGCTGAAGAGGCAGAGAATGTTCAAAAGCAGTAAATCCTGTGTCCTTTTTAAGAGACCTTCCTTTAGCTTGTCTCTTTTCTCTTATCTTTTACTTTAAGCATCAAGAAGAAATCAGGCAGTATGTTCCTGCTCTGCTTGGACATTTCCTTAGCTAAATGGCACAACCCATAAGTTGCATTTTTTTCTCATTTAATCTTTTTTTTTTTTGAGGTGGAGTCTTACTCTGTTGTCCAGGCTGGAGTGCAATGGTGCAGTCTTGGCTACGGCACCCTCTGCCTCCCGGGTTCAAGCAATTATCATGCCTCAGCCTTGTAAGTAACTGGGATTACAGGTGCCCGCCTCCATGCCCAGCTGATTTTTGTATTTTCAGTAGAGATGATGTTTCACCATGTTGACCGGGCTGGTCTCGAACTCCTGACCCCAAGTGATCTGCCTGCCTTGGCCTCCCAAAGTGCTGGGATTACAGGCATGAGCGACCACACCTGGCCCTCACTTAATCTTTTGTCTTCATCTTTAAAACCTCAGAGTCCATTAGACTTCTACTAATGGTTTCTTCTTGGCTCTTCAGGCTTTCACCAACCCTCTCGTCACACTCATTCACATTTTTATGGACTTTTCAATATCAAAGCCACTCTTACATTTTAGGTTCCACTGTGGCAGCACATCTCTTGCAGGTACCCAAGTCTTTATCATCTATTGCTGTGTAACAGATTATCCCAAAACGTAATGACTTAAAACTATAATAATTGTTTATTATCTCAAACAGTTCCAGTGGACCAGAAATTTGGGAGCAACTTAACTGAGTGGTTCTGATTAGGAGACTTGCATGGGGTTGAATGGCACCTCAGTCATCTGAAGAAGGCTTGATTGGGGCTGGAGGATCCCATTCAAGGATGGCTTATACACATGGCTGAGAAATCACTGGTGGTTGTTGGCAGGAGGTTTCAATTTCTTGTCTCATGGACCTCTCCATAGTGCTGCTAAGTGAGGACTAAACTCTGATTTTTTTATCTTGCCCAAATTCCTATCTGAGGGGTCTGGGGAGTCATGCCCTACAAATCATAGTCTCATCAGATGGGTTTTGTTTAACCCTATATATCATAATTTACTTTCCAACCTGACTCTGGCATAACATTATGAGACAAAGAAGAAAATCAACATATTTTACCCCAAAACATGTTGATTTGCCATATTTTGAAATGGCCCTGCAAAGCTGTTCTTTGTGGGGGAAAATTTGTATCTGTAAAGAATCTCTATTAACAGAGCTAGATCTTTTTCTTCCAGACCCTCCCAATCCTAACGAGAGTAACTAAGATCTGAATAGGAAACACTGGTCATTTATTGTCTCTAAGGGCAGCCACTATAAGACTTCAAAAGAACTTGTCAGGACATGGCCGTTGGCTTCTCGCAGAGTGAGTGATCGAAGAGCAAAGCAGAAGCCTTTATGATGACCTACCCTTTGAATATCATTTCTGCAATATCCTCTTTGTTAATAGGGCAGCCCTATTCAGTGTGGGATGGAAATATGCGGGGGTGTAAGTTTAGGAAAAGATAGTCACTGAAACTGTCTTGGAGACTGTCTGCCACATAATCCAACAGGCAGGCGGTGATTTTATGTTTCAGAATGGAGTTTGTTTTAATATACTTTTTTTAATTTCAAAAGAAATATATGTTAGTTACATTTAAAAATACCAAAAAAGCAAGAGTATTTTTTCAAAATACTCTAACCACCTACACTTTCAAACCATCACATTTCATACCTAGCTGTACATGTCCTAAAACTTTTACACTTTATTTATTTATTTATTTATTTTTGGCAGGGACGGAGTTTGGCTCTGTCACTCAGGCTGGAGTGCAGTGGCACGATCTCAGCTCACTGCAACCTCCGCCATTCTCCCGCCTCAGCCTCCTGAGTAGCTGGGACTACAGGCGCCCACCACCACGCCCGGCTAATTTTTTTTTTTTCTTTTTGTTTTGTATTTTTAGTAGGGACAGGGATTCACTGTGTTAGCCAGGTTGGTCTCGATCTCCTGACCTCGTGATCCACCCTCCTCAGACTCCCAAAGTGCTGGGATTACAGGCGTGAGCCACTGCGCCTGGCCAACTTTTACACTTTAAATACTTTATTGGTGGAGACTTTCTAAAGTATATTTGAGCATGCTTTGAACATGTTTTCTTGTCATTTTAAAGTATTCAAAAATTATCTTCAATTATGTCAAGGGCTTTAAATAAGCACTGCTTTTTCTTCTTCTTCTGCTGGTGGGCAGAGGATCTTCACAATACCTACTCTTTAATGCTGAGTTTTTGAAAGGGCTATTCCTCACCCCCCAAGAAGGCCCTTGTACTTTAGAGGGGCTTTGAATGGGAAGCACTTGGAATTCAGAAGCAACTTAAATCCTTAATGCCTCTATTTTCTATTTCTGTATTAATGCCTTAATGTAGGCTAACCTGTTTGGGAGAGAAATCTTATATAGCTACTCTTCTAAGCTGGCACGATTGGGCTTTTACATAAACACAGCCCACACCTTACATCCATTCTGAAATCAGAGAGCCCAACTTCTAGGATCACAGTTCCGCCTGCTTCTGCAGGGAGCCTATTGCCCTTGACAGCTCTGTCCTACTTGCTCCAGAAGGAATGGTTCAGGTTGAATAGGGAAGGTGGTCGCCAAATATTGGACAGTGAATCTAAGAGAGTGCACTTTTTCTCTTCTAAGAGCCATTTTTGGGAAGACTCCATAGTGGAGCTTTCAGAGTCAGAAGGGGAGAAGAGAAACTGACAAAGCCCCCAGTTTTGGGGCCCCTGTGATCTATATGCATACCCCACCATCACCCTGTTTTCCTCTCTCTTAAAAGGAGGTAGTCTTGGCCGGGCATGGTGGCTAATGCCTGTAATCCCAGCACTTTGGGAGGCTGAGGCGGGTGGATCACCAGGTCAGGAGTTCGAGACCAGCCTGACCAACATGGTGAAACCCCATCTCTACTAAAAATACAAAAATTAGCCGGGCATGGTGGTGGGTGCCTGTAATCCCAGCTACTCAGGAGGCTGAGGCAGGAGAATTGCTTGAACCCAGGGGGCGGAGGTTGCAGTGAGCTGAGATCGTGCCACTGCACTCCAGCCTGGGTGACAGAGCAAGACTCTGTCTCAAAAAAAAAAGAGGTAGTCTTTTTTTCCAATATTTAAAAAAATTACACTGGTAATATGGGTTTATTGTACAAAGATCAGAAAATACAGATAGGCCAAAGGAAGAAAATAAAAGTCACCACATTTAACCACTGTTTACATTTAAACATCTATCCTTCCAAACAAGTTTTCATTTCTTGTTTATTCAGAGAACTGGGGGGAAATCCTTTTTTCCTACATCAAACATAGTTAGATAGGCCATTGATTGGTTGATTCTTTATGAACTATTTCCTAATTTGAAAATAAGTGAACAGGTACAGAAAATATTAGGCAAAAGTTAAAATACTATGAAGCATCCAGCCTGAGCAACATAGTGAGACCCTGTCTCTACAAAAAAAAATCATAATAATTTTTATGAAATATTCATGTTTTTCTCTTTGCCTCTTTATATTTTTTCTCTTTCTTTCCTTCCTTTCTTTCTTTCTTTCTTTCTCTTTCTTTCTTTCTTTTTTTTTTTTTTGGACAGAATTTCGCTCTTGTTGCACAGGTTGGAGTGCAATGGCATGATCTCAGCTCACCGCAACCTCCGCCTCCCGGGTTCAAGCAATTGTCCTGCCTCAGCCTCCCGAGTAGCTGGGATTACAGGCATGTGCCACCACGCCTGGCTAATTTTGTATTTTTATTAGAGACAGGGTTTCTCCATGTTGGTCAGGCGGGTCTCGAACTCCCAACCTCAGGTGATCCGCCTGCCTTGGCTGCCCAAAGTGCTGGGATTATAGGGGTGAGCCTCCGTGCCCAGCCCTGTTCCTATTTTTTTTTTTTCCTATCAAATGAAGTTAGGGATGAAAGGAGATGGTAAAGAAGGAAGAAAGTTTGGTGTAGACACAATGTATAAAAATAACAGGCTGGGTGTGGTGTCTCATGCCTGGAATCCCAGCACTTTGGGAGGCCGAGGTGGGAGGATTGCTTGAGCCCAGGAGTTCTAGACCAGCCTGGGCAACATAATAAGACTCCATCTCTAAAAAAAAATTTAAAAAAATAGCCAGGCATGGTGGCACACACCAATAGTCCCAGCTACTTGGGAGGCTGAAATGGGAGGATTGCTTGAGCCTGGGAGGTCGAGGCTGCAGTGAGCCGCGATTGCACCACTGCACTCCAGCCTGGGCGACCCCATCTAAAAAAAAAAAAAATAAGTTAAATAAGAGATCAAATGTCAGCTAAAATTAGGAGACAATGTGTTTTAGACTAATGGACAGTAGCAGGGCTGGCAGAAAAGCCACGTGGACCAGCATCTTTTTCCTCCACATAGCTGCCTGCTTGGAGGGGCCATGAGTACAATGGTAATGCCAAGACCAATTACGTTAGTGGTATAGACTGGAGTTTGGTGCTGATGAGATCAAGGGGATGCAGAAATCACTGTGTTAAACAGTGAGTGTCCCTCAAAGATTCTGATCTCAGGGCAGGGACAGAAATTGGAAACAGATGCCTCAAAAATGCATTCAGTTAGTCCCAAAGGCAGCTCGGTGAAAGTAGGAATGACTTAGCATCATCTAACGTCACTCCCAGGGGAAAAATGCCCTGAAGCTTGTATTTCACTGATTGTTATTATAATTTTTATGTGACTGTATATGATAACCATGTTGGCTTCTTTGAATTACAGGTCAAACTGCCTTAATATTTGGTGCAAGAATATTAGACTATGTCATCAATTTGTGCAAAGGTAAATTTGACTTCCTTGAACGGCTCTCAGACGATTTGCTCCTGACTATCATTTCTTATCTGGATCTTGAAGATATTGCCAGGCTTTGTCAAACATCACACAGATTTGCAAAGGTAACGGTCAATTATTTTATGTCTATATAGAATTTTCCATGTGCTTTCTAAAAAAAATTTTTAACATAGCAATCATTTGTTGAGTACTAACTTTGTGATGGACACTGTCTTAGGTGCACAAGCAGCAGAGATGAAATGACATTCCTCCCCTCAAAGAACTTACAGTATTATAGTAGAGATTCATGTAAATGCAAATAATTATAATACAGCGTGATCAGTTCAACAAGGGATGTGTATGCAAGGTACAAAGAGAGTGCAAAGTGATTTTCTCTGCCTGGCTTCACAAAAGCAGGTTACTTTATCTAGCTTTTGAGGGTGAAGTTGGTGAAGACAGGTGATCTGGGTTAGGGGGCATTCCAAGTCAAGGAACAACCAAGCAGAAGCATAGTGGCGTAAGAGAATAGGGCACTTTGGGAGGCCGAGGTGGGTGGATCACCTGAGGTCAGGAGTTTGAGACCAGCCTGGCCAACATGGGGAAACCCCATCTCTACTAAAAATACAAAAATTAGCTGGGCGTGGTGGCAGGTGTTTGTAATCCCAGCTACTCAGGAGGCTGAGGCAGGAGAATCACTTGAACCCGGGAGGTGGAGGTTGCAGTGAGCCAAGATCTCGCCACTGAACTCCAGCCTGGGTGACAGAGCGAGACTCTGACTCAAAAAAAAAAAAAAAAGAGAGAGAGAATAGGGCAAGGAGGACAACCTGACATCCGCGTTTCCATTTCTTCTAGTAATAGCCTTTGCTGCATTTCCTGTCTCCCAATATGTGTGTTTCAGTGGGCTGTCCATTGCAGTGTCCTGTTTTCTTCCTTGCCCGAAGCTGACAAGATGCATTGTCTCACTGCTTGAAATCCTCAGCAGAATGACCCAAGAGCAGGAAGCACAGTTAGTGCTGATTTCAGCCATTGTCAAGGCTTCAGTGTGACCTTTGTCAGTTGTACTCCCTGGATCCTGGAAGATACCTTGGTCCCTAACCCTTCTGTTGTTCCTTCAACTCCAGAACCCCCAATGCTACCCCACAATCACACACATACTACTTTTCCATTAAATCTCTTTTTGGCTTAAGTAAATCAGAATGGGAATCTGTTGCTTGCAACTGAGGAACCCTGACTAGCTCGGTATTTAGCTGTAATGTGTTGGGGCAATGTCCATTTATAAAAGAACATACAACATTTTCCAAGATGATTCAAATCATAATCTTATTATCTAAAAAGCCAACATTTTTTCCCAATAATGCAATAAAATGTCTTTATTTTTAAAATTAATTTTAATTCAGGCACAGTGGCTCATGACTGTAATTCCAGCACTTTGGGAGGCTGAGGAGGGAGGATTGGTTGAGCCTAGGAATTTGAGATCAACTTGGGCAAAATAGGGAGATTCCATCTCCACAGTACATTTTTAAAAAATTAGCTGAGTGTTATGGCCGGGCGCGGTGGCTCATGCCTGTAATCCCAGCACTTTGGGAGGCTGAGGCGGTTGGATCACCTGAGGTTGGGAGTTTGAGACCAGCCTGACCAGCATGGAGAAAACCTGTCTCTACTAAAAATACAAAATTAGCCAAGCGTGGTAGCACATGCCTGTAATCCCAGCTACTAGGGGGGCTGAGGCAGGAGAATCGCTTGAACCCGGGAGGCGGAGGTTGTGGTGAGCCAAGATCGTGCCATTGCACTCCAGCCTGGGCAACAAGAGCGAAACTCAGTCTCAGAAAAAAAAAAAAAAAGAATTTCTGAGTGTCATGGCATGCCCCTGTAGTCCCAGTTACTCTGGAGGCTGAATAGGAGGATCACTTGAGCCCAGGACGTTGAGGTTACAGTGAGTTGTGTTCATACCACTGTACCCCAGCCTGGACAACAGAACAAAACCCTGTCTCAAAAAACATAATTTTTTTTTTTTTTTTTTTTGAGACCGAGTCTCTGTCTGTCGCCCAGGCTGAAGTGCAGTGGCGCGATCTCGGCTTACTACAAGCTCTGCCTCCCAGGTTCACGCCATTCTCCTGCCTCAGCCTCCCGAGTAGCTGGGACTACAGGTGCCCGCCACCACACCCGGCTAATTTTTTGTATTTTTAGTAGAGACGGGGTTTCACCGTGTTAGCCAGGATGGTCTCGATCTCCTGACGTTGTGATCTGCCCGCCTCAGCCTCCCAAAGTGCTGGGATTACAAGCGTGAGCCACCGCGCCTGGCCAAAAATAATTTTAAGTAATGTAATTTTTTTTTTTTTTTTTTTTGAGACAGAGTCTTTCTCTGTCGCCCAGGCCAGAGTGCAATGGCATGATCTCCGCTGACTGCAACCTCCGCCTATTGGGTTCAAGTGATTCTTGTGCCTCAGCTTCCCGAGTAACTGGGATTACAGGCACCCACCATCATGCCCAGCTAATTTTTATATTTTTAGTACAGACGGGGTTTCCCCGTGTTGGCCAGGCTGATCTCAAACTCCTGACCTCAGGTGATCCACCCACCTCGGCCTCCCAAAGTGCTGGGATTACAGGTGTGAGCCACCGCGCCCGGCCTTAAGTAATATAATCTGTATTATAGTACTTAATATATTCCTTTTGAGAGTGTGTGTGTGTGTATATATATATGTATATATATATATATATGTATGTGTATATATACACACACACACATATTTAATTTTTAAAAGAGAGGTGGGATTTCATTGTGTTGCCCAGGTTGCTCTTGAACTCCTGGGCTCAAATGATCCTCCCACCTCAGCCTCCCAAAGTGCTGAGATTACAGGTGTGAGCCACCTTCCTGTCCAAATATATATATGTATATATATGTATTTTTTAACTTATATTTTGGGTTCAGGCATACATGTGAAGGTTTGTTACACAGGTAAACTCATGTCACAGGGTTTTTTTGTACAGATTATTTAATCACCCAGGTTAATTATTAAACCCAATACCCAATAGTTATGTTTTCTGCTCCTCCTCTTCCTCCCACCCTCCACCCTCAAGTAGACACCAGTATCTATTGTTTCCTTCTTTGTATTCATAAGTTCTCATCATTTAGCTCCCCAAAATATATTTTTTACTTGATTTTCCTACCTAAAAATGGAAAGCTGAAAACAAGTACTATTGTATATATTTTTGCCATTAAATAAGTATCCTAAAGTTGAAATTTTGTGCTTGGTGCTGATAAGAAGCTGATTATTAGGGCCTGGCACGGTGGCTCACACCTGTAATCCCAGCACTTTGGGAGGCCGAGGTGGGTGGATCACCTGAGGTCAGGAGTTTGAGACCAGCCTGGCCAACATAGGGAAACCACATCTCAACTAAAAATACAAAAATTAGCTGGGCCTGGTGGCACAGGCCTGTAATCCCAGGTAGTTGGGAGGCTGAGGCAGGATTGCTGCTTGAACTCAGGATGTGGAGGTTGCAGTGAGCCAAGATCACACCACTGCACTGCAGCCTGGACAACAGAGTGAGACTGTCTCAAAAAAAAAAAAAAAAAAAAAAAGAAGCAGCAGCAGCTGATTATTCATACTTTAAATGAAAAGAGAATTCTACGTAAATAAAATATGCAAGTGGGGATCTAGCAAAAGTTTCTGCGCTGTTGCAGGGCCTGGATTTGATTTTCTATCAAATCCTTCCATTTACTTTCAGTAAATTTCTGCTCCTGCAAGTAAATGGAAGGATTTGATAGGAAACAGCAGCAAGTGAGTGGCTTCTGGTAGTTATTTCTCACGCTGAGCGGCTGCCTTCTCTCCAAGTTTTACTCACTTCCACTATTACTTTCACTCTTAGTGTCCTGCTATTATTTCAGTGCAGTCTTGAAAACATTCTCCATAATTTAGCCAGTGCTCTGAAGTAGGTCTTCTCTAGGTTGCTGATTTCAGCCCTGAGCATCTTTACAGAGCAGAATTATTAGAAGATGGAACATGACTCAGGGCTGCTGCTTTTATTCTCCCCGCATAACATTAACCACTTTTCTTTTTTTTTTTTTTTTTTTTTTGAGTCAGAGTCTCGCTCGGTCACCCAGGCTGGAGTTCAGTGGTGAGATCTCAGCTCATGCAACCTCCACCTCCTGGGTTCAAGGGATTCTCCTGCCTCAGCCTCCTGAGTAGCTGGGTGGGACTACAGGTGCTTGCCACCATGCCTGGCTAATTTTTGCATTTTCAGTAGAGACTGGGTTTCACCATGTTGGCCAGGTTGGTCTTGAACTCCTGGCCTCAAGTGATCCACCTACCTCAGCCTCCCAAAGTGTTGAGATTACAGGCGTGAGCCACTGCACCCAGCCAACCACTTTTTTTCTTATTTGCACACAGGGAAAGAAGGAAAACCACTTATTTCTGTTGTCAATCTAAGTTTTATCTCTGTTCCATTTACCTGTTACACACTTCATTTATAAGTTATTTTCTTTTTCTTTTTTCTTTTTTTTTCTTTTGAGACAGAGTCTCGCTCTGTTGCCCAGGCTGGAGTGCAATGGCACCATCTCGGCTCACTGCAACCTCTGCCTCCTGGGTTCAAGCAATTCTGCTGCCTCAGCCTCCCGAGTAGCTGGGATTACAGGCACCCACCACTGTGCCTGGCTAATTTTTGTATTTTTAGTAGACACGGGGTTTCGCCATGTTGTCCAGGCTGGTTTTGGACTCCTGACCTCAGGTGATCCACCTGCCTCGGCCTCCCAAAGTGCTGGGATTGCAGGCATGAGCCACCATGCCCAACCTTATAAGTTATTTTCATTTAACTACTTTATTAATGAAAAAAAGGCTTCCTTTTCAAATTCCGGGGGACAAGTTTATTACCAAATTATTTGTGTCCAGTCCAGCTCCTTCCTCTTTACCTCAGGGAGGGAGTTGCTCCTCTCCTGCTCAAGATCAGTGCTACCTGACACGTGGTTCCAGGGCCTACTCCTGGGAATTTCACTTATTTCCTTTCTCTTCTGTTTGTTATTGTTACTATTATTGTTTTTTTAAGAGACAAAGTCACTCCATCACCCAGGCTGGAGTGCAGTGGCATGATCTCTGCTAACTGCAATCTCCGCCTCCCAGGTTCAAGCGATTCTCATGCGTCAGCCTCCTGAGTAGCTGGAATTACAAGTGCAAGCCACCACACCTGGCTAATTTTATTTTATTTTATTTTATTTCTGTATTTTTGGTAGAGACGGGGTTTTACCACGTTGGCCAGGCTGGTCTCGAACTCCTGACCTCAAGTGATCAGCCTGCCTCAGCTTCCCAAAGTGCTGGGATTACAGGCATGAGCCATTGCTCGGCCTATTGTTATTTTTTTTTTAACTTTTAATTACCCAGCTTCCCCCATGTTGACATCTTACATAACCATGGTACATTTATAAAAACTAGGCAATTAATATTGGTACAACACTATTAACTAAAATACAGATGTTATTAGAATTTCATTAGTTTTTTCAATAATGTCCTTTTGCTGTTTTATGTCCAATCTAGCTTACTACACTGCATTTAGTAATTAAATCTTTCTCTGTTTTTTCCCCCCCGTACGTTAATTTTTTTTTTTTCCTTTTTGAGACAGGGTCTTGCTTTGTTACACAGTCTGGAGTGCAATGGCATGATTACAGCTCACTGCAACCTCCACCCCCTGGGCTCAAGTGATCCTTCCACCTCAGCCTCCTGGGTAGCTGGGACTACAGGCCTGCGCCACCATACCCAGCTAATTTTTGTATTTTTTGTAGAGACAGGGTTTTGCCATCTTGCGCTGGTTGGTCTTGAATTTTGGGGCTGAAGCAATCCTCCTGCTTCAGCCTCCCAAAGTGTTAGGATTACAGGCATGCGCCACCATGCCCGGCATTAATTTTTTTCTCAAATCAGTTTCATCCTTCAAAAAACAAAAACTATCCTTATCCAATCTCTCTTCTTCAAAAATGGTTTACATAGCAGTTAATGCTCAGCAAACCAGCAGCATTAGTGACTTTATAACCCATGATGAAATGAGAATAATAAGGATGATATAAAGTTTTTGATAAAGCTAAACTTGTTTTATTTAAATGACCGTCTTTCAGTGGATGTTAGATCTTTCCTATTTTGGGGAGGGTTGAAATATTCCTTCTTGGCTGGGCACAGTGGCTCACACCTTTGGGAGGCCGAGGCGGATGGATCACGAGGTCAGGAGATCAAAACCATCCTGGCCAACATGATGAAACCCCCGTCTCTACCAAAAATACAAAAAATTAGCCAGGTGTGGTGGCATGCGCCTATAGTCCCAGCTACTCAGGTTGAGGCAAGAGAATCGCTTGAACCCAGGAGGCGGAGATTGCAGTGACCCAAGATCGGGCCACCGCACTTTACCCCAGGCTACAGAGCAAGACTCCGTCTTAAAAAAAAAAAAAAAAAAAAAAAGTTCTTTTTTTTATGAAGTGGTGGCAATAATACATGATCACTTTAAAAATTGTTCTTATTTGACAAAATGTGAAAGTCAGCAGCAACCTTATTTTTGTTCTTTATTATCATTTTATTTTGTTCTGCCTTTTAAAAAATTCACTGGTCTTAGGATAACCCAAAATTCTGAGAGGTGTTAGTCTAATGTCAGCCTACAGCTCCTCTTTCATTTTCCCCTCGGTCCATGCCTGCAAAATATCTCTGGCACATTCACAACAACCTTGTGTTTGTTGTATCAAAAGGGCCTGTTTCAGGTGTTCTTCTTCTTTTTTTTTTTTTGACACGGAGTCTTGCTGTGTTGCCCAGGCTGGAGTACAGTGGTGTGATCTCAACTCACTGCAACCTCCACCTCCCAGGTTCAACTGATTCTCCTGCCTCAGCCTCCCAAGTAGCTGGGACTACAAGCATGTGCCACCACACCCGGCTAATTTTTAGTATTTTTAGTAGAGACAGGGTTTCGCCATGTTGGCCAGGCTAGTCTTGAACTCTTGAACTCAGGTAATCGCCTGCCTTGGCTTCCCAAAGTGCTGAGATTACAGGCATGAGCCACCCATGCCCAACCAAGTCTTCTGCTTCTTGACTCATCTCTGCTTCCAGGACTCTGGTGGGTTTTCTCCTGGGAACCCCTTCATTGCTTCAGTGATTGCTTGTCCATGTGAGCTCAGGGTGGCCATTTTACATTGTACTCTGGTCATGCCATTGTCCTGCTCACTGGCCTTTAATGGCTTCCTGTCATTTTCAGAATGAGGTCCACAGTCGTAGCCAGCACAGCCACGGGGCCCTTGCCCTGCCTCCTGCCACCCTCTGCCCCAGCCAGGTCAGCTCCTTGCAGCTCTCTGTGTGCTGTGCTCTACTGTGCCTTTTGCCTTTGCTTAACACTGCTCTCTTTTCCAGGAATATTCTCCTCCTGACTCAACCACCACCTGGATCTCCCAAATGCCCCTTGATTGGCTTTTGTGCTTGCTTGCCCCACCCCCTTGACTTGTCTCTCTGCCAAGCTCAAGGGCAAGGATTGTGTCACCTAACTTCATATACCCACCTTAACAGAGTGTCTAGCCCAGAGTTACCTCCCAGAAAACGGTGGTTGAATGCTTCCATATCAATTTTGTTTATATTTTTGAAAAAGAAAGTTGACATCCATTGCAATGGTCAGATTGGAAATGTTTAAAAATTATGTATCCTTGTATATAAACTAAAAAGTTATTGCCCCTCCCAGTCCTGACCCTCATTCCTCTGATTCTCATCTCTAGTGGCAACCATATTAACTGTGTTTTGCATGTCCTTCCGGAGATATTCTACACATGTAGAACCATATGTGTGTGGGATGTGCAAGTACATATACCGGTACACACACCCTTCTAAAAAGCATGTAGTAACATATTATATATTGTTCTCCATCTGTTTTTTTTTCTACTTCACAACATATTTTAGACACTTTTAAAATATCAGTACTGGCCACGCATGGTGGCTCACACCTGTAATCCCAGCACTTTGGGAGGCCGAGGCAGGTGGATCACTTGAGGTGAGGAGTTTGAGAACAGTCTGACCAACATGGTGAAACCTCGTCTCTACTAAAAATACAAAATTAGCTGGGCATGGTGGCACACACCTGTAATCCCAGCTACTTGGGAGGCTGAGGCAGGAGAATCGCTTGAACCCAGAAGGCAGAGTTTGCAGTGAGCCGAGATTGACCCATTGCACTCCAGTCTTGGCAATAAGAGTGGAACTCCATCTCAAAAATAAAATAAAACATCAGTACCTATCAATCTTCCTCCATTTAAAAAAATTGCCATAGGATATCAGCGCATGGACAGATTATTTATTTATTTATTTATTTATTTTCCTGAGACAGGGTCATCTTGCTGTGTCACCCAGGCAGGAGTGTGGTGGCATAAACACAGCTCACTGCAGCCTTCACCTCCTGGGCTCAAGCAATCCTCCCACCTCAGCCTCTCAAATGTCTGGGACTACAGGTGCACACCACGACACCCGGCTAATTTTTGTGTTTTTTGTAGAGACTGGGTCTTGCTATCTTGCCTTAGCTGGTCTCGAATCTTGGGCTCAAGCAGTCCTCCTGCCTCGGCCTTCCAAAGTGTTGGGATTACAGGTGTGAGCCACCACACACAGTGAAGATAATTTATTTAACCAGATTTTTTGTTTACCCTCTGTATTTATAAATGATGCTCCATACTTTATATACAATTTGCATTGCATGTTTATCTGTAGAAAAAATTGCTAAGTGTAACTATTTAAAATACTCAAAGAAATATATTGAAATATGCATGATATAGGTAGTATACTGGGACTATAATATGCGCCTCCATGCATATGGAAAAAAGGAAATAAGTATGTACCTTGGGTCACAGACTATAACATTCATTCATTCATTCATTTATTCATTCATTCATTTATTTGAGATGGAGTCTCACTCTGTTACTCAGGTCGGAGTGCAGTGGCACAATCTTCGTTCATTGCAGCCTCCGCCTCCCAGATTCCAGTGATTCTCCTGCCTCAGCCTCCTGAGTAGCTGGGATTACAGGTGTCCTCCTCCATACCTGGCTAATTTTTGTATTTTTAGTAGAGATGGGGTTTCACCATTTTGGCCAGGCTGATCTTAAACTCCTGACCTCAAGTGATCTGCCTACCTCGGCCTCCCAAAGTACTGAGATTACAGATGTGAGCCACCACGCCCAGCCCATAAGAACATTTATTGAGCACCTACTGTATGTCTAGCATTCCACTAAGTTTTCTAATTACATTTTTTATTTAGTTCTCATAGAAATCTTTAGATGTAGATACTATTATTATCCTCATTCTATTTTATTTTATTTTAGTTTTTTTTTTTTTTTTTTGAGGCAGACTCTTGCTCTGTTGCCTAGGCTGGCACAATCTTGGCTCACTGTAACCTCTGCCTCCTGGGTTCAAGCAATTCTCCTGCCTCAGCCTCCCAAGTAGCTGAGACTATAGGCGCATGCCACCATGCCCAGCTAATTTTCGTATTTTTAGTAGAGGCGGGGTTTCGCCATGTTGGTCAGGCTGGTCTCTAACTTCTTACATCAGGTGATCTGCCTGCCTTGGCCTCCCAAAGTGCTGGGATTACAGGCGTGAGCCACTGCGCCCTGCCATCCTATTCATAAGGAAGCTAAAACTCAGCAAGTCTAACTGATGTGCCCGAGGTCATATGGCCAGGGAGTTTCCCTCAGGCACCCGACTGCTGGACCGAGTGATATATGGATACACTTCAGGGCTCTGTGCAGTCAGTATGTAATTACTGAGCCCCTGCTGTGGGCCGGACACAGTGGTAGGTTCTGGGGACTTGAAGGTGAAAAGATGCACGTGTCCCTGCCTTTAAGGAGCTTACATTCTTGAGCAGAGCAAAGGAAGAATATGGCTGGGAATGAAGTGGGAGGGGCTGGGGAGTAGCAGGCAGATCTGCAGGCACATGGTCAAGGTGTTGTTTTCATGGAGCCTGTTAAGAGTGCGGTGTGCAGGGTCACCTCTACGAGACAGAAAGGCTCCCACGGCCAGACCTGACGCCGTAGTATCGCTTCTGCCTTAGAAGCATAAAGACACATTCCCAAGAGCCAGACTGTGTAGGGACTCTGTGAAAGGCACCCCAGCCCAGGGAGTCCATGGTGCTATTCCACAGTTGAGGATGGAAGTATCCAGTTATACTTAATGCCACCAGCAATCAGGATCATCCAGCTTTCTGCCTTTGCTCTGATTCTATGTTGACCAAGGCCTGGAGCCTGCAGCCTGGAGCTGTGGATGAGCAACCAGCATACTGGAAAGTAGAGCTCCACACCTGTCAGGGTGGGGCCAGTCTCGGACTGAGACAAGTTCACCAAGGTGTGCTGCCATTTGGGCACCTGCCTGGGGTGCCTAGTGGCTTGCCCCTGATAGCACCAGGCCTTGATGCTATCCATTTCCTCCAAAATGCAGTAGATAAGTCTGGAGAAACCACCAGTGCAGCTAGATGAGAAGGCTGAGGCCCAGGCCGGGAAAGAGATGGTCATGACAGGCATATAAACACATTCATCCTGATTGTGACTCAGGAATCACCGGGAGAACCACTTAGGAAGAAAACCACTCCTCTGTCCTTTGTTGGCTGTGGAGAGAGAGATTTTTTCCTCATGTCTACAAACCCTCTATGATCATAATTCCCATGTCTGGCCAAGCAGGTGAAGCCCCTGGGGCACAGGTGGAAACACAGATGCCAGGCCCATCCCCTGAGCATCTGGCTTGGTAGATCTGAGGTGGAACCAGCACTTGTGCTCTTAATGTGTTTTCTTGTGTTTACAGCAACCTGATTCTAAGGGTTTGGTCCAACAATTTTCTTTTTTTTTTTGTTACAGAGTCTCGCTCTGTTGCCCAGGCTGGAGTGCAGTGAAGCAATCTTGGCTTACTGCAATCTACCTCCCAGGTTCAAGCGATTCTCCCTCAGCCTCCCAAGTAGCTGGGACTACAGGCGCATGCCACCATACCTGGCTAATTTTTGTATTTTAGTAGAGACAGAGTTTCACCATGTTGGCCAGGCTGTTCTCGAATTCCTGATGTCAAATAATCCACCCTTCGGCCTCCCAAAGTTCTGGGATTACAGGAGCCTGCCACCACCCCTGGCTAATTTTTGTATTTTTAGTAGAGACAGGGTTTCACCATGTCGGTCTGGCTGGTCTCAAACTCCTGACCTCAAGTGATCTACCCACCTCGGCCTCGCAGAGTGCTGGGATTACAGGCATGAGCCACTGTGCTCATCCTGGCCCAAGAATTTGACCAATCGATATTAAGGTTGTACAGATCAAATGTCTCAGGGGACTCTAGAAGGCTGGAAGCTTGCGGGAGGAGATCTCCTAGCATCACTGCGCAGGCAGTGTGGTGTGTTTAAATAAGCAGGAGGCTGGAGAGCTGGGTTCTGTTCTGTTCTTCGCTCAGCCACTCCCCAGCATGAACCTGGAACAGCATCCTTCTCCCTTCTCTTCTCTCAGCCCTGGTTTTCCTATTTGCAAAGGGAGAGGTTTTAAATAGATAAGCCCTAAGATTCTCTTCAACTTGACAATTTATGTATGCAAAATTCATGCACCACCACCGGGGGGCGCTAAATCCATGGTTAGCTGGGCTTTGGATCTGAGTAGCCAAAACTATAGAACCTTTCGTTTTGCAACCTGGCAACTACTAAGCAAAAGATCGTCAGGGTTTGGGAGTCATAGATGGGGGTATTTTGTACACGAACTTATAATATAAAACAAAACTGTAAATATTTTCAGTATAAAATTTGATGAGTCATAAATGAAGTTATACTAGTGGAAATTTTAGCTCTTTTGAGAATTATTTCCTTTCCCCCCAAATCTTGTAGTTTCCACCCATAATCTCTATTACAAGACACATTGATATCCTGAAATGTACTGTGCTAGTAATGGGATAGTAATCCACATTGGTGCTGGAGTTCAGATCTTTTAAAGGAAGGTCAAATGATCTGTTTTTCATATTAAGACATTTTTAAAGTTTTCCTTTGTTTATATTTAGAATAGGTTGTAATCTGAGTAGAGGAACTAAACCTTGAAGGACTGTTGAAGGAGAGATAAGATAATGAGTGACCCTTCTAACATCAAAATGCTTTAAGGTCTGTAGATATCATATGATTCAGTGTTGCTGTTTAGCAATAACCATTATGTGACTATAATAGCTGTTGTGTTGATGTTTGCGCAGAAAGGATCTTAAGCAATTATGCCTTATTGTACTATTCATTTCTATTTGTAATTCATTCTCTTCCCTTATTGGAGTACTTTTAGAAGATCATGAAGTATGGAAGGAAGGAGTGGTGACTGCTTTCTGTTCAGAAGTGAACGTAGTGGTGTCAGGAGGTAGAGGTCACACTTACACATTTCTTCCTCCCCAGGAGGAAGTCAGGACACAGGGGGGCACAGCACAACAGGGCTGGCCAGGGCTGGTGCTGTTTGGGATAGGAGGTAGGATGGGCAGGGGGAAGCTGGGTATGGGCCAGGGAGGCTGCCCTGGTGCTCCATTATGAGGGGACAGCAATCATGCCTATGTTTGTGTGAACCCAAGATTTAGCTCCCACTTACAAGTAAGAATGTGCGCTATTTGGTTTCCCATTTCTGTGTTACTTTGCTTAGGATAACAGCCTTCAGCAGCATCCACACTGCTGCAAGGACATGGTTTCATTCTTTTTTTATGGTGTGCAGTGGCAAAAGTTAATAGAAGAATAGAACATCTTCTACTTTCAAGACCAAGAAGTGCTCACACCTTGCAGGAATTGGAGAAGGTTTGGATCACATCACCAGGGGTAGCATCTTGATGAGCTGAAGTGCTGGCTAAAGACAGACAGAAGATGGGGTGATGGTAGAGGGAGAAAGTTATAAATACAACTTCCGGCCGGGCACGGTGGCTCACGCCTGTAATCCCAGCACTCTGGGAGGCTGAGGCAGGCAGATTACAAGGTCAGGACTTCGAGACCAGCCTGATCAACGTGGCGAAAACCTGTCTCTATAAAAAAAAATACAAAAATTAGCCAGGCATGGTGGTGTGCACCTGTAGTACTAGCTACTTGGAAGGCTGAAGCAGCAGAATCACTTGAACCCAGTAGGCGGAGGTTGCAGTGAGCCGAGATCGCACCCCTGCACTCCAGCCTGGGCAACAGAGTGAGACTCTGTCTAAAAAAAATAAATAGATAGATAAAAAAATAGATAAGGCTGGGCACAGTGGCTCACGCCTGTAATCCCAGCACTTTGGGAGGCCAAGGTGGGCAGATCACCTGAGGTCGGGAGCTCAAGACCAGCCTGACCAACATGGAGAAACCCTGTCTCTACTAAAAATACAAAATTAGCTCAGTGTGGTGGCGCATGCCTGTAATCCCAGCTACTTGGGAGGCTGAGGCAGGAGAATCACTTGAACCCAGGAGGCAGAGATTGCAGTAAGCCGAGATTGCGCCATTGCACTCCAGCCTGGGCAACAAGAGCAAAACTCCATCTCAAAAATAAAAATAAAAATAAATAAATACATACATAGATAAATAGAGATGAATTGGAATTAACTAGAGGCAACAAACTTCATCCAGATGTTGACAGTGACTGATGGGACTTGGCCGCAGTGGGGTGGGGGTGAAGGTGGAGAATAACACATTTTCCCTTGCACGAGGGAGTGTTGTGTTGCCTGGTGTTGGTAGGAGGATGTTCTTTCTACTGCCGTCACTGGGAAGTTTAAGTGTGTGCAGAAGGGTATGTCCTTTAGATATATGTGCACTTACATATTTGTGTCTGGCTGTTTTCCTCAAAGAGGAGGTTTCTCAAGGCAGGACCTGTGTCTGGCACAGGTAGTGTTTCTCCAGTGTCCCACAGGCAGCAAGAGTTTGATAATGAGTTAACACATGTGTGCTGTAACCCACCTCTGACTTTTCCCACCCACAGCTGTGCATGTCTGATAAACTGTGGGAACAGATAGTCCAGTCGACCTGCGACACCATCACTCCTGACGTGAGGGCCCTGGCGGAGGACACAGGCTGGAGACAGCTGTTCTTCACCAACAAGCTCCAGCTCCAGCGGCAGCTCCGCAAGAGGAAACAAAAATATGGAAACCTGAGAGAAAAGCAACCTTAGGCACACATTTTCCTACCAGCAGGGAGCTCAGGCATGGCTGTGTTTCTCTTCAGTGTCCAAATCTCTTCTGTCTCCTTTTCTTAAGAACTAAGAGGTTTTGTTGATGCGTGGAGCCATTTGAAACTCGTAGGGGATTTGCACACAAATGCAGCAGAGTCTGGCTCCCCAGTGCCTTGCTAGAGTCACCGTCATTCTGAGGTCAAATCATGGCCCGAGGACAAGGGCTGTAAGACAGGGAGCCCCATAGGCCATCATCATCCTTATCCCACACCCATTATAAAAGAGGTTTCTATTGTATATAAACAAACAATAAATGATTATTAGCAGGTTTTTATTAGACATCTATTTTATCTAGGCATTAGAAAGGGTAATGGGGCTTTTGAATTTTTTCCTGGCATTGTGTCGTCTGCGTCCAGCCATGAAGCTGGTGGCTGAGTGTCCCCACCAGGAACTGTGAAGGGCACGTACCACGGGAGGCACTCAGGGTGGGTGCAGCTGCCTTCCCAACTTTGTTCTGCTAAGTCCATATTCAGGGCCCTATCCTTGTGAGCCCAGGATGCCAGGGTCCATCCCCGCATGTAGACAGCTTCCGACCTGGTGCTGGAGCATGACTGGAGAAGTGCAGGCATCCTGCTTGCGGACCTTGCTCAAAGTACAACTTCCCAGGACTACTTCACATTGTTAAATAAACCTATAAACATTTCTTTTCTTTTCTTTTTTTTTTTTTTTTTGTATTTTCTTTTTAGTAGAGGTGGAGTTTCGCCATGTAGGCCAGGCTGGTCTTGAACTCCTGACCTCAAGTGATCTACCTGCTCTGGCTTCCAAAGTGCTGGGATTACAGGCATGAGCCACTATGTCTGGCTAAAACCTATAAACATTTCTTAGAGAAATGCTGTTCCCCAAAGGAATGTGAACAGCTACCACTTTTAACAAGGATATTTAAGAAAACAGACTATGAGTTAACTAAGTAAAAATGTAAATATGGTTTGCATGCTGTTAACATGGCAGAGGGGTAAAAAGAATACAGTCCTGGGGAGAAAGGTCACTTCACTGAGAAGGCTTACTTAAAAATGTTTTTCTCCCTGCACTTTCATGATTATTAAGTACCCCTAGAAAATGAACTCATAGCAGCAAATAATCTAATGACTCCTTTTAGGTTACAGAGCAAAGTAGCTTTCTACTTCCACATCACATTATAATATAGCCTTATAATTTCTTCTTTCCTGCAACCTTCACTTTCCTACCTAGGAAAACTCACCTCCGGTGCCAGAGAAACTTCCCAGGATGCACTAGGGCCCTGTGAACAATACAGAAGTTGTGGACTCTGGCTCTTTGTCCCACCTAAGTCCTTCCAGAAGGGCTCTACAGCATGGCTTAGTGACATTAAAAAAAAAAACTGAACCCATGTTAATATCAAACAAGATTTTAATCTTCATTCACACACCCTTAAAACCCAGTCACGGGGCTCCCCGGTGCCAGTTTGAGACCGTCAACCTAGCCCTCTCTGCTTCTCATTGCTGGAGGTACACACAGTCAAAAGTTTTCCGTGACTGTGAAATCCAGTGCAATCTGCTTCCCAGCAGATGAGGAGCCTGACGTGGTTATGTCTGGATTTAGTCCAAGAACAGAGCAAAGCTTTAATTGTCAAGAGACCCAGGCCTCATTCTCCACTTAGGAGAGTTTGCTAGGGCAGGTACAGGTAAAGGTAACCAGCAGGCAGCTGAGAGCAAGAAGGCACGTGCTCTGCAGAGCTCTAGCTGCCTTGGCTCTCCCTGAGCTCCCAGACTTCACTCATGGCCTAATTTTCAATGACAGAACGTAGGTTTTATCGTGAGGATGCAGACACAACCACAATTACGTATGTCAACATAACTTCATAAATATGTAACTGTAACTTATTGGTAACATCAGTGCAAGATGATTAAAGCTTCATGTGTAGTATTTTATCAACAAACAGATTCTGAAAGCTTATGGACATGCGCAATAGTTGATTCAGCTTCAATCAATAAGAACATAAATATGGCAATTTGAAAACACTATGTATATACCTACTCACATATATATTATACTTACGATATATACTTATATGTAGTATATAATAATATTACATATAAAAATGTTATAAAAATAAATGCTAAAGTAAATAAAAAAAGAGCCATTAATATGTTAACTATTGTTAAATAATAGCTAAAATAATACAGATTATTAAATTATTTTAATACTTACTTGCCATAATAATCTGAGTGCCTTATTACTTGATTACAATTGTTTTTGCCAAAATAGGAACAATATCATCAAGTGAACATCCTGTGTCTCCCCAGCATCCTCAGTGGTTGAAACACTTTGTCCCTCCCTCCCCCATCTCATTTTCCATGTGAGGTTCCATGTGACGATCCCATAACATGGTAATAGGCAGCGATGGTCTTGACTTTCTGCTTCTATTAACAGCTTTCATTTCTATTTCTGCTTTCATGTGGATGGATAAATCTGCTTTATGTCTTAACATTTCAGAGTGAAATGCCACACAATTTTTTTTTTTTTTTTTTTTTGAGGCAGAGTTTTGCTCTTTTCACCCAGGCTGGAGTGCAATGGTGCAATCTCAGTTCATGGAACCCTCCACCTCCTGGGTTCAAGTGATTCTCCTGCCTCAGTTTCCCGAGTAGCTGGGATTATAGGAGCCTGCCACAATGCCCTGCTAATTTTTGTATTTTTAGTAAAAACAGGGTTTCACCATGTTGGCCAGGCTGGTCTCGAACTCTTGACCTCACGTGACCTGCCCGCCTCAGCCTCCCAAAGTGCTGGAATTACAGGTGTGAGCCACGCTGCCCAGCCTTACAGCATTTTATAATCTTGTCCTTTTTCATCTTTTCAATCAACTGTGTTTCTACTCTGTTCTCATTTACCATTGTAATTATACAATACTGAAAATTTCCAATGGTTTATATATTTAGTGGTATAAGAACAATCTATTAACAATAGAAAATACATATTTTTAATTTATAACTAAATAATAAACATATTTTACTTAATGTCAAGTTCTACTACTACTTTTTTCCCAAACAGGTTGGCATATGTATGCATTAAGCCTCAGCAATATAGAATCCAAAATTTTTTCATTCTTTTTTTTTTTTGAGACAGAATCTTGCTGCTGTCGCCCAGGCTGGAGTGCAATGGTACAATCTCGGCTCACTGCAATCTCTGCCTCCTGGGTTCAAGCAATTCTCCTGCCTCAGCCTCCCAAGTAGCTGGGATTACAGACATGTGCCACCATACCGGGCTAATTTTTGTATTTTTAATAGAGACAGAGTTTCACCATGTTGGCCAGGCTGGTCTCAAACTCCTTACCTCGTCATCCACCCACCTTGGCCTCCCAAAGTGCTGGGATTACAGGCATGAGCCACCGTGCCCGGCCTAAAATGTTTTCTTCTACTGAGTAGGCCCCAGAACTAAGGCTGAGGTGATCATGTGGGGAGGGACTGCAAGCAGGGGTAAGGACAATGCACCAGGTACCACTTGTCATTGTTTTGTGAGCTGCTTGTGTATATAATGGTTATCAGTCTTTATTTATTACCCCAAACTGACTCCTGAAATACCGAAGAATAATATAAAACAACCTTACTAAAAACAGAAAAGTTCATCACAGTTTTTTGCTCTGAGTTTTAGTATAATGACCTCTATCTTCAGTTTGTATTAATATACTGTGAGAGCGTATCCAAGCTTTTCAATTGTGAGTAGTTGGTTTCAACTTGAAATGGATGTCTTTGATGTCATGTTAAAAACATCAAGTGATAAAAAATATCTTGAGACAAATGACAATGGAAACACAATATCAAAAGCAATCTAAGAGGGAAGTTTATAGCAATAAATGCCTATATTAAAAAAGAAGAAAGACCCCAGGCCAGGTGCAGTGGCTCATTCCTCTAATCATGGCACTTTGGGAAGCTGAAACGGGAGGATCCTTTGAGCCCAGGAGTTCAAGACCAGCCTGGGCAATATAAGGAGACCCTGTCTCTACAAAAAATAAAAAGATCAGCCCAGCATGGTGGCACAGGCCTGTGGTCCCAGCTACTTGGGAGGCTGAGGTGAGAGGATCGCTTGAGCCCAGAGGTCGAAGCTCTAGTGAGCTGTGATCACACCCCTGCACTCCAGGCTGGGCAACAGAGTAAGACTGTTTCAAAAAAAAAAAAAAAGGAAAAAGAAATACCCTAAATAAATAGCCTAACATTACATCTCAAGGAGCCAGTAGAAGAACAAACTAAATCCAAAGTTAGCAGAAGGAAGGAAATAAAGATTCGAACAGAAAAAATCAAATAGAGAACAGAAAAACCATAGGAAAAACTCAATAAAACCAAGAGTTAGTTCTTCGAAAAAATAAACAAAATCAGCAAACCCCTAGCTAAACTAAGGAAAAAAGAAGACTCAAATAAAATCAGAGATGAAAGTGGAGCCATTCCAACAGATGCCTCAGAAATAAAAGGAATCATAAGGGACTATTATGAATAATTATATGCCAACAAATTGTATAACCTAGAAGAAATGGATAAGTTCCTAGAAAAGTATAACCCACCAAGATTGAATTGATGAGAAATAGAAAGCTTGAACAGAATAACAAGTGAAGAGATTGAAGAAGCAATTAAAAACCTTCCAGTGAAGAAAATCTCAGGACCAGATGGCTTTCGTGGTTGATTTCTACAAACATACAAAGAAGAATTGTCACCAATACTTCTTAAAGACTTCCGAATAATAGAGCTAGAGGGAATACTTCCAAACATATTTTATGAGACCAGCATCATCTTGATACCAAAGCCAGACAAAAACACAAGACAAGAAAAGAAAACTTCAGGCCAGCATCTCTGATGAGCATTGATGCGAAAATCCTTCATAAAATATTAGAAAACTGAATTCAACAACACAAAAAGATTGTACATC
The DNA here is from genome assembly GCF_000001405.40 of Homo sapiens. Classification (NCBI taxonomy): domain Eukaryota; kingdom Metazoa; phylum Chordata; class Mammalia; order Primates; family Hominidae; genus Homo; species Homo sapiens. The sequence continues at coordinate 230,015,814 of NC_000002.12, forward strand.
AAGACAAAGTGAGATTTATCTCTGGCATGCAAAGCAGGTTTGACATACACAAATCAATCAGTGTGATACATTATCTTAACAGAATGAAAGAGAAAATACATAATTATCTTAATTGACAAACATTTGACAAAGTTCAGTATCCTTTCTTAATGAAAACTTAACTATGTATAGAAGGAAAGTTCCTCAACATAATAAAGGCAGTTTACAAAGACCTCACAGCTAACAACATAACCAACAAGGAAAAACTGAAAACTTTTTCCACTAAGATCCAGTACAAGGCAGGGATGCTCACATTCACCACTTCTATTCAACATAGTACTGCAAGTGCTTGCTAGCAAGAGCAATCAGACAAGAAAAAGAAAGAAAAACATCCAAGTTGAAAAGGAAGAAGTAAAATTATCTCTATTTGCAGATGACATGATTCTATAGGTAGAAAACCCCAAAGATTTGACAAAAAACTGTAACTAATAAATGAAGTCAGTAAAGTTGCAGGATACAAAATCAACATACAAAAAAATCAGTAGCATATCTATACACAATTCTTTTTCTAGCTGAAAAAGAATTCAAGAAACCAGTCACATTTACGACAGCATCACAAACTAAAATATCTGGCCAGGTGCGGTGGCTCATGCCTGTAATTCCAGTACTTTGGGAGGCCGAGGTGGGTGGATCACCCGAGGTCAGGAGTTCAAGACCAACATGGTGAAACCCTATCTCTGCTAAAAATACAAAAAAATTGCAGGGTGTGGTGGCAGGCGCCTGTAATCCCAGCTACTCAGGAGGCTGAGGCAGGAGAATTGCTTGAACCCAGGAGGCAGAGGTTGCAGTGAGTCAAGATTGTACCACTGCACACCAGCCTGGGTGACAGAGCAAGACTGTCAAAAAAAAAAAAAAAGAAAAAACAAACTTAAAATATCTGGGAACAAATTTAGTCAAGGACATGAAGGATTGATACACTGAAAACTATAAAACTGATGAAAGAAATCAAAGAAGACACAAATAAATACATATATTCATGGATGGGAAAATTTAATATTGTTCAAATGTCTGTATTACCTAAAGAAATATGCAGATTTAATACAGTGCCTATCAAAATTCCCAAGGACATTCTTCACAGAAATAGAAAAAAAAAAAAAAAAAAGCCTGGGTAGTATAACAAGACCCTGTCTCTTAAAGAAAAAAAAGTTAAAAATTAGCTGGGTGTGGTGGTGCATGCCTGCAGTCCCACATACCATGGAGCTGAGGCAGGAGGATTGTTTGAGCCTAAGAGTTCAAGGTTGCAGTGAGCTATGATCATGCTACTGCACTCCAGCCTGGGCAACAGAGCAAGGTCTTGTCTCTAAGTAAAATAATAAAGAAAAAAATCCTGAAATTAATATAGAACCACAAAATACTTAGAATAGCCAAAGCAATACTGAGAGAAAATGTTTGAGGCCTCACACTTCCTGATTTAAAATTATATTATAGAGCTATACTAATCAAAACACTATAGTACTGGCAGAAAAACGGAAACATAGACCAATGGAACAAAATTGAAAGCCCAGAAATAAGTCCAAACACATAGGATCAATTAATTCTCAACAAGGGCACCAAGAGGACAAAATGGGGATAGGATAATGTCTTCAATAAATGGTGCTGGGAAAACTAGATTGCCACTGCAAAAGAATGAAATTTGACCCTTACCTTACACCATACATAAAACTCAACTCAAAATGGATAAAAGACCTAAATGTAAGACCTGAAACCATAAAACTTCTAGGCGAAAACTCCTCCTCCTGGGCTCAGTCCTTGACATAGGCCTTGGCAATGATTTTTTGGATATCATACCAAAAAACCAGGCTACGAAAGCAAAAATAAATAAATGGGATGATACCAAACTAAAAAACCTTTGCAGAGCAAAGGAAACAATCAACAAAATGAAAAGGCAGCTTACAGACTAGAAAACAATATTTGCAAACCACATATCTGATAAGGAGTTAATATCCAAAATGTATAAAGAACTCTTACAACTCAATAACAAAAAAACAAATAACCCTATTAATAAATGGGCAAAAGATCTAAACAGACATTTCTCCAAAGAAGACATAAAAATGCCCAACAGTGGCCGGGCATGGTGGCTTATGCCTATAATCCCAGCACTTTGGGAGACCAAGGCAGGAGGATCATGTAAGCCCAGGAGTTTGAGACCAGCCTCGGCAATATGGCAAGACCCTGTCTCAACTTTAAATTTTTTTTAAAAAATGGCCAGCAGGTATATAAAAAGGTGATCAACATCACTAATCAGCAGAGAAATGCAAATTAAAACCAGGTCGAGATACCACCTCACACCCATAAAGGTGGCTCTTGTCGAAAAAACAAGTGATAAATAACAAATGTTGGCAGGGGTACGGAGAAAAGGAAACCCTAGTACACTGTTGGTGAGAATGTAGATTGGTACAGCTATTATGGAAAACAGTATGGAGGTTCCTAAAGAAATTTAAAATAGAGCTACCATGTGACCAGCAGTCCGTCTTCTGGGTGTATATCCAAAGGAGATGAATCACTGCCTCGTAATGATGTCTGCAATCCCATGTTCATTGCAACATTACTCACAATAAGCAATGTGGAAACAACCTAAATATCCACTGATGGACAAATGGATAAAGTAAATGTGGTAGATGTATACAATGGAATATTATTTGGCCTTAGAAAAGAAAGAGATCCTAGCATTTGCAACAACACAGATGGACCTGGAGGTTATTATACTAAGTGAAATAAGCCAGAAACGAAGAGAAAAACATGGTCTGATCTTACTTATATGTGAAATATATATCGTTTTTAATTATATATATAAATATATATTCACATATATCTGTGTGTGTTTATGTGTGTGTGTGTATATATGTGTGTGTGTGTATATATGTGTGTGTGTGTGTATGTGTGTGTGTGTATATATATATATATAATTTTTTTTTGAGACAAAGTCTCGCTCTGTCACCCAGGCTGGAGTGCAGTGGCACAATCTCGGTTTACTGCAACCTTTGCCTGCCAAGCTCAAGTCATCCTCCCACCTCAGCCTCCTGTCCTGAGTAGTTGAGACTAGGGCGCCACCATGCTCAGTTAACTTTTTAGTTTTTTGTAGAGATAGGGTCTCATTACATTGCCCAGGCTGGTCTCAAACTCCTGGGCTCAAGTGATCCTCCCACCTCAGCCTCTTAAAGTGCTAGGATTATAGGCATGAGCCACGATGCCTAGCCCTGGAATATATATAAATATAAGAGCACTCATATATACTGAGATAGAGAATGAAACAGTGGTTACCACAGGCAAAGGCTAGGGAGAGAGGAAATGAGGAAATACAGTTCAAAGCATATAAAATAGGAAATATATAGGATAAAAAGTTTAGAGATCTGATGTACAACATGAGGACTAATGTTAATAAAATTGCATTGTATTGGGGATTTTTGTTAAATAAGTAGATTTTAGCTGCACTTGCACTAATAAAAAGGAATTATGTGAGATGATATTGTTAATCAGTTTCACCATAGTAACGTTTTTACTGTCTATATATATCCCATAACATCATGCTATACTGTCAGATACACACAATAAAATTTATATTTTAAAAAACCAAAAACATCAAGTGAACAAAGTGCCACCACATTGAAGAAAAATGGCACCTGCAGTTAAAACCCTAACAATATACATTGTCATTTTACAAAATAAAATTAATAGCTTCACTTCTACTTCATTTTAAAATAAGATCATCTGCACTCTGAGGCAGCATTCGTCTGCCCTTGCAACGTGTAACTGTCAGAGTGGGGCACTACAGAGGACTACCTGCATTATATTCCCTCAAAAACGGTTTTCCACTCAGGAAAGTTATTTTCAATTGGGAAATATGTTCTGCCCATTCAAAAAGTCTTACAGCCACTGATCCATGGCCACAGACTGCACTGGAATAACCTCAGAAATAATAATATTAGCAGCTTCTATCTATTGTCTACTATGTGCCAAGAAATAAACAGATAGTAAACAACTGAATTCTTAACAGCAATCCTTAAAAGTAAGTGATATTATTTCTGTCATTTCTCTCAGGGGTCTACAAATTATGGCGTGGACCTAATCTGACCAGCCTCCTGATTTATAAATAAAGCTTTATTGGAACAGTATTTATGTGTTATCTGTGGTCGCTTCCATACTACAATGGCAGCATTAGGTAGTAGTCGTGACACAGACTGCATTGCCTGCAAAATCTAATTATTCTGAGAGGACAAGTTAATTTTTTCAAAGTTTCATAAAACTGAGACAAATCTCTACCTACTAAGTCTGTGTTCTTAACCACAAATGCCACAGCACCTCTCCTTTCAGAGCCAAAACTACATCTCACCAATAGAACTTGAAAAGGTGATGGGATTTGTGCAGGTCACATTTGAAATTATAAGGAGAGGGCCTTGAGCATAATATGAGACCATTCAAGACTGGTTGCCCAGAGAATATGCCAAGCTTTTGATGAACAAAATTATTGCCTATTTTTAATAAAGTATCTTTTTGTTGTTGTTGTTTTTGAGACAGGGTCTCACTCTATCGCCCAGGCTGAAGTGCTGTGGCACAAACACAGCTCACTGCAGCCTCAACCTCAAGAGATCCTCTCACCTCAGCCTCCAGAGAAGCTGGGACCACAGGCACACATCACTACACCCAAATAATTTTTGCATTTTGTGTAGAGATGAGGTCTTGCCATGTTGCCCAGGCTGGTCTCAAACTCCTGGGCTCAAGTGATCCTCCCACCTCAGCCTGCCAAATTGTTGGGATTACAGGCATGAGCTACAGCACCTAGCCTAAAGTGTCTTAAGGCATTTAAATAATGAGCAAGGGGTAAATTCTTCGAGCCCCTCATACACTCTTATGGAAAGCTACCAGGATGAGTAAAGGGGGTGAGTAAATACAGCTTACTGGTTCTTTCCCAAACTCAGTGCTCTCTTCCTACCACTTTCCTCTACTTGACCACTTGGAAATCTGCCTCTGTCAAGAAACCCTTACCTCCTTCTATTTCACCTGGCAATTCAAGAGGAGGTGGGATTGGCTCTCACCTTGCTCTCCAGTGCTAATTGGAGACCCTCAACCCAACTCTCTCCTCACAGTCCAACTGTAGCACCTTTCCTGCATTGCAGTGGTCTCCGCTCTCCACCATGGCTCAATTCCCTTTTCATAGATGACAACTGCTTCCCCGCTCCAGTCTTTGCAATTCAACATCAGCATTCCCTCCCCAACTCACTGTTCTCTGAATATTTTGACGCTGGAGACCTCCCCCCATCCACACATACCACACTCCAGCCTGGCCAACCTGGAATGCTTATCCTTCCACGGCCTTCACATCTGAGCTTTCTGGTGTGGAGCCATTGCTTCTGGAGGGAAGCCTCCTTACCTTCTTGAGGAGTTGCCTCATTTCCAAAACTCACTTCTTCTAAGCTTCCATGAATCTGTACATGTGACCGGTTTGCTCTCTGCCCTAACCTGCGTCCCTTACTGCCTGTTCATCCAGCAGCCCCTCCCTGACTGTACTTGACTACCTGCCCTCTCTGAATTCCAGGATTAGTGAAACGCTCAACGCGTGAAACGCTCTTGCCCTGTAACCTGCAGGATGTCCACCCGACGGGCGATTTATGTCCTCTTCCCTATGGTCAGACGGCAGAGCATCACTGGGGCACACCAGATGTGCTGCCTTGGCCCCCGACCGACCTAGCCTGGCTTCCTTTGGCTTCCACGCATTGCCTTAACAGGCCTTGTATTATCTATTTCCTGGGCTTCTCACAGTGGATCTTCAAGTCTTATCTCCCACTTCGCAGAGATTAATCTTTTCAGTGTGAACGTCACAGCTTCTCTTCTCTCCTGCATGAAACCTCCCTGTCCTGGGCCCACCTTGTCTTTCTTCTACCTTCAGAGGGAGGAGTTGACTTATTTACAGTGCTCACCTATCCATTGTTAGGGATTCTGGTCTTTCTCATCTCCTTGTTCTCTATATCTTCCATCTCTCCTCTTCACAGATTCTCTTTCCTTCTCTTTTTTGAATACTTATGTAAATAGAGACAGGGTCTTGCTATGTTGCCCAGGCTGGTCTCAAACTCTGGTTTCAACTGATCCTCCTGCCTTGGCCTCCCACACTGGGATTACAGGAATGAGCTACCGCACCTGGCACCCTTTTCTTTTCTTAAGAACATAGGAATCCGACAGGCTGTAATCCCAGCACATTGGGAGGCCGAGGTGGGTGGATCCCTTCAGCCCAGGAGTTTGAGATGAGCCTGAAAAATATAGTGAAAAGTGAGACCTTGTTTCTACAAAAAAAAGAATATAGGTCTCTCCTTGAAAGAAGCTTCATTCTAATGACCTTCTCAGTGCCCTGTTATTTCTCTCCTTCTGAGCCACCAAACAGCTATAACAATTACTCTCCCCTCGCTGCTTCCCCTTGTTCTCTACTATTCCCGCAATTCCTTAGCCTCTCTTGGTCATCTTCTAAAGCTACTCTCTTAGCTACTACTGAGAGTTTCTAATCTAGTATCCCTTTCTCAGCTCCCGTTGTTAATTCATTTAAAAATACTGTTTTAGGCAGGGTGCAGTGGCTCATGCCTGTAATCCCAGCACTTTGGGAAGCTGAGGTGAGTGGATCATCTGAGGTCAAGAATTCGAGACCAGCCTGACCAATCTGGTGAAACCCTGTCTCTACTAAAAATACAAAAATTAGCCGGGCCTGGTGGCGTGCACCTGTAGTCCCAGCTGCTCCTGACTTCAAGTGATCCGCCCGCCTCGGCCTCCCAAAGTGCTGGGATTACAGGCATCAGCCACTGCACCTGGCTTAGCTCTACTCTTTTTTTATATTGAACTCCTTGATCTTTTCAGCTTTCAGATGTATACATGTGTATGTGTATTAGTTATACGTTGTGCCCACATATATGTATATGTCTATACTTGTGTTTGGATATTGTCTACACGGTACCAAGTTAACATAACAATAAACGAGTAATCAAAAATCAAATAAATAAGCTCAAATATTTTTCAAGTTCACTTGACTTGAGTGAATCTTTTGGTAAATATGAGTAGTTTAATATTGTTGGTTTAATAAAAACAAATATCTTCTGACTTATCAGCAAAATATGCATGTATTTAATGTTCAGGTGATTGCTTTATGATACTTAGATAACATATGATAATATTAATAGCAAAATGGTTAATAGGAAATTTAAGTTGAGAAGATGGCTAGAGGCTGAAACAGGAGAATTGCTTGAACCGGGAGGCGGAGGTTGCAGTGAGCTGAGACTGCGCCATTGCACTCCAGCCTGGGCGACAGAGCGAGATGCTGTCTCGAAAATAAATAAAAACTAATAAATAAATAAATAAAAATACTGTTTATGTATTAGTTACTCTGTGCCAGGCACTGAGCTAAGCCCTGGAGACACTTGCATAACTAGAACACGGCCCTGCCCACAAGCAAGTTCAGTCAGTAAATGTTCCCCATTTTTCCTAACATCCAAGGTTCTTCGCTAGCCAGCTTTACTTCCTACCTCTCTACTCTTTTTCTTCCACCTTTGAAGGATTCTTCTCCTGTTTCCACCTCTGAAAGTCCTGCAGCTGTTCCTTTACTGACCAGCAGAGTAGGTCCTAAAGGGCTGCTGGTGAATCCAAGGCCATCCAAGGAATGCTGCCCTGGAGAGAGCTCAGTGACTCTTCCTCCTTTCACGCACCCTTGGGAAATGGGGCACACTTCCAGAGGACTTTCTCCAGGTGGTGTTTCAGTGTCTGCCTTGTGCCTGGAGGCACTGCGCTCCACGCTTGGGAATGCCATGGAAGCAGACAGACCTAGTCCTGTTCTCATGGGGCTTCCTTGGTTGGGGGTAGTAGGGGAGGGGCTAAAAGGAGTAGGAAGGTGACACCTCTTCCTTGGAGATTCTGATATGCTCCTCTGAGTAGAGTTTATTCTCAGCACCATCCTGTTCTTTTTTTTTTTTTTTTTTTTTTTTTTTTTTGAGATGGAGTCTCATTCTGTCACCCAGGCTAGAGTACAGTGGTGCGATCTTGGCTCACTGAAACCTCTGCCACCCGGGTTCAAGCAATTCTCCCGCCTCAGCCTCCCCAGTAGCTGGGACTACAGGCGTCCGCCACTGCGCCTGGCTAATTTTTGTAGTTTTAGTAAAGATGGGGTTTCATCATCTTGGCCAGGCTGGTCTTGAACTCCTTACCTCATGATCCACCCGCCTCAGCCTCCCAAAGTGCTGGGATTACAGGCGTGAGAGCCACCATACCCGGCCTTTTTTTTTGAGACAGTCTTACTCTGTGGCCCAGGCTGAAATGTGGTGGTTCGATTTCAGCTCTCTGCAACCTCCGCCTCCCGGGTTCAAGCAATTCTCCTCCCTCAGCCTCCTGGGTAGCTGGGATTACAGGCATGTGCCACCACTCCCAGCTAATTTTTGTATTTTTAGTAGAGACAGGGTTTCACCATGTTGGCCAGGCTGGTCTCGAACTCCTGACCTCAGGTGATCCTCCCACCTCGGCCTCCCAAAGTACTAGGATTATAGGTATGAGCCACCATGCCTGGCCACCATCCTGTTCTTTTGATTAATATTTATGAGACTCATGACTTGACAATCAATCCGACCTCCCACTTTGCAGAGATTAAGCTTATCAGCGTGAACTTCTCTTGGCTTATCTGTCAAGGTTTTGTATAAACAACCTTCCCCTACCTGTGCAGCCTGGCATCATCCCTATTCTTGGTTACTTCAGGCTATTCTTTGAACCTGAGCTCCTCCTGTGCTTTCCGGGTCTGTGTTTTCACCCATGTTGTTCTCCCCTTGCCCCGTCATCATGCCAGCCCCCTAACCAAGTCATGCCCAGCCTCCAGGGCCACTTCACACTTCAGCCATCTCTCCTTCTGATTCCTCTAGCACAAAGTGTGCTGCTGGGATCTTGGGAGTCCTCAAAACCCCTTCAGTCATCTGTGAGGTCAGAACTATTTTCATAATAATACTAGGACATTATTTACCTTTTTCATTCATTCACTCATTCTTTTTTTTTTTTTTTTTTTTTTTTTTTTTAGACAGGATCTCACTCTGTCACCCAGGCTGGAGTGCAATGGCGCAATCTTGGTGCACTACAACTTCTACCACCCAGGCTCAAGCAATCCTCCCACCTCACCCTCCCAACTAGCTGGGACCACAGGTACGTGCCACCATGCCTGGCTAATTTTTATATTTTAGTAGAGATGGGGTTTCACCATGTTGCCCAGGCTGGTCTCAAGCTCCTGGGCTCAAGCAATCCTCCCGCCTCAGCCTCCCAAAGTGCTGGGATTATAGGGAAGAGCCACCAGGCCTGGCCGCTTTTGTATTCATTCTTTCACAAGTAAGCAGTGGAATTTTCCAGAGGCTATGTGAACTGTGATGTTACTCTGATGACTAGTGGAACATATGCTTGTCTATTTTTGTGTTTTCTAGACTTTTCTAAGGTAATAGGTTTAGGGTATGAATATGTTGAATTTTCAGAGGCTAACCTAGTTTGTTTTCAGTACTTCTACCGTGCTCTTGCTAGTTATCTTTGTTATACCTGCTATCTTTTTTTTTTTTGAGACTGAGTCTCGCTGTGTTGCCCAGGCTGGTTTCCAATGATTCTCCTGCCTCAGGCTCCCAAGTAGCTGGAATTACAGGCACGCGCCACCACGCCCAGCTAATTTTTGTATTTTTAGTAGAGACGGGGTTTCACCATGTTGGCCAAGCTGGTCTTGAACTTCTGACCTCGTGATCTGCCCGCCTCAGCCTCCCAAAGTGCTGGGATTACAGGCGTGAGCCACCGCGCCCAGCCTATACCTGCTATCTTTTATGCAACCTTATTCTCATCCAGTAAATTGGTATCCTGAGGTTTACCTGTGTGGAAATACAAGAGGTAGATATACTTTGTTGTCTTACTTTGCAATAATATTTAAAAATACTTTTGTTTTATTTTGTTTTTTAGAGGGAGTCCCACTCTGTCACCCAGGCTGGAGTGCAGTGGTGTGATCTCAACTCACTGCAACCTCCACTTCCCAGGTTCAAGCAATTCTCCTGTCTCAGCCTCCCAAGTAGCTGGGACTACAGGTGCGTGCCACCACACCCAGCTACTTTTTGTATTTTTAGTAGAGATGGGGTTTCACCATATTGGTCAGGCTGGTCTCGAACTCCTGACCTCAGGTGACCCACCCGCCTTGGCCTCCCAAAGTGCTGGGATTACAGGCAGTGAACCACCTTGCCCAGCCAAAAGTACTTTTAAAAATAGCTTTTAAACCCTAAAATGTGAATTCTAGGATTTAATATTTTATTGAAAACTTAAACATTTATATTTTTATTCTATTTAAAGATGGATCATTTGCTTTAAAGGGGGATATGGGAAATCTTGCTTTCTTAGCCCACAGCTGCACTGAGACTAAAGATGCTAAAAAAAGATGAAACTGACATATTAAGGAGTTTTCAAACTCACATAAGGGAAAAACTAGTAAAAAGAAGTATAAATATGACTCAGAAGGTATTTTTCCTTGGCTTTATAGTGTTAAAAATTTACCTTTTTTGGTACCCCTCAAGTTACGGCATCACTTTGAGAGGAATCATTCAGAGTTTAAAGAAAAAAGGAGTTGAATATTTTAAATGTAGATATGATGTTTCTTAAAAGCCCAGAATGTATCATTACAGCTTTTTAAACCAAAATGAAAAAGCCGTTGAAGTGGGTAAGTTACCGTACTGCCCTGAGAAAGGCGGACAAGCCCATTCAGCTGGCATTGCCAAGTGCTTGCTGGATGGAAACTCAGCAAAAGAAAATCACAACGGTGCCACTTTTTTTTTTTTTTTTTTTGAGGTGGAGTCTCCCTCTATCCTCCAGGTTGGAGTGCAGTGGCGTGATCTCTGCTCACTGCAACCTTTGCCTCCTGGGTTCAAGCAATTCTCCTGCCTCAGCCTCCCAAGTAGCTGGGATTACAGATGCCCGCCACCACGCCCACCAAATTTTTGTATTTTTGGTAGAGACACGGTTTTGCCAAACAGTGCCACTTTCTAATGACACAGTAACTTGTCATATTAAAGCTCTAGCAGCAAACATGAAGGATGAGTTAATCTCTTCTCTGCATATTGTGCTGATGTCTTATAAATGGCCAAGTCAGTAGATTAGGTTGCGCTTGATGTTTTGCTTGTGTTCATCCGGTATCAACACTGACTAATCAAAGTCCTTTATTTTTTTTTTGAAACAGGCCGAACAATACCACTATTCTTACTCTTTTTTTTTTTTTTTTTTTTTTTTTTTTGAGACAGAGTCTCACTCTGTCGCCCAGGCTGGAGTGCAGTGGCCTGATCTCGGCTCACTGCAAGCTCCGCCTCTTGGGTTCATGCCATTCTCCTGCCTCAGCCTCCCGAGTAGCTGGGACTACAGGTGCCTGCCACCACACCCGGCTAATTTTTTGTATTTTTAGTGGAGAGGGGGTTTCACCGTGTTAGCCAGGATGGTCTCGATCTCCTGACCTCGTGATCCACCGGCCTCAGCCTCCCAAAGTGCTGGGATTACAGGCGTGAGCCACCGTGCCCGGCCACTCATTTTTTTAAGAAGTGGTTACTTTTTCTCCCTCCATCACCCAGGCTGAAGTGCTGTGGCACCATCTCAGCTCACTGCAACCTCCGCCTCCCGGGTTCAAGTGATTCTCATGCCTCAGCCTCCCAAGTAGCTGGGATCATAGGCACCTGCCACTACGCCCTGCTAATTTTTGTGTTTTTAGTGTAGACAGAGTTTCACCATGTTGTCCAGGCTGGTCTCAAACTTCTGGCCTCAAGTGATCGGCCTGCCTCGGCTTCCCAGGGTGTTGGGATTACAGGCGTGAGCCACCGCACTATCTTTAATACTGTGTGACAAAGGTGGGAGGAAGCAAGACCGCATCTGCTGCACATCAGAGTGTCACGGTTGTCATGAGGAAAAGCAGTTGTGTGATGAATCGCGAGCTCAACTACCCCTTTTTTCATGAAACACCATGTTTATACTTGGCAGACACATTATTGGAAATGAGGCTATCCCTTCAAGGAAAACAAGTGCAGATTTCCTTGCCAATGATAATATTCAAACTTTCAAAAGAAAAATAATATTTTGGATAATTTACACCAACTTCCATGAGCTTGTCCACTTTCCAATGCTTAAAGTATTTTTAAGTACTTTAAAATACTTTGAAAGTTTTATTACCACCCATCTCATCAGACTGCCTAGTAGTATTAACACATGTGATTCTAAAAATTGAGATGTAATTCACATATCATAAAATTTACCCTTTAAGAGTATATATGGCCAGGCGCGGTGGCTCACGCCTGTAATCCCAGCACTTTGGGAGGCCGAGGCAGGTGGATCACGAGGTCAGTAGATCGAGACCATCCTGGGTAACACGGTGAAGCCCCATCTCTACTAAAAATACAAAAAATTAGCCAGGCGTGATGGCCGGCGCCTGTAGTCCCAGCTACTTGGGAGGCTAAGGCAGGAGAATGGCATGAACCCGGGAGGCGGAGCTTGCAGTGAGCCAAGATCGGGCCACTGCACTACAGCCTGGGCAACAGAGCGAGACTCCGTCTCAAAAAAAAAAAAAAAGAGTATATATGTCAGTGTTTTTTGTATTATATTCAGAGTTGTGCAATCGTCACTGTCATCTAGTTCCAGAACATTTTCAGCACCTCAAAAAGAGACCCCGTACTTATGAGCTGTCACTTTCTATTCCCATCTGTCCCCAGCTCTGGCAATCACTAATATAGTTTCTATTTCTGTGGATTTGCCTACTCCAGACATTCCATATAAATGGAATAACTGATTTTTTACACAAATAATAATTGTGATTTTCAAAATATTGTATAAAATATGAAAAAATTTTAGAAGAGCTACAAAACTCAGTGGAGCAATATTTTCCAAGTGATCAAAACATCATTTTACAAAATCAGAAATGGGCAAAAGATTCAAAGTGTAAACTAGATCAATGGATTTTAATGTAATATTGTATGGGAAGTTTATTCATATGGTTTCAGATTCTACACTACAATGAACCTTTAAGAAATACCACTTCTTGAGTCTGATGTGGTATCAAAAATACATTTAGCAAATATGAGAATCAACCTATTTTCTATTAAGCCAAACATTAATGAAATTTGCAAAAATGTAAAACAATACTACTATTTTTTTTTTTGAGACGGAGTCTTGCTCTGTCACCAGGCTGGAGTGCAGTGGCGTGATCTCGGCTCACTGCAACTTCTGCCTCCCAGGTTCAAGTGATTCACCTGCCTCAGCCTCCCGAGTAGCTGGGATTACAGGCGCCCGCCACCACGCCTGGCTAATTTTTTGTATTTTTAGTAGAAACGGGGTTTCACCATGTTGGCCAGAATGGCCTCGATCTCTTGACCTCATGATCTGCCTGCTTCAGCCTCCCAAAGTGCTGGATTACAGGCATGAGCCACCGCGCCTGGCCAAACAATACTACTGTTCTTACTCATTTTTTTAAAAAAGCAGTTACTTTTCATAAAAATGTTACTTATATTAACATAGTAGTTTCAATATTATTATTTTAAAATGAAGAAATATGTAAATGTTTTTTAATTTCTCAGTTTTGATTTTTCTGTTTTTTTAAGACAGAGTCTCACTGTGTCACCCAGGCTGGAGTGCAGTGGCATGATCACAGCTCACTGCAGCCTCAATCTCTCAGCTAAAGTGATCCTCCTACCTCAGCCTCCCGAGTAACTAGGACTATAGGTGTGCCCCACCATGCCTGGCTAATTTTTGTACTTTTTTGTAGAGACATGGTCTCACTCTGTTGCCCTGCCTGGTCTCAAATTCCTGGGCTCAAGTGATCCTCCTGCTTCAGCCTCCCAGAGGGCAGGAATTACAGGTGTCATCCACTGAGCCCGGCCCTCAGTTTCAATTTCTAATATGGTGAATATTGGTAGATATAGCCAGCAAAAGCCAAATATCTTTGGTTCCTCGTTGGTTTTTCAGAGTATAGAGGAAGGAATAGTAACTGTCAATCACATCCCAACAATTTATGAATACACATTTTACAGTTTTTAAAAACATAAGCTTTTTTTCTTTTCTTTTCTTTTCTTTTCTTTTTTAAAGCCTGTGGGAAACATGGGCTTTCTAATGGAACTATTTTTCTTTCTCTTCTTCTTCTTTTTTTTTTTTTTTGAGATGGAGTTTTGCTCTTGTTGCCCAGGCTGGAGTGCAATGGCATGATCTCGATTCACTGCAACGTCCTCCCAGGTTCAAGAGATTCTCCTGCCTCAGCCTCCCGAGTAGCTGGGATTACAGGCATGCGCCACCATGCCTGGCTAATTTTGTATTTTTAGAAGAAACGGAGTTTCTCCATGTTGGTTAGGCTGGTCTCGAACTCCTTACCTCAGGCCTGCCTCAGCCTTTCAAAGTGCTGGGATTATAGGCATGAGCCACCACGCCTAGCCATGGAACCATTTTTCAATGTGGAATAGGACATATTTACTAACATCCAGATATATTTCGTTTCTCTGAAATAAGAAGCCAAAAGTATGTAAGATTAAACTAATATTTAGTACTGAATGTCATAGCATTATATCTTATTCGGAAATGACCTACATATTTAATGAATATTTATCATGTAATTTGCCTTAGCAAAACTCTAAGGATATAGAAACCTTTTATTTTGTTTTATTTTTTGAGAAGGAGTCTCACTCTGTCACCCAGGCTGGAGGGCAGTGGTATGATCTCAGCTCACCGCAACCTCTGCTTCCTGAGTTCAAGCAACTCTCCTGCCTCAGCCTCCCAAGTAAACTGGGATTATAGGCATGTACCACTACACCCAGCCAATTTTTGTATTTTTACTAGAGACGGGGTTTTGCCATGTTGGCCAGGCTGGTCTCGAACTCCTGACCTTAAGTGATCTGCCTGCCTTGGCATCCCAATGTGCTGGGATTACAGCGTGAGCCACTGGGCCCAGCCTAGAAACCTCTTAAAGTAAATATATTATAAAACATAATTATTATGTCAATTTATAAACTTTTTTCCTATTTACATTTATTTTAATTATTCTTTTTTTTTTTTTGAGACGGAGTCACACTCTGTCGCCCAGGCTGGAGTCAGTGGTGCGATCTCGGCTCACTGCAACCTCTACCTCCTGGGTTCAAGCTATTCTCCTGCCTCAGCCTCCCGAGTAGCTGGGACTACAGGTGCACACCACCATGCCTGGCTAATTTTTGTAATTTTAGTAGAGATGGGGTTTCGCCATATTGGCCAGGCTGGTCTCGAACTCCTGACCTCAGGTGATCTGCCCACCTCGGCCTCCCAAAGTGCTGGGATTACAGGCATGAGCCACCGTGCCCAGCCTTATTCTTTCTTAACAACTATGTTTGGAAAAATTTCATGAGCCGTTAGACAAATCTAGCCATCATCTCAACTTAAATTTTGTATTAACCATTTTGCTATTAATATTATCATATGTTATCTAAGTATCATAAAAGCAATCACCTTAACATTAAATACATGCATATTTTGCTGATAAGTCAAAAGACATTTGTTTTTATTAAACCAACTATATTAAACTACTCATATTTACCAAAAGATTTACTCAAGTCACAAGAACTTGAAAAATATTTGGGCTTATTTATTTAATTTTTGATTACTCATTTATTGTTACGGCAATTTGGTACCATGTAGACAATATCCAAACACAAGTATAGACATATGTGTATATGTAGACACAACATATAACTAAAACACATAAACATGTATGCATCTGAAAGTTGAAAAGATCAAGGAATTCAATATAAAAGAAAGTAGAGCTAGGTCGGGCATAGTGGCTCATGCCTGTAATCCCAGCATTTTGGGAGGCCGAGGCAGGAGGGTCACTTGAGGTCAGGAGTTTGAGACCATCCTGGCCAACATGGTGAAACCCCATGTCTACTAAAAATATAAAAATTAGCCTGGCGTGGTGGCATGTGCCTGTAGTCCCAGTTCCCCAGGAGGCTGAGGCAGGAGAATTGATTGAACCCAGGAGGCAGAGGTTGCACTGAGCCAAGATCATGCCACTGCACTCCAGCCTGGGTGACAGAGTGAGACTGTCTCAAAAAAAACAACAAAAAAAGAGTAGCACTTTAGACTGAGAGGAGCCTGTCCACCCACGATTCTTGGGGCTCCGTGAGGAAAAACAGAGGTACCCTACCCAAAAAGGAGGAGTCTGTGATGTCCTTTCTGTGTTCCTGAAGGGTCCTTGGGCTGCTAGAAGTTTTCTTGGTGTCAAAAGTGGCAAGAGGAAGAAGAGACAGTAGTAAATGGAAGAACAAGTCCTAGAGTAGCCACTTTCAGAAGCTCTTGTTTTCCAAATGGCCAGTAAGGTTTTACATTATCCTTGGCAAAAATCATGTCAATGAGAGGAGAAACAGAGGGAGCACATATAGTTAGCAGGAGTTTCGCAAGAAATTCAGTTGACTGAGAAGCTGTTACAGAGAGAACAGAGGACTCAAATAAATGTATGTATACATATATAGCCTAAATATTGGTTTTAATTAAATGTACTTTCGACTATACAGCTCTTAAAATATTTTTATCAGGTTTTAGCTGGGTTAATAGCAAACATTCCTGTTTCCTGGTTTTTTCTTTCTGAAATTTACACCAATGGTGGGGTGTATTTGTTTATTAGAGGTCTAGAGGAATCACTATTTAAAGCTGTTTGTGTCTGAAACCCAAGTTTCAGAACTGTAACACTAGCACTTGTAGTCTGTATCTTTCATTTGACAAGTGGTCATTCCTAGTGATAGTTCTTTAATTGTTTCATTGAACTTTGCTACTTCTTATTTTTTTTGAGACAGAGTCTCACTCTGTCACTCAGGCAGGAGTGCAGTGATGTGATCCCGGCTCCTGAACTGCAACTTTGAACTCCTGGGCTCAGGTAGTTCTCCCACCTCAGCCTCCAAAGTAGCTGGGACTGCAGGTGCACACCACAACACCCAGCTAACTTTTTAAACTTTTTTGTAGAGACAGGGTCTCACTATGTTACCTAGGCTGGTCTCAAACTCCTGGGCTCAAGCCTCAGCCTCCCAAAGTGCTGACATTACAGGCGTGAGTCACCACACCCAGCCCTACTTCTTTCATATTATTAATTACACCTTTTTTTGTTTGTTTTTGATATGGAGTCTTGCTCTGTCGCCCAGGCTGGAGTGCAGTGGCATGATCTCGACTCACTGCAGCCTCTGCCTGCTGGGTTCCAGCAATTCTCCTGCCTCAGCCTCCCAGGTAGCTGGGATTACAGGCACATGCCACCACACCTGGCTAATGGTTGTATTTTTAGTAGAGATGGGGTTTCACCATGTTGACCAAGCTGGTCTCGAACTCCTGACTTCAGGTGATCCAGCCACCTTGGCCTCCCAAAGTGCCGGGATTACAGGCGTGAGCCACCATGGCAGGCTCTAGCTTCATTTAAACACGTCAGGAGTCATTTCCCTTGGCTTTGTTATCACTCTTCCTGCACTGGAGTAGTAGGTTACTTATGCATGCAGGCTGCTTGAGGGCAGGGGTTTTGCATTAGCCTGCCTTGCTCCTATAGAAGCCCAGTCCACATTTGTTGATTGGAAAAGGACCGAGTAAAAGATTATATACTGTGAAGTCTTTATAGATAGTAATTGACCAGAATGCTGTATAAAAGGAAATAACGAGAGAGGTTCAGGACAAGTATTTGAAATTCACTGGAATATTTTGCCCTTAAATATGTTGAGACCGGGTGTGCGATTTTAATATGCATAAGAATCTACTGAGAAGCTTATCTAAAAAGGGAGATTTACTGGTCCCATTCTCAATTCTCTAGGTTTTAAGTAGGCCCAAGTATCTGCATTCAAAATAATTTTGGATACAAGTTTTAAATTGAAAAAGCATTATGTACATAAGGAAAAAAAAATCAGACCTACCTTAGTCCCCAGATTTTCTTCCCTGGAGCCAACAACTATTAATGTTTTCTTATGTTTCCTTATGTTTCTTCCCAGCAATTGTCAATTCATGTCTAAGCCTATTATATATATGAATGACTTTTTTTTTGTAATGAAAACATATAATTGGGGGCATATTAAACATATTGCTTTATCTTGCTTTTTTTTTTTTCTTTTTTTCTTGAGACAGAGTCTTGCTCTGTCACCCAGGCTGGAGTGCAATGGCACAACCCAACTCCTGGGTTCAAATGACTCTTCTGCCTCAGCCTCCTGAGTAGCTGGGATTACAGGTGCCCACCACCACGCCCAGCTAATTTTTGTATTTTTAGTAGAGATGGGGTTTCGCCATATTGCCCAGGCTGGTCTCAAACTCCTCAGCTCAAAGTGATCCATCCGCCTTGGCCTCCCAAAGTGCTGGGATTACAGGCATGAACCACCACGCCCAGCCTATCTTGCTTTTTTTTTTTTTTTTTTTTTTTAAAAGCACTATATCTTCAGGCTGTTTCCTAATTCTACATATAGATCTGCCTTTTTTGTTTAATAATTCTATAAATTCCGCTGTATTATTGTCTATACTTTAAAATACTTTATACTGTATTTTAACAGTTGTACTATACTTTAACGGTTATCTATTGGTAGACATTTAAATTCTTTCCAGTCTTTTTTTTTTAATTTTTTTTATTTGAGAAGGAGTCTTGCTGTGTCGCCAGGCTGGAGTGCAGGGGCGCGATCTCAGCTCAGTGCAACCTCCACCTCCCGGGTTCAAGCGATTCCCTTACCTCAGCCTCTCAAGTAGCTGGGACTACAGCCGCCCGCCACCACACCAGGCTAATTTTTTGTATTTTAGTAGAGACGGGGTTTCACCATGTTGGCCAGGATGGTCTCAATCTCCTGACCTCGTGAACCGCCTGCACCCGGCCCAGTCTTTTATATAACAAACCATAAACAAAAAATCCTTACATATTAGTCTGTGTTCACATGTAGAAAATGATGTTAGAAATACAATTGCTGGATTCAAAGATGTGTGCATTTTAAATTTAATACTTAGACTCAGCACTTTTCATAATCATTCTAGGTGATTCTGTCCATGTGGTTTGTGAATATACCTAGAGAAATAGTTTTTCAGGGGAAAGAATGAAACAAATAATTACCACCTACATTTTAGGATTATTCTCTTCGAGGCCAACAAAATAGAAATTTTATACAAAAACTCACTGACCGTCTTCAAAGAGGACAACATTTATTTAGTTGTATGTAAATAAAAATTACTTGGATACATGAGGGGAAAACGATAAAGCACATGATATAAATATACAATTAACCCTTTATAATATCTTCAAACAACGGCAAATAACATAAACAGGAAATATTTGCAGTAATTCTTTACAGTATTCTCTTTTACTCTGTTGTCAACATGAATACTGCAAGCAGGTCTTTATTTTTTTTGACAATGGGAACTTCCACTCATTCGGTAGAAGTCACCACTTTCAAAACATAGTAAGTCAACACACAACTGTACAAACTGAACGTGAGCAAGTCTAACTTAGATGTAATTAGAGTTGAGTCATTGGATAAAAAGTTCATATTGATGATACACAACCAGCAGTGCAAGCATTCAAATACATTGGCTATAGCACCATTTAAAATATTTAACACTGCCTCTTGTTAGTTTGATGTTGTCGGAAAATGAAAGTAATGAAGCAATGTAGTTTTTAAAACATACAACATGTGTTTCAATCTAATCATCCTAATTCTATGGTAAATTACACAGAGAGAGATAGAGGAGGGAGCATTGCCTCAGCTTTAAGATTATCTTTATCAAAATAGAGAGCTGGATTCTTTAACAGCAGCCAAAGCTGTAATGATAACACATAGGTTGTTGTGTTGAACCAAATGGAGTATGACATGCAATCTATTGTCTATAATAATTTACAGGCAATTCCCGAGTCATTGGAGGTAATATTAAGTATATATATTAACCATGCTTTTGTCTCTCCTTTCCATTAGCTGCCTTTTATTATTTTGGTGGTCCTTTCATTACACAACCACTCCCACTATACATTAGAGCAGGAAATAATGGAGATGGAACAAAAAGAGAACTTGTCCATTGAATCACTTGTTAACAGCTCAGAAGGGCATGGTTGAGTATAACTGAAACTGCTGGCTAAAATTACGCTTGGGGTGGCATTGTTTGATTCCAATTCCTAGTAGCATTCCTGCGTCTAATTGTGAAGGATAATTGAGAATGGGCTGTATTCACTTTAGGTAAATTTGACCTAAGACACTGGCAATGATATTCAAGGATTTGTGTGTGTGTGATGATCAAATTGTGAGTAGAAATTTAAATAGTCTTAAACTATCTGTAAACAAGTAAGGCAGCCAGAAATTTCAAATGATCTGGGAAGAACATTCTGCAGTCTGAAAAACGTTTGGCTTAGAAAAATAGACATCTCAGATAAAGAAAGGGCATTATTAGATGTCATGGATCACAGTCATCTTCTGTATGAAATCAATCAAGAGAACTATTTTTAAAACTGTGCCACGCTCAGGCAAATGAATGGTCTATATAACAACACGAGAGTCTAGAGATGGGCTATTTGTTATCACTACTCCAGTGTCAGATGTGGCACAGACATCTACACTAATGGCATTCCATTTATTATCCTCACAAATTGATAGTGTTATACTTTGGATTAGCAACATTCCTTGGAGATGATTTAACTATTAACTTTATTTGTCAGTTAGCAATTAGTTCTATATTATATTTTTGGGCAGAAGAAACTCAGAAAAAAATATTACAGGCCCCACCTCATGCTTATATCATCTAAGAGGCCAATGATACGAATAAAAGTGCTTGAATTGTAGCCCTTGATTTAATGTTGTGCGTACAAATACGGCTTCTGCTAAGGAAATCATTACTGTTATTTCTTTGTTAAGGTTTTGTCTCAAGATTCCATTTATAACTGGATAGCACTGAATTAGGATTAATGGCAAGTGCCTTCTTTTAGAGGAGGATTTAGGAGTCACAATCCCTAGCTGCAGAATTCCCTCATAAAAATACAAGCCGTGTTTCTTTAATTGCACTAAATTGTATTACCTGTGGAATTAGAGCTTGCCTTTGTTTGATGCTAGTAGATCAATAGCTCCCTGTAATAATTAATTTCTGAAATCTAGTCATATTCTTGTGCTTGAAACCCATTTATCTGTAAGCTTTCTGGAAGCACACAGATACTTCAGTTTTGTCTTACAAAGAAGTGGTTGAGTTGAAAAGCTTTTATTCCCTGTTTTTGTTTTTAAAAGCTGTATTTAAAACCCTAGTCCCAGTAGATGACAAGAGAATGGTTTTTATAAGGGCATTTCTACCAATTACTTACTAGGCTGTCTTTGAACAACACTGTCATCTCTAGAATGTATGTAGTCCTTAAGATCTTCCAGCATTACATCTCCCCAAACAGAGAGGCAGTGCTGCTTACAAATGAGGCTGTGACAATGGCATTTACAAATGACAGTGCCAGTTACCGTACAAAATGCTTTCCCACGTCCTGTCATAGGTGCCTCACAGCAACCATGCGAGGTAGGCATGAGTATTACAATGAAACCTACACGGAACATTACATGATACTAAACATGTGCACCATCCATGTATTTTCTTCTGGATTGTTCTATAATTCGAATGCACGGCTGAATAAGTAAAAAGAGTATTCCTATCATGTAAAGCAAACCACATATGTAGAAGGAAAAATCATATTTTTGCGTGATGTCATAGATCCACCCTACAAAACAAAAAAGAATATATTCAGTGTCATGGAGTTGATACAATGAAAGTGAAGAACATGAAGCAGGCATTTATTGCTGCTGTACATGTTTCTACAAGAATTTATATGTCATTTCATACCAATAAAATGTTTCATTTATCCATTTCTTTTCCTTTTTTTTTTTGTTTTTTATATTTTTTGGTTCTCATTTAGCCATTTTAAAGGGTGTGCTGTACACCAGTGTTCCCCGTGCCTACGGAGGACTGCATTCGTTAAGCCACTTGGTTGCTTTGGAAGGCATTTGAAGCAATTCCCAGCTGACTCATGGGGAGAACCTTCTGGTTCACTCAAAGGCCCGCACAAGGCCAGCAGTGAAATGCGAATCCAATGATTTTCTTTTTTCACAAGTGCAAACACGCATTTTTCTAAAACCTACAAAAACGATTCTGAAGTTTTTAGTGTGTATCAAAAGAGGCTGGGCAGAAGACATTTGAACTTTCTTCATTCATTCTGAAGTATTTGAGGGTACACATTTGTTCTAGAAAGAATCAAAATCTTCAGGTGTTATAAAATTCACATTTACAGTCACAAAACTTTAATATTTACATTTATAAAACTCTAAGTTGCCAAAGATACTGCCATAGATGCTGACTAAATTATGTTATTTTCAAATAATAATTTAATATTATAATCTAACAGCTTAATATAATAATCTTATTAGACATTCTGTAAAATACCACTATATTTCATGAATTCTAAGACAATGATGTGCCATTATTTTATGTATCAGTAAGAAATAAATATCCTTGTCAATTCAAATATGACTCAGTATTTCCTCAGGACTTTGTAAAAGGCATTCTAATTTGAGACATTAAAATATGAGAAAAATGTGTCTCAGAATCTATGAAATATGTTTCCTATATTTCAGTGATTAATTCTAAGAATGGATCACAAGTCATGGTTCCCACATAGTCAACTACGCAAACTGAGAGGATTGAGTTACACACAAGAGTTTTATTTATGGTAAAAATGTAAATTTTGAACATTCATTTTTTTCCCTTTTAGTAAGTACATTAATTAGCAGAGACTTAAAATATAAATGATTTAGTGGCCAGGATCAGTGGCTCACACCTGTAATCCCAGCACTTTGGGAGACCAAGGCGGGCAGATCACATGAAGCCAGGAGTTCGAGACCAGCCTGGCCAACATGGCAAAACCCCCATCTCTACTAAAAAATACAAAAATTAGCTGGGTGTGGTGGTGCATGTCTATAATCCCAGCTACCCAGGAGGCTGAGGCATGAGAATTGCTGGAACCCAGGAGGCAGAGGTTGCAGTGAGCTGAGATCGTGCCACCGCACTCCAGCCTGGGCAACAGAGCAAGACTCCATCTCAAAAAATAAAATGAAATAAAAAAATAAGATTTTATGATCAAACATAGTATTCCGTGGCCACTTTTCAGAAACATCTTTAAAAAAATCGAATTGGCAAATGAATGCGTAAATGCACTTAAACTTCTCCCATCAAGAAACAGCCACACAAAAGCAACCAGGAAAGGTGTAAACCAGTCCCTCCGACTTCCTGGTTGTTATCTGTATCTCTTTGTTTATTGTATCTAGTGTGTGATGAATATGCCTGGATTATCTATTTACAGGGATCAGTCAAGACATTCATAAAGAAAAACAAACAATAGCATACAAATTTATAATCTTTTCTTTAAAAAAACAACTCGTTAAAAGGTATGAATTCTGGATCTACTTTAAAAGTAAACCAAGTTTTTGAATTTGTTATTTGATGTAAAAAATAGAAAAGAAAAAAAAAATCTGACTCTTTAGAAGTGACTCAGTAAAGTGTTCTATCATCTTTTCTTAATCTATAATTGGAGACAAGGGGGACAAAAAAGATTAAACGTAATCCAAAAATAATGCTTCAGCTTCAGAATTGAATTGGAAAGGCACATTGACACTGACCTATGAACAAAAACACACCCAACTTCTACTCAGTGTTACCAGTTGGCAACTGTGGACCATTGTGAATTAGGACAAAATGAACAATTCACTTGCAGATAATGCAGAGTGATCTGTATCTGCAGAATACATGATGGGAATAACTGTAATCTACAATTTTAAAAAAATCAATAAATACAAATGAGGTTCTCATAGTCCACTCATCTCCATAGGAAAGCTGACTAGGTCATTTTAATGGCTAAATCCCCGCTGTCCACATGATCAAGTGATTGAGAGCAGAAATGATGGCTGTAACTAACAAACAGCTGAACGGCTTGTTTCAAATGGCTGAAACAAGTCAAACAGTTATTGCTGTTTAACGTGAACCTCGAAAATAGGACAAAATCCTACCTGGCTGGAAAATTAAGCTGTATTTCGTTCAGACTATTTATTTACGTTTTGGTGGAAGTGGTTGATTATAAGCTCCAGGCTCTGTGATGTGGCCCCTGCCTACATCTCTCCCCCGCTCATCAGCACAAGCCATGCTGAATTTGTTAGCATCTCAAATACATTTCTCTTGGCTCCTTGTCTGAACATGTCCTGTTCCCCCTTCTGGGTGGGATAGTAATAAATACTGTCACCCTCAGAGCACCCTAGGATCCCCTTTTCCCCATCCCATCCTTCATCTTTACTCTGCAGAATATAAAAAATGTCTGTTAAGTATATTACATATTGCTACAGTCTTAAATTGAATTCATTATTATTATTATTATTATTTGGGACGGAGTCTCACTCTGTCACCCAGGCTGGAGTGCAGTGGCACAATCTCAGCTCACTGCAGCCTCCACTCCCCCGGGTTCAAGCAATTCTCCTGCCTCAGCCTCCCGAGTAGCTGGGATTACAGGCGGCATGCGCCACCACACCTGGCTAATTTTTGTATTTTTAGTAGAGACAGGGTTTCCCCATGTTGGCAAGGCTGGTCTCAAACTCCTGACTTAGATAATCCACCCGCCTCAGCCTCCCAAAGTGCTCGGATTACAGGCGTGAGCCACTGTTCCCGGCCAAATTCATTATTATTATTATTTTTTTTTAAAAACTGTCCTCTTTCCTCTAAAAATATAAGCATGTGTAAAAGCATCTCCACATGCCCAAGCTTCAAACATAACTCATGTCAGTTTTTTTTAAAAAAAGCACATCCAACTTCACTGAACAATTTAACATAGTGCAAATTGTAGGAGTAGTCCTAAATTTCATGTCAAGTTAATCCCATAGGTTTTCTCCAATCCACCTTTAGGATTTATTTATAAATAACTCTGGATCCTGCCATCTCCCTTTGGTGCCTGTTTTAATATTTCTGCTAGTTTAAATTCAAACCCAGTCGGATGTAAAGCAGGTCAAGAGAGACAGGACTCTACCAGGAGCTTTGACTCTCAGCACAAGTTGACACAACTTTTTCAGAGAGAAGAGAGTTCCTACAAGCTGCCCTCCTCATGCATCCTTCACCACCCCTCCTGCAGGTTTGACCTCAGTTCTTGGATTTGGAACCCGGGATTCTTGGCAACCCTGGATTCTTGGCAACCCTCATCCAAGCACCAATTCAAACCTACAGCTTCAAAGTAAAATCTGGTTCCCTGTTAAAGTGCATTTTCTTTTCATTTGAGTCTGTCAAATAAGTAATAGATGTTTTTCGTATTAATTAAATAAAGGCTCCCAGCTTTTGGTGGAAAACATTGCAAATTATTGTTAAGGTGTTAGATTTTATGTGAATGGAAGAGATGTGTGTGGAATATTGGTCGGTCAAATCTGATGGCTGAGGTTTTGCCATATTATATACTGAAACATCTAGGAAAGTATGTACTACTATTACATAATTTTGTTTTATTTTATTTTATTTTATTTTAATTTTGAGACAGAGTCTTGTTCTTGTTGCCCAGGCTAGAGTGCAGTGGCATGATCTCAGCTCACTGTAACCTCCGTCTCCCGGGTTCAAGCAATTCTACTGCCTCAGCCTCTCAAGTAGCTGGGATTACAGGTGCCTAATTTTTGTATTTTTATAGAGATGAGGTTTCACCTTGTTGGCCAGGCTGTCTCCAACTCCTGACCTCAGGTGATCCGCCCATCTCCGCCTCTCAAAGTGCTGGGATTACAGGCATGAGCCACCGCACCCAGCCTATATTACATCTTTAAAGGGGTTGAACAAAATGCCCAACAATATTATAAATAAATTAGAACAAGAAGTCCATGCTGCTGAATGACATGGTTGAAATGTCTGTTCAATATCTCTGATTCTACATTCTTGAAACTGTTTTTTTTTAAAAAGAAGGTGATGTGAACAGTAATTTTCCTTGCAGCAAACCCAGCTAAGTAATAATTTCTAGCACACCTCGAATTTCTAGCAAGAGTGCAATGTGGTCATTTAGTCACGCATGTTGCCAGTCACTCTGAGCCCACAGTGCACATAAACGGTGGCTTGCATCTCATTGCAATCTTGGCTTCTTGGCCTGGAAAGTCAATAAATGAAACATCATGCAGGTAGCCAATGAATGTTGTTCATCATTCCTTAGAGCATGAATTCAATGGAAGATGAAGAAACCAACAAATGCAAATAAAGAAAGTCCCCTTTAGCTTGCTGGCCTAGACAGGCACATCTGAATGTTGATTTTGGGGTTTCCATAGCAGCATATGATACGCATCATTGAAGGCTCCCAACCATTAATACAACGATTTCTACCGTCCATGGTGGATCCCATTCCACTACAGAATCCACCTCTGGGGAGGAACCTTGAAGCAGTCAAGAGATAAGACCTGATGACTGAGGGTTGAGTATAACTCCCTGTCATCTACTTATCATTCCTTTCTCTTCCACTCAAGAAAGCTCACTAGAATGCAGATGAGTGGACAGCACATGACCACAGGGAAGGGATAAGGAAACTATCCTGGCAAACTCTGGTGCGTTGACTAACATTGCCCATGAGAATTACTCATGCCATACCTCACAGTTGTGTTGTGATGCTACCATTGAAATCTGACAGATCAAGACAAAACAACCCAAGCCTGCCCATTAGAAGAAAGTACCCCTGGATCATGCAAAGAACCATCAGTGACAGAGTCCATTTCTGCATACAGTGTATCTGAAGGACCTCCAACAAGAGGGTGGAGGAGCCACTACTAGGTCCCCATACCTCCAATGGATATTTAACATCTCTAGCAGGCACCATTGGCGGACTGATTCAACTGCCAATCCCAATTCTTTTCTCCTTTCCTTCCTCTAGTACAGAGGCTGGAAAGCAAAATACTGCATTCACAGCTCCCCTTGAAGCTTGAACTAGCTGTGTGATATAGTTCTGGCCAATCAGATGTAAGTGGAATTTTGCTGGGACTGAGCCTTTCCCCACTTCCTTCTCCCTGCTATAAATGATGATGTAGTGGCTGGAGATACAGCAACCATTGTGTCACCATGAGGCAGTCAGCATGAGGAAAGGGCCAAGAGGATGTCTGAGACGTTGCCCCAATATCCTCCAGTCCCTGAACTCTATATTTCTGGTTATGTGACAGAAATCTGCTTAAACTATCATTGTCAGGATGTTATAATCAAATGCGTTCTGACCTGACAGAGAATTTTACATAATGAGATCAGTGAGCAATTTTAGACCTTTCAGCTGCCAGTATAGTTTGCTCCGTTGCTATAGTCAATTTTCACCTAAAAATGCTGCATCTGCATTTCTGTGCACAGGCAGACAACAGGAGCAGCTTGCTCCAGGAGGAGTCCTATATGTAGCCCTGGGGATTCCTAAAGTGACTCTTGGACTTTAAACCTTTAGTCAGCCAACTGCTGGTGTTGTCCGCTGTACAGGCAAAAATCTATGATTTCTTGTACTTCAAATTTCAAGCGGATTTAAAAGCGTGTTTGTTGGTGCAAGCTCTCTGCCAGTGGGGGGTCTTAAGGGAGAGGGTGACTTTATGACTTACAGAAAGACTGGGAAAAAAGGGGGCAGGGAGGGCTTTGTCCTGTACCCATGGGATTCCTTCACCCACTGGGGAGAGATATTCCTGCCAGAAGGTATTAGAATAAAGGGCCTGGAGGGCCCAGACAGGAGGGTGCTTGGGGGTGGCTGGGGAGAGGGGACATCTGAACAGGTGAGGCTCCACTGGGTTAGCCTGAGGCTCTGCACAAAACCTCTAGCAGCTCTGACAATCACCACCAGCCCTGGCTGTCTGAGGGCCACCACCAGAGAGCACCTTTGTGTTGGCATTCTGCCCCAGCCTCTGCCATGCTATGCAGACTCCTGTCTCCAGTTCTTGGACAGAAGACAGACCTCGTTATCTTCACACAGTACCTGGTGTCTTGGGGCATGAGTCTATCTGCCCAAACCTGACTTGCCTTTCCACGAAGGCACTGGCCCAGACACAAGATTCCTTGGTACTCACGGCTTCTGCTATGCCTGAATACCAAGTTCTCTGGTTAATTTGCTTCTTGCAAATGAAGGGAATACATGACAGAGAATGTATCCTAGATGTTGCCAACTAGTGGCCTCCGGGCCTGTGGTAGGCAGAATGCTCCCACCCCCCAAAACACCGAAGTCCTAATTTCTGGACCCAGTGAATATGTGACCTAATAGGGCAAAAGGGACATTGCAGGTGTGATTAATTTAGGACCTGGGCTGGGGAGATGAGCCTGGATTTCCCAGGTGAGCCCAATGTAATCATAGACACCCTTATAAGTGAAAGGAGGTGGCTGGGCATGGTGGCTCATGCCTGTAATCCCAGCACTTTGGGAGGCCGAGGCAGGAGGGATCACAAGGTCAGGAGTTCGAGACCAGCCTGGCCAATATGGTGAAACCCCGTCTCTACTTAAAAAAAAAAAAAAAAATTAGCTGGGCATGGTGGCGCACACCTGTAATCCCAGCTACTCAGGAGGCTGAGGCAGGATAATTGCTTGAACTTGGGAGGCGGAGGTTGCGTTAAGCTGAGATCACGCCACTGCACTCCAGCTTGGGTGACAGAGGGAGATTCCGTCTCAAAAAAAAAAAAAAGTGAAAGGAGGTGGCAGGGAGTCTGAATCAGAGAGAAGTGGGAAGACGTGAGTTACACTGCTGGCTTAGAAGATGGAGCAAGAGGGCACGCGCCAAAGAATGAAAGTGGCCTCCAGATGCTGGAAAAGACAAGGAAACAAATTCCCCCCTAAAGCCTCAAGAAGGAATTCAGCTCTGCTGACCTCCAGAACAGTAAGATAATAAGTCTGTATTTGTGTGTGTGTGTGTGTGTGTGTGTGTGTGTGTATGTGTGTGTGTGTGTGTGTGTGTGTAGATGGGGTTTCGCTGTATTGCCCAGGCTGGTCTTGAACTCCTGAGCTCAAGTGATCCTCCTGCCTCGGCCTCCCAAAGTACTGGAATTACAGGTGTGAGCTACCACTCCTGGCCAATCTGTATTGTTTTAAGCCACCATAAGTTTCTGGCAACTTATTATCGCAACAATAGGAAGCGAATGTAGGGCTGGATCAAGTCCATGGATGTGTTCTGTTGCACCTGCCACATGGTGTTTTGGAAATCTGTTAGTGCTACCTAACAGTACAGATTCTTAGCTTCCCTTGGGGGGAAACAACAACAGAAGATCTGGCAACAATTCTCAGTATTTCTTGGTGACAAAAATCAGCTGGAACTGCCCAGAGGCCACCTTCAAATGGGTAAGGAGCCCGTCAGTATTCCATCACCCCATCCACTTTATTTCCTCACTCTACCAGCCTGGCTGCTTTATCATGTGGATAGGATCAAAAGTTCATCTGCATTTCATCTATATTCTACATAAAAGAATGGCCTTGGCCAGGCGTGGTGGCTCATGCCTGTAATCCCACCACTTTGGAAGGCTGAGGCAGGTGGATCACTCGAGGTCAGAAGTTCAAGGCCATCCTGGCCAACATGGTGAAACCCCCATGTCTACCAAAAACATAAAAAATTAGCCGGGCGTGGTGGTGCACACCTGTAATTCCAGCTACATGGGAGGCTAAGGCAGGAGAATCACTTGAACCTGGGAGGTAGAGGTTGCAGTGAGCTGAGAGCGCACCACTGCACTCCAGCTGGGGCGATAGAGCGAGACTCCGTCTTGAAAAAAAAAAAGAAAGAATAGGCTTTAACTTGCTAAAATGTATAAATGAGAAAGTAAAGGGCAGGAATGGGAAGATAAAAGGAAAATGTACACAAATGGAAACCTTCTTCTTTATCTGGGACTTTATAACATAACGCACCATATGTACATGCACTCTGAGCTCTTAAAACCTCAGAGAGTTTACCTGCAAAAGGTGGTCCCAGCAATGCAGAGATGCCATTAGCACAGATGATGATGCCGTAGGCATTGGCCAGGTGTTCAATGCCAACCAAGTCTTCAGTCACTACGGGCATTAGGGAGAAATAACCACTGGAAAACCCTATCAGCGCACAGATGACCGCCAGGCCAGCGTACGTGTGCATCAACGGCAGAATAAAAATACTGAGGACAAGGGTGAAGTTGGCCAACAGGAAGACATTCCAAACACTAATGCAAGGCAAGTCGGCTATGACGCCCAGGATCACTTTTCCAAAGATGTGAACTATTGCTATAATTGACGTCAGAGGGAAAACGTCGTTTTGCTCCGATAAGTTATACAAATTGACGATTTCTGGGAGGTGAATGAAGGGGATGACAAAGCTGCTGTATGCAAACAAAGCCCAGAAAATAAAGGCTACAAACATTCGATTTGTAAATAGAGAGGCTGTCCCAAAGTAGCCCGAATACCAGTCCTCGAAGCCCTTCCTGACTCTCATGGTGAGCCAGCTGACAGTCTTCAGAATCCGGAGGGCACACATGTTCTTCCTGTGCCCGGCCTGATCGGGGCACTCCTGGGCTTGCAGGTCGCAGAGGGTCTCCTCGTTCCCGAGCCCACCATCCTTCTCTTCTGTTCTTCCCTGCTGTCCAGTTGACTTCACAGATTCTGTGGAGTGCGCTGGCAGGCCACGCACATCTTTCTCTCCTGGGTCGTTTGGGTTTTTACCAGGAGAGAGGGGCCTCATGAGCGCCCCACAAACACACAGGTTTAGGGAAACGGCACCTTGGATCAACATGGCATTCCTCCAGCCGTACTCTGCGCACAGGTACTTCAGCAGCACAGTCATTAGGAACGTACCGAATCCGGTCCCCGTGGTGCTGAGGCCCTGGGCGAGGGCGCGTCTCTTCTGGAAATACCTGCCCACCATGACCACCGCTGGCAGGTAGGCCATCCCGCTGCCCAGGCCTGTACAGGCCGACGGGGGGAAGAAAAGACACAGTGCAACATCAGTGGCCATATCCAGAATTCGCAGCAAAGATCACCTGCATTTCCTTAATTAGCATCTATTTATGCTTTTTATTTCTAACAAAGCAATAACACTGATTATTTAAAAAGCAGCTCCCAGGGATAAGCAGCAGAAAGACCATCCACCCAAGCAGGTTTCTAGCCCGCCATTTTCCCCAACAGGCTTTGCTGCACAAGTTCCTCCAATAACAAAATGGAGCAGCATTCTCCCATCAGAAAAATAGAAGCTCCAGGCAGGCAGGCAGGACCATGTATTTTCACCACTGGTGTGCCCAGGACTGCCCAGATCACATGGCACGTGCTTAGCAAGTAGCTGGGAGAATGAACGTCTTCTCTGAGGGCCTCTGCTGTCTTAAGCCTCCCTTGATTGCACTATGTGTCCAGAGACCCCAACCTGGCTCTTTAGTCTCAGCAAAAGGAGTGTTTATTTCCTCGCCTATAACACAAAAATCCCACTGCTAGCCCTATTCACGGGACTATTATAGGGAAGAGTTTCTAATGTACTCAGGGAAAATATCTGACTTCTTTTTTTTTTTTTTTTTTTTTTGAGACAGGGACTCACTCTGTTGCCCAGGCTGGAATGCAATGGTGCGATCACAGCTCATTGCGTCCTCGAACTCCCCAGGCTCAGATGATCCTCTCACCTCAGTCTCCCAAGTAACTGGGACTATCACCGTGTGTGGCTAATTTTTGTATTTTTTTTGTAGACACGTGGTTTCACCATGTTGCCCAAGCTGGTCTCAAACTCCTGGGCTCACGCAATTCACCTGCTTTGGCCTCTCAAAGTGCTCGGATTACAGGTGGGAGCCACTGCTCCTGGCCAACATCTGACATTTTTAAAGAACTGTTTTAACCAGAGGAATATGTTCTAGTGATCTGTTGTACAATATGGTGACTGTAGTTAGTACTAATGTATTCTATATTTTTCAAATTGCTAAATGTAGATTTTAAATGTTCTCATCACAAGTATGTGAGGTGATGGATATGTCAATTAGCCTTATTCAATCATTCTACAATATATACATGTATCAGAACATCACATTTGACTCCACAAATATTTACCATTGTCAATTACGACTAAAATAGAAATATCAAAAATGTATTATGTATAATAAGGGAAAAAGAGAACTGTTATCAGGTCCTTCAATCAATGGTTTTTAAACTATGCTTCAAAGGATACAGAAGTGCTTTATGTGTGTATGTGTATAGATATATATTACAAGAAGCAACTTGCAGATTTATATGGACAGTAGGTTATTATGTTCACCTTCTCCTCCTGTCAAAAGATACATACTTCAGCTCGTATGTTTTATATATATAACCATATTTACCTATTAGCTAACATTTACTGAGCACTTTGCTAAGTGCTTTATACAAATTATGTCATTTAATCATTTCAACAACCATGTAAACTAAGCTCTCTTCATTATACCCATTTTGCAGGTAAGGAAACTGAGGTATAAGTAGGTTAAATAACTTGCCCAAAGTCACACAGGTAATAATAATGAAAAAAGAAAAGCCAGAATTCCAAGCTCACTTTTAACTCTTATGCTAACGCATTCATTGTAGCTCTGTACTCAAAAAGAGTGTCAAGCTGGATTCAGTTTATTTAAAATGCAATTGTACAAGTAATTACTCATCTGTGTGAATCACACTACCTGCTGATAAAGGAAATTGTGGCTGGGAATATATTTTGCATAATGGATATGCAGATTGTGGTGGCTGGCAGCCAATATTAACCTGTTCACTGGGAATGACAACCTAACTGTACTCTAGATTTGCTTCTTCGTCTCTACATATATGTGTGGTTTATGCTATTTTATGAATTTGAACAGGGCTAAAAGAGTAAATTATTATAAGGCCGGGTGCTGTGGCTGACACCTGTAATCCCAGCACTTTGGGAGGCTAAGGCAGGTGGATCACCTGAGGTTGGGAGTTCGAGACCAGCCTGACCAACATGGAGAAACCCTGTCTCTACTAAAAATACAAAATTAGCTGGGCATGGTGGTGCATGCCTGTAATCCCAGCTACTTGGGAGACTGAGGTGGGAGAATTGCTTGAACCCAGGAGGCGGAGGTTGCAGTGAGCCAAGATTGTGCCATTATACTCCAGCCTGGGCAACAAGAGTGAAACTCCATCTCAAAAAAAAAAAAAAAAAAAAAACAAATGATTATTAAAGAGTAAATGAACGTTATTGGTTTCCTTAATCTTTTTTAAAATATTTACTTATGTATTTATGTTTTTTCTTTTCTATTTTCACACAGGAGGCTTTATTATTATTATTATTATTATTATTATTATTATTGAGACAGAGTCTTACTCTGTCAACCAGACTGGAGTGCAGTGGTGCAATCTTGGCTCACAGCAACCTCTGCCTCCTGGGTTAAAACTATTCTCATATCTTAGCCTGCTGAGGAGCTGGGATTACAGGCAGGTGCCACCGCACTTGGCTAATTTTTTTTTTTTTTTGTATTTTCAGTAGAGACGGGGTTTCACCATGTTGGCCAGGCTGGTCTCGAACTCCTGGCCTCAAGTGATCTGCCCACCTTGGCCTTCCAAAGTGTTGGGATTACAGGCGTGAGCTACTGCCCCTGGCCTATTATTTAGCTTATTTCCCACACCACACTGATGTAATTTCCTTAATCTTTGGTCCATTCACCTAAGTCAACGTTACTGCCTTCCTTTTCCTATTCCTCACTGGAGATAGCATTGGCATTTAGAACCAGGCATATGGAAATATAATTTGATTCTCTTAGGCAGGCCAAGTTTTGCTGTTAGGTGGGCTCCCCCCACTTAAGGCATATTAAAATGTAATGTTAAAATGTATTTCCAGGAGTGTAGGGAGGGGTTGGGGTGAAGTGGGGGGGAGGAAACAGAACAGAATGTTTTAATGTGTCTCTTTTCTCCACAATTAAATCCACTGCCAAGATGTCTTATAAAACATTTAAAATCGAGTTTAAAAAAAGCCACATGCTTACCAGCTGCGACTCCAAAAGTAATGAAGAGATAATGCACGTTTGCAGCATAGGCACTCAACACCCAGCCCAGGGAGTTGACGAGCCCTCCAATGATCGCAGTCTGGCGGCACCCACAGGTGTTAATGAACAAGCCGATGAAAGGGCCTGTCACAGAGCATTGGAAAAGGAATTGACTAAAGGTGCTTCCGTTTTATTCTTTCTCATAAATCTTCATGTGAAGACAAAGAATAAAATGTCACTAGAGCTGTTAAATGACACAAAAAGCCCCCATTGCTTTATATGCCAAACATTTTTAGCATGCAAAGATGATTTTAAGTAATTTCATCAGAGAGCACAAGGTTCTGGATTTTCAGGAAAGGCAGACCTGAAATAAATAGACATTCATTCTTTCATCTACAAGAAAACCAGTGGTCTAGGAGCTATCTCTAGCCTGTGGATACATTTTGTCGATCCCATACAAAGTCTAAAAAATGTCTGGAATTAGTTGCCAATGTTTAAAAATTAAGAGGATTCACAAAAAGTCCAGTGGCAACACAGACTACCTTCCCACAGGACCAAAGTTAGTTGGAGCTGTGCAGTGGCTGAGCCCGTTTGACTGGGACACACCCCTTCCAGTTTGCTGCAGTCTCTATCCTTCCCTCTGGTCTTAAACCTGGCCTCAATTACATTATTTCTTTGGCTTCTTTCCAAATAGAAAGACATTTCAGTTTTTGACTAAAATAGAAATATTAAAAATGTATTATGTATAATGAGGGAAAAAAAGAACTGTTATCGGGTCCTTCAATCAATGGTTTTTAAACTATGCTTCAAGGATACAGAAGTGCTTTATGTGTGTGTCTGTGTACAGACATATATTCCAAGAAGCAACTTGGGGATTTATATGGACGGTAGGTTATTATGTTCACCTTCTCCTCCTATCAAAAGATACATACTTAAGCTTATATGTTTTACATAGGTATCTATATAACCATATTTACCTGTTAGCTAACATTTACTGAGCACTTTGCTAAGTGCTTTATACAAATTATGTCATTTAATGGTTTAACAACCATGTAAACTAAGCTCTCTTCATTATACCCATTTTGCAGATAAGGAAACTGAGACCAAAAGGGAGTACAGGAAGGGAGTCTTCAGAACTCCTGGGCTTCAGGCAGAAAACTAATAGCCTGTTTTCATGAGGATACCCAGATTGAAACCAAGCTGAAAAGAGCTAGTTGTCATCACTTCATACAGACTCCCATCCCGGCTGGTGTGCACAGTCTCTGACCAGACCTATCAGGCTATGGAGATTCGGGAATCCATTTCCATTGTGTAAAATGTGACAACACTCACAGCAGCACAGTATTTTATGAGACGCATTCTGATTGTTTCCTTTACGCTGACTTTCTAGTTTTGTTTTGTTTTCTTGTTTTTGTTTTGATACAGGGTCTCACTGTGTCATCCAAGCTAGAGTTCAGTGGTGTGATCACGGCTCACTGCAGCCTTCACCTCCCTGGGATCAAGCGATCCTCCCATCTCAGCCTCCTAAGTAGCTGGGCCTAGAGGCTTGTGCTATCATGTCCTGCTAATTTTGTATTTTTTATAGAGATAGGGTTTCGCCGTGTTGTTCAGGCTGGTCTAGAATTTCTAGGCTCAAGGGATCTGTCTGCCTTGGCCTCCCAAAGTGCTGGGATGACAGGCTTGAGCCATGGCACCTGGCTGACTTTCTAGTTCTTAATTGTCAACCTTCTTTATTCTCCTCCTGATTTTGTAGTAATTTCTGATGTCACTGAAGCTGAAAGCTTATCTTGTGATCAATGATTCCTTGTTTAAATAGGAATCCAGATTTATATGAGCTAGTACTCAATATTCAGTAAGATGGCATATTTTAATTATCTTATTTTTGATCATTACAAAGTTATGAAACCTTATATGCAGATGAACTATATTAAAAACTTGTTTAAAGAGCTTCCCTTTTGGCTTAAACTGAAATAAAGTTTCCTTTAAAGTTCTAACTATATTCATGTGTATATCTGGGTACAGTCAGCTAATGAGTTTATTTTGTCTAGTGGTTTTGTGGGTGCCTAATCCTAAAAACTATGAAGGTGAAGACTTATTAATTTAATTAACTCTGTTGCATTACAGGAAATAATTCAGTAAATTAACTCCTTAGAATAGACTTAATATATTAAACATACTTTTTTTTTTTTTTTTTGAGACGGAGTTTAGCTCTGTTGCCCAGGCTGGAGTGCAGTGGCGCGATCTCGACTCACTGCAAGCTCCGCCTCCCGGGTTCGCGCCATTCTCCTGCCTCAGCCTCCCGTGTAGCTGGGACTACAGGCGCACGCCACCATGCCTGGCTAATTTTTGTATTTTTAGTAGAGACGGGGTTTCACCGTGTTAGCCAGGATGGTCTCGATCTCCTGACCTCGTGATCCGCCCGTCTCGGCCTCCCAAAGTGCTGGGATTACAGGCGTGAGCCACCGCGCCCGGCCTAAACATACTTTATATAAATGTTATTTGTTATTAAATATGCACATTATAGAAATAATATATAAAATAAATGCACTGATAAAAAATCTGATGGAATTACTGGGGTTAACTGAAATTCACATACCGTAAGTTAGAGATACTTGTCTGATTTCTTTACACATTTTTATTTTTGTTTTTCTAAACCCATGGTTACTTGACTATGCCTAGCTTGGATGAGTGGGTAAAAAAAAGAAAAATGCATGACTTGTCAGTTTGCTGTTTGTAGCCTTTTCAAAGGTCAACAGATCACAGTTCAGTAGCACAATCATATTTTCCACTTCACAGAAAGGGCCCAGAAGCAAATTTTTCTGAGGTGCTTTATGAAACATTACATTAAAAAGGCGTTTGAGAAAAAAAAAAGGGAGAAAATTCCAAACTCAGTGCAAATATTCATGTCTGGAGGAATTTTATAAATTTAAAAAAGTATAACTATTTAACTGCTAAAAACATTAACTAAACAGCCAGGCACTGTTACAACTTAATCAACTCTCGCATGCTGGGGCTTCAGTCATTTATGATTTGCAGATGAGCCAAGCGAGACCCAGAAATGCTGTGACTTCTCCATGGTTATAAAATATATGTACATTGAAAAAAAAATAAAAACCCAAGCTTTTTGACTCTCAGTTTCCTCCCTCCTCCCCCCCTTCCTTCCCTTTCTTTCTCTCTCTCTTTCTTTCTTTCTTTTTTGAGACAGAGTTTCACGCTTGTTGCCCAGGCTGGAGTGCAGTGGTGCCATCTCGGCTCACTGCAACCTCTGCCTCCTGGATTCCAGCGATTCTCCTGCCTCAGCCTCCTGAGTAGCTGGGATTACAGGTGCTTGTCACCATGCCCAGCTAATTTTTTGTATTTTTAGTAGAGACAGGGTTTCACCATGTTGGCTAGGCTGGTCTCAAACTGCTGACCTCAGGTGATCCACCCGCCTCAGTCTCCAAAAGTGCTGGGATTATGTGAGCCACTGTGCCAGCTGAGTTTCATTTTCTACCCACTGTTTACTGATGGTCCACTAGCATTGCCAAAATCAAACCACCATTTCCAGAAAATAAAAGAAGTCCCCTCACAATCTAAGGAGAAGGGGGAATCATACAATTGAGATACAATCCTTTGACCATGACTCACACTTTTATAGAGTAATTCAGTGTTTTAGGATGAGATTATTCACATTATCTGACTTTTTCATTTTCAGAAGAAATCTGAATCTTGGACCATTTCCCACTGTAATAAAGTGTCCTGGCCAGGTGTGGTGGTTCACACCTGTAATCTCAGCACTTTGGGAGGCCGAGGTGGGTGGATCACGAGGTCAGGAGTTCAAGACAAGCCTGGACAAGACGGTGAAACCCCGTTTCTACTACAGCTACAAAAATTAGCCAGGTGTGGTGGCAGATGCCTGTAATGCCAGCTACTTGGGAGGCTGAGGCAGGAGAATCGCTTGAACCTGGGCAGCAGAGGTTGCAGTGAGCTGAGATCGCACCACCGCACTCCAGCCTGGGTGACAGAGTGCGACTTCATCTAAAAAAAAAAGTGTCCCACTGCTGTGGGGAACACCCTCAGGAAGTTATATTTTATTGACCCATCCTGGCAGCTGACAGGTTGGAAAAAAGCGCTGGTAGAGGAGCAATCACAGGTGAGCCTTGGCAGTTCTCAGGGATGGTTACAGATGCTTTGAACTCCAGGTCTCTTAGGGTAACCCCTCACCATAGTAAAGAGTTAGGAGCCTCTAAATCAATGAACTGTTTGCCTTAGCTGAACAGTGGTGTTGCTTAGGAGCTTAAAAAAAAATCCTGATACTTGGAGCCCATCCCAGGTGCAGCCTGAGGTGGGGGGGGAAGTTAAAGCTCCCCAGGTGGATCTGATGTGCAATCAAGATTGACAATCACTGCTATAAAGTGATTTAGCAAGTCATTTATCTTGTGTAGCCTGTGGATTCCCCCAACAATAGGGCATCCCCCAAGAATGATTCAGAGCTAGCCTCACAAAGGCTGCTGTAGATACTGTGAAAAGAAAATACAGACTTGGCACCCCAATTCACTCTGCCAAAAGAAAAAAATTAAGCTGAAAGCTGAGTCATGCAAGCAACTGCCTTTCCTTTTATTCCTAAGCAGTTAGTCACAGAGAAAGGGTTATATAGCTCCACAGGTAGCTACTCTATGTTCACCTTATTTTATGTAAAAGTGCTGATTTACTGAGTGTGAGATGAATACAAAATTGATGATTCCCCTATCTGCACCTTTTCTCTTGCAACACGTGGATGACTGTACCCTCCCTTTCTCCTCCAGCCCCCTTTTCCCCTTTAAATGTTGAAGTCCTCAAAATCATCTTTGGAGAAAGGCACAGGTAACAGACTGTTTCTGTGATTCTGTGTTTATTTCTTCTGGGCACCTCCCTACCCTTGGCTAAATTAACTTCCGGATTGATTGAGACCAGTCTCAGATATTTTGTGGTTTACAATACAAATGAGGTGATTACGTTTTATTAAAAGTTGGGACCTTCTGCAGGATGGTGATGAATTCATGCTACTCATGGGGCTGAGGCAGGAGAATCGCTGGAACCCAGGAGGCAGAGGTTGCAGTGAGCCGAGATCGTGCCACTGCACTCCAGCCTGGGCGACAGAGCGAGACTCCATCTCAGAAAAAAAAAAAAAAGAAGAAGAAAAAAAGAAAAAACCACGGACCTTTCTAAATTTAACAGGTAGCCCAAATGTGCTTACAATGATTAGAACGTAAAAACCATTTGTATTATTCATTTCAAGTATGTTTTCAGTTCTCATTTGATGTAATGGCAGGCAGTGTCATAGTAGACACAATTTTGGAGTCCCATGGACCAGGTTTAAAGCCAGTTCTACACTTACTGGCTGTTCAACCTTCAGTAAGTTACTTAATGTCTCTGAGTGTTGCATATTCTTCCTCTGTAAGATACAGACAATGGTCTGGCCTCCAGTGTTGTAGGATCAAATGAGATCATGTACATTAACGTGCATGTGGCATGCAGTGCGTGCTAAATAAAGGAGAGCTGTTACTGCGCGTTTCTGGCTTGGAAAGCTTCCCTGAGGCTGCTCAACAAATCTGCAGCCACCCTGTACCAGGAAGCTTGGGATAATGGACAATAATTTTAGGTAAATAGATAGAATAAAAGACCTTTCATTTATATAACTATGAGGCCTGCTGTGTTATGTTATGATTTCTGAAACTCAGCAAAAAATGTTTATCTGGCAGGCAGCTTTCCCTGTAGAAAGATTAGTCTAAAATCTGAAATTCCACAGTCTGGAATTCAGGGACTCTCAAACAAAATTCTGAACACACAGTTACCTGTCAATTAAATTAAGTATGACCATCACATTTCACCATGAGTTAGGGGTTCTTATTTTGGGGATCATCTTTAAAACCATATCCAATAATTTCAGAACTAGTTTCTGTTGCTTATTTTCATAGGACTTATGAAACATAATATCTAAGACCAACTTATTGGATGGTTTGGAAAATATTGGGACATTTCATATCCTGGCCTTCTTCTGAGTCTTTTTTTGATGTTACTGCGTGCATACACTTCCAAGATTAAATCTACATGTGTTTTGTTTAACCCCTTACAAATATATTTTTAAAAAAGAAAGAAAGCTGGATTTTAAGTGTTCTAGAAACACAGTTTTCCTTTACTAACTTATTGAGAAAAGTAGAATTACAACTGACGTAAAACTTGAAGCCCGACACTGAAATAAACCTACCTGCGTGTTTCCTATGACAAACAGTCCTAGTTTAACAAAACAATGCAGATTTGAAGAAGTCAGTTCAACAATGTTACAGACAAAAATGATTTATCAGTAATTTTCTGACATACATAATGGTGCCTTTATTTAATTTTAAAACTATCCGTATTAATTCCCTTCCAGTAAACATACACACTTGCACACACATGTGCCACACAACTTGAGAAATAACACTTTGTCCTTGTTGTCTATCATTAGGACTACCATTGTTACTAATATTGGTGTTTTTTTTTTTTTTTTTTTTGAGACGTAGTCTCACTCTGTTGCCCAGGCTGGAGTGCAGTGGCGCCATCTCGGCTGACTGCAACCTCTGCCTCCTGGGTTCAAGCAATTCTCCTGCCTCAGCCTCCCGAGTAGCTGGGACTACAGGCGTTTGCCACCATGCCTGGCTAATTTTTTGTATCTTTAGTAAAGGCAGGGTTTCACCATGTTGGCCAGGCTGGTCTCAGATTCCTGACTTCAGGTGATCCGCTCGCCTCAGCCTCCCGAAGTGCTGGGATTATAGACGTGAACCACCGTGCCTGGCTTTAATATTGTTTGTATTATCAAAAATAACATTGCTGGTGGAGTGGCTCACACCTGTAATCCCAGCACTTTGAGAGGCTGAGGCAGGAGGATCTCTTAAAGCCAGGAGTTTGAGATCAACCTGGGCAATATGACAAGGCCCCATCTCTACCAAAAAGTTTTAAAAATCAGCAGGGCATGGTAGCATATGCCTGTAGTTTTAGCTACTCAGGAAGCTGAGGTGGGAGGATCGCTTGAGCCCAGGTGTTCGAGGCTGCAGTGAGTTACGATTGTGCTACTGCACTCCACCCTGGGCAACAGAGTGACACCCTGTTTCTACAAAAAGTAAAAAAAAAAAAAAAAAAAAAAAGAGTTGAATGCCAGCCAAGATCAACAAGTCTCTGAATTGCATTCGAGCAATTAATTACTAATTGGGAATCACTGAAAAGGCACAGATTCCAATCAGACACACATTGGCCTGGCATATGCATACTCGCACAAAACCGAAAAAGATTAGAGGCCGTTTATGTTTCCAGTATAAAATATATTATAAATATTTTAAATTCAGACAATTAGATATAAATATATGGCTTTCACCTTTAAGTGAAACAACTGAAAAACGTCATAGTGGTGGTTATCTCAGAGCATTGTTAAGGGAAGGAAATAAAATTAAATGAGATAATGTAAGGGAAAGCCCCTAGTATATCATAGATGCTTATTCAATATTAATTGACAGTAAGAGTTATTTCATTTTCAAACTGAAACACATTAGCCATCATAGCATTATATTTATAATAACTTCCCAGGTTTAGTATCTCCAGCTGTATAAGATTTGACTTCATAGATTGCTGTGTGGTTAGGTTTAACTAGAAAATAGAAGAATAGGGAGTGTATATTCAGGAAAACTTGAATCTATGTTCCCATGTTAAACAATTTTTTAAAAAAAGAAAATGCAGCCAGATGCAGTGGCTCAGGCCTGTAATTCCAGGACTTTGGGAGGCTGAGGTGGTCAGATCTCTTGAGGCCAGGAGTTCGAGACCAGCCTGGGCAACATGGAGAAACCCCATTTCAAAAGAAAAAAAAAGAAAATACAAGAATATATTGTTATTCCTTTCTGTTAGCTATATATCAGTAAGCTTTCTAGAAACAGTTTAGAAGATTTTTCAATAATGAAAAATCAATAATATTTCAAATTGAAAACATCAGAACTCAGGCTGGGCATGGTGGCTCATGCCTGTAATCCCAGCAATTTGGGAGGCCAAGGCAGGTGGATCACTTGAGGTCAGGAGTTTAAGACCAGCCTGGCCAACATGGTGAAACCTCATCTTTACTAAAAATACAAAAAAATTAGCCGGGCGTGGTAGTGGGTGCCTGTAGTCCCAGCTACTAGGGAGGCTGAGGCAGGAGAATACCTTGAACCTGGATGGCCGAGGTTGCAGTGAGCCCAGATTGTGCCACTGTGCTCCAGCCTGGGAGACAGAGCAAGACTCTGTCTTAAAAAAAAAAAAATATATCAGAACTCTGAAATGAGATTGTTACTGGACTTTTATAGTGTTTTATCTAAAATTTTTACCTTTAAAAGTATTCATAAATGTTAAACAAGCAGAGATTTATAATGGTACATAATGAATTATAATGGTTAGGCAAACAGAGTTTGGGTCTAAATAAAGTTTTTTAAATGACAGTTTTTTTTTTTTTAAAGCCAGTTAAATTTAGCAGTCAGGGGTTGTATACCAACTTTAGTGACACTAATATTAATAAGTTCTGATAATCCACTACCACTGGACCAGCCAAAATGATCAATTTTTAAAATACTCCAAATGTTTAAAATATTTAAATTGTTATATCACACAAGAGACAAGAGGACAAATATTGCATAATTTCACTTACATGAGGTACCTAGAATAATAGTCAAATTCATAGAGACAGACAGTAGAGTGGTGGTGGCCAGGGGTGAGGGAAGATGGGAATGGGGAATTCATGTTTATTGAATACAGTTTCCGTTTGGGAAGATGAAAAAAAGTTCTAAAGATGGATGGTGGTGATGGTTGTGAAAAAATATGAGCGTACTTAATGGGACTCAAAATGCTTAAAATGGTAAAATTATTTTTTTTTTTTGAAAGGGAGTCTCACTTTGTCTCTCAGGCTGGTATGCAATGGCACAATCTCAGCTCACTGCAACCTCCACCTCCCAGGTT
Organism: Homo sapiens; assembly: GCF_000001405.40. Taxonomy (NCBI): domain Eukaryota; kingdom Metazoa; phylum Chordata; class Mammalia; order Primates; family Hominidae; genus Homo; species Homo sapiens. The sequence goes on from NC_000002.12 coordinate 230,058,731, forward strand.
CAAGCAATTCTCCTGCTTCAGCCTCCCGAGTAGCTGGGATTACAGGCACATGCCACCATACCTGGCTAATTTTTATATTTTTAGTAGAGACAGGGTTTTGCCATGTTGGCCAGGCTGATCTCGAACATCCGACCTCAACTGATCCACCCAACTTGGCCTCCCAAAGTGCTGGGATTACAGGTGTGAGTCACCGTGCCTGGCCTAAAATGGTAAATTTTATGTTATGCATATTTTATCACAATTGAAAAATAGTAGCTAGTAACATCCAATATCGAATGTTACAACAATATAAAACATCACTTACAGTGGGGAATTGTCATTTGATAACGATTCAGTTTTACGACAGGTCACACATGAACATACCCACTATCAAGGTGATGCCCATGCTGAGGGAGCTGACCCAGGCGGTCAGGCCGCGGCTCTGGTGGAATTCTTCCAGCCATTCCACGTTGAGGACACCCAGGGCCATCTGGGAGCCCATGATGAGGATGTGCACAAAGAAAGAGGAGAGCACCATCATCCAAGCCCATCCGCCATCAATGTTTGGGTGGGGCTTCAGTGTCTTTTTGTCTTTGGGGCCATCTTCAAAATCATACCCAATATCTTCATGACTGGTATACATTTTCCAAGATTTTTCTGAAATACATATAACAAATAATTTCATGGAACATCAAAAGGAAAAATATCTTCATCTTCTTTGTGCAGCTCTACCTCCCCATCAGGGTCAAAGTGGCTCCAGTATCACATCTGATCTTCAGGTTAATCTTTGTCACCATACAGATTTGAAAACACTCCTTACTGTTTCCCAGGAGCAAGTGCTTCTATGAAACCTGTTTCATCTTACAGCCATCACATATATAGGTATTACAATCTTGGGAATAGACTCAGAGAAGTAAGGTGATTTTCTAAGGCCTGTATTTAGTATGGTCAATTGGGAAACTAGGATTTGACCCCAGTTAGTCCTGACTCCAAAGCCCATACCCTGTCTCCCTTATAGAGATGGATACTGACAGGTGACAAGAAAGATGTCAAAGAAGGAAGATCTGGCTTCAGGCAGCCTTTCAGTGTAGCTTCACCTTGGTGGGGTCCCTAGCAGAGGATCTGGTTCTCAGTTTTTGTGGGTGCAAGTGTTAATTTGTTCAGTGCAGCCAGAGTGGATTAGCCTCAGGGGGTCTGGCTCATACTAACCCAGCTCAGGAGAGACTGATAAGTCCAATTGATTACAATGAAAGACATAGCTTTCTAATAATGGTGGTACTTATGTCTCATTATACAAGACTCATACTTTACTCCCCTCCACCCAACCCCATTCCTAGTATTTACACAGGGAACTTAATTAGTTACTAGAAAATTACTTCAAAAATAGGGTATCAGACTAAGGAGTTTGAATAGATACTGTGGTGACATACAGGTCACCAGGTGAGGTTATCAGGTAGGCAGGAGCTAGATCATGCAAGGCCCTTGTGAGCCAAATAAGGAGCTTGTAGTTTATCTTGTACATAATGAACAGCCATTGGACATAATGAGATGGGTACTTTGCATAGATCTATCTCTCAAGATGTTTGAATGAGAGGAGGGAGGCTAGATGGAGCTAGAGGATGCTAGCTCCTCTTTTGTTTGTTTGTTTTCCTGAGACAGGGTCTTGCTCTGTCACCCAGGCTGGAGTGCAGTGGTGTGATCATAGCTCACTGCAGTCTTGAACTCCTGGGCTCAAGGGATCTCCCACTTCAGCCTCCTGAATAACTGGGACTACAGGTACATGCCACCATGCCTAGCTAATTTTCATATGTATATATGTATGTATGTATGTATGGAGAGACAGGATCTCACTATGTTGCCCAAGCTGGTCTTGAACTCCTGGCTTCAAGCGATCCTCCTGCCTCAGCCTCCCAAAATGCTGGTATTACAGGTGTGAGCCACTGTGCCTGGCCTGTTTCATTTTTCATGGTTTTTTTTGGGGGGAGGGGATGAGAATTAAGTGTGTGTATAAAGACTGAGGATAAGGAGCAGGAGTCGGGGGTGGAGAGAGAGAGATATTATGATGATAATGACTAATCCTGGAGATGGTGAAACAGATTGGTCTTTATTAGGAAGAGAGACCCATCCTCTGAGTCTGGAGGAAGGAGGGGGTGGATGAACCTATGATGGTAGTGGGATGGAAAACCACATCTGATGGTTTAATTTCTTTGGTGAAGCAGGAAGTTAGGTTATCGGCTGAGAATGAGGAGGGCAGAGGTTGTGTAGGAGACTTAATGCTCAGAATAATGGAAAAGACTGTTGCCTACAACAAGTGGAAATGATTGCTGGGCAGTTCCAAAGGTCAAGTTGAGCCCTGCAGGGTCCCACTGCCCAGCTATGGCCATGGAGCACCAAGGACAGAGCCAGGGAGCACTCTGCCCCGGAGCTTGCAATAAGCTGGAGGACTTAAAAACAACAAACAACTAAAAGTTGGTCTGCTTTCTAAATCATCACTACATGCCAGCAATTCTAGACAATTACACTGAAAAAATGTTTAGCTGGTCTAAGTTCCAATTATGTTGAATTTTAATTATGTATATGTATGCTTCAAATTAGCTGGTTCTAATTTCTCATCCTTTTGTAAACATTGTATTCTACATGGAAGTTATTTCAAGAACTCCTGGTTTTACAGTTGACCCTGGCACATGTGTAGTCCCAGCTACACACATTATTTGGGAGAGGAAGCCCCTAAGAGTTCAGAATTGTTGGCAAAACAATACCCACTTGGCAAAATCCACACCCACAACCCCTGTGGTGTTATGTGTTGCCGCCTTTCTCAGAACACTCTAGGTGAACTGTGCCAGCACAACTATTGTCCAGAAAAAGAACCAGATCTCAAGTCACTTCACTTGTGTCACTCTATGTACTCACTTGGAGATTCTAGTTTACAATTTAAAATAGTGAAACAGTGAAGACTGCGAGGTACAAAACCTTGGTTTGGAAAGTGACATTTTAAATTAATACTTGAAATGTTTTACTCAATTTGAACAATATCTTTTTTTTTTTTTTTTGAGACAGAGTGTTGCTCTGTCACCCAGGCTGGAGGGCAGTGGCGTAATTTTGACTCTCTGCAACCTCTGCATCCTGGGTTCAAGCAATTCTCATGCTTCAGCCTCCTGAGTAGCTGGGACTACAGGCATGTGCCACCACACCTGGCTAATTTTTGTATTTTTATTAGAGACGGGGTTTCGCCATGATGGCCAGACTGGTCTTGAACTCCTGACCTCAAGTGATCCTCCTGCCTCGGCTTTCAAAGTGCTGGGATTACAGGCATGAAGCACTCTGCCCGGCTCACTATCTTTAAAATTGAAATATATTCTTTTAATTATTTTAACACAGAAGAACAATAACATAATGAGTATTACTGACCATTACATGATTATTACTGAAAATCATTTTGTTGCCATGGCAGAGGGTGATGTAAAAAAACTATCCATTCTGGGTGTCAAAGGCACTAAGAAGTCTCGAATTGTAGAGCTTTTCTCAGGAGTGTTCTGATGTGGACGGGTAGGAGAGAGGAGCAGATTGTGGCAAATTGCACAGTGCCTGCAGCCTATTTCTATCCACACCTGAGTTAAGAATTTTTTGTTTGTTTTTACCTTTTTTTTTTTTTTTTTTGAGACAGGGTCTTGCTCTGTCACCCAGGCTGGAGTGCAGTGGCGTAATCATAGCTCACTGCAGCCTTGAACTAGCAGGCTCCAGTGATCCTTCTGCCTCAGCCTCCCAAGTAGCAGGTACTACAGGCATGTGCCACCACAACTGGCTAATTTAAAAATTTCTTGTAGAGATGGACTTTCACCGTGCTGCCCAGCCTAGTCTCAAGCAAGCCTCCTGCTTTGCAATCCCAAAGTGCTGGGATTACTTTATCTTTCTAAAGGCTATGTTTCCCAAAAACCCTAAAATACTCTGACCACTTAGAGGAAAAGTTTGCTGACCCCTGGACTAGAGCATTCGTTCTGGCTAAGGGTTTACTGGGGGAAAAAATGAGTGTAGGGGATCCAAGGGTACCAGTGGAGAAGCAACTTAGTGGATCTGTCTGGGGATCATCTTCTTTCTTTCTGTCACACCTTGTTCTCATTATTATTTTTACATTTTAAATTATTCCATCTCCTCAACAGCTGTCCAGTCCTCAGCCACTACAGCACCTATGTGCAGTGCTGCTCTTGGCCTGGGTCCTTCCTCCTTCACACATCTGGCTACCTCCCATTATCCAGATTGCTGGGAGTGATAAAATGTTTATCTCAGAAGCCAATTTCCAGGCCGGCGCAGTGGTTCAAGCCTGTAATCCCAGCACTTTGGGAGGCTGAGGTGTGTGGATCACCTGAGGTCAGGAGCTCGAGACCAGCCTGGCCAACATGGTAAACCCCGTCTCTACTAAAAATAGAAAAATTAGTTGGGCATGGTGGCAGGTGCCTAAAATCCCAGCTACTTGGGAGGCTGAGGTAGGAGAATTGTTTGAAGCTGTGGGGGTGAAGGTTGCAGTAGTGAGGTGAGATCACGTCACTGCACTCCAGCCTGGGTTAAAGAGCGAAACTCTGTCTCAAAAAAAAAAAAAAAAAAAAAAAGCCAATTTCTTCAGCCCTTCGAATTATCATTAGGATGGAGTCCCTTCAGCACCTTCTCCCAGCTATTATGTGTGATTTTCTCTCCTTCCCCTCCTCTCTCCTTCCAGCCTCCTCACCTCTTCTGTTGATCCTTCAAGATTCAGTTAATTTATAATAGTGAAACCCTGAAACAGTGAAAAAAGACCCTGAAAACATCTTTACTATCTAACATCAGAATACTTGTTAAATCAATTGATTGTAGCATAGCTAGACAATGTAGGTCTCTCATCAATAATAAAGTTCACACTTTAGCGTGACCCTGTACATTTTCAAAGAGCCCTAGACAGCTTTATTTTTGACATATGTAATAATCTCTTTGTTATTTCTACTAAGACATGTATCCATAGGAAAAAAGACTGGAGCAAAACAAAGAAAAATGTTGATGGAGATTATTCTTTGAATGATGGTCTTACCAGTAATTTCCCGCTTCTTTCTACTATCTTAGTGGTGAGAAATTTCCTCAATATGCCAGGTGTGGTGGCTCATGCCTGTAATCCCAGCAATCTGGGAGGCTGAGGTAGGAGGATTACTTGAGCTCAGGAGTTTAAGACCAGCCTGGACAACAGTGAGACCTCATCTCCGTAAATAAAAATTAGCCAGGCACATGTGGTGGCGCATACTTGTGGTCCCAGCTACCTGGAGGCAGAGGTGGGAGAATTGCTTGAGCCTGGGAGGTTCAGGCTGCAGTGAGTTGTGATCATGCCACTGCACTCCAGCCTGGGAGACAAAGTGAGACCCTGTCTCAAAAAAAAAAAAAAAGTTCCTCAATAGATATATATTACCTGTATTATAAGAAAATAAAAGCTACCTTTAAAATATTGTCTGGATCAGCCTCTTACCTCCAGGTAAATTAGTGGCTGACTTGTAAAAGAGAAAACAAAACAAGATGACCTCTATTGGGAAGTCTTCCAGTATGTCTTGGGTTTCAGCCTTGTCTGTGTGTGTGTGTGTGTGTGTGTGTATGTGTGTGTGTGTGTGTCTGTGTATGCATGTATCTGTCCCCTTCCCAATGTCTGAGCCTGCTTGGGGCTAGAAAGGGATGGGGCAGCCCTTGCTCTCCAAAGCTTACAGCGCAGTGCAGAGCTGCATTGTCAAAGGGCCAGTGGATGAGCCCAGAGAGGGTTCAGAAGGGATGGTTGGTGAGTGTCTTCCCTCTGCCTCTGTTGTGTGCAGAATCCTGAGGAGCCAGAAACAGGAGAACCAGGCAGCTTGACACAAGGTGTGAATAGCTCATAAAAATGTCATTTTGCTGTCCATGGGAAAATGCTCAGCTATGTTTAATGTGATGAAACAACAATACATGGCATTTTCCTGAAGTTCATTTACAACCAAGGAAGGCTTTGAAGTAATACAAATTTAAAAGTTAGAGTTTTTTAGGCCGGGCGTGGTGGCTTATGCCTGTAATCCCAGCACTTTGGGAGGCCGAGGTAGGCGGATCACCTGAGGTCGGGAGTGTGAGACCAGCCTGACCAACATGGAGAAACCCTGTCTCTACTAAAACTACAAAATTAGCCGGGTGTGGTGGCGCATGCCTGTAATCCCAGCTACTCGGGAGGCTGAAGCAGGAGAATCTCTTGCACCTGGGAAGCAGAGGTTGCAGTGAGCCGAGATCGCACCATTGCACTCCAGCCTGGGCAACAAGAGTGAAACTCCATCTCAAAACAAACAAACAACAACAGGAAAAAGTTATAGTTTTTCAGCCCGTGTGTTGAAATATTAAGCACTTTTCTAAATCAATGATAAGAACTTTATATTCTTACTGAATTATTTATGGGTGAAGAGATGTAGGTGCCAACAAACTGCTCTTGATATTTCCAGTTTGTTCATAAATAAGTGACACTGAATAGCATTTAATGGACAAATTTTATTCATGAGGCACAAGGGTGCATGTAGAATATAGTAAAAAAGTTCTTTTTTTTTTTGAGATGGAGTCTTACTCTGTTGTCCAGGCTGGAGTGCAGTGGCATGATCTCGGCTCATTGCAACCTCTACCTTCCAGGTTTAAGCGATTCTCCTGTCTCAGCCTCCTGAGTAGCTGGGACTTCAGGTGTGCACCACCATGCCAGATAATTTTTGTATTTTTGTAGAGATGGAGTTTCACCATGTTGGTCAGGCGGGTCTGGAACTCCTAACCTCAAGTGATCCACCTGCCTTGGCCTCTCAAAGTGCTGGGATTACAGGCGTGAGCCAGCATGCCTGGCCCAAAAAGTTCTTTTGGATCCTCAGGAGGCCCCTATAGATCTGCTGAGCAATGGAGTCAGTTGTATTTCACACTTAAATCTCTCCAAAAGTAATTACTGTTTTGACTACTCATGGTTAACTTCTAGACCAACTAGTTAATGAAAACAAAAGACAACAGAAAAACAAATGTTTATCCCTCCAACTCCAAGATTGCTTGTAGCATTCATATAATTATATACATGTATAATTATATATGTATTTATATAAGATATAAGAATAATTTTAGTATTATAATCCTACTCCACACCTGGAGAGGGAGAACTTAGAGGGTGTATCTGTACCCCTAGGCTCCATGTCTTTGACCACCATAGGGCCTTCAAGCTCCCTTACATTTTCTACATCCTGACATACATGTAAAATGACGATATGCATGTGGCACCCTGAGGCAGTGAATGTGGGGCTTCTGCTAAGGATTAATATGTAAAATGTGGCAGAACACGGTGGCTCATGCCTGTAATCCCAGCACTTTGGGAGGCTGAGGGGGATGGATCACTTGAGGTCGGGAGTCTGAGACCAGCCTGGCCAACATGGTGAAATCCCTTCTCTGCTAAAAATACAAAAATTAGCCAGTGTGGTGGTGCGCACCTATACTCACAGCTATGCAGGAGGCTGAGGCAGCAGAATTGCTTGAACCTGGGAGATGGAGGTTGCAGTGAGCTGAGATGGTGCCACTGCACTCTAGCCTGGATGATAGAACGAGACTACCTCAAGAAAAAAAAAAAGTAAAAGGTAACCCACTCTAAGCAAGCTTGCTATTGGAAGCTTGACAAAAAATATTAGGGCTTCGTTATGAAGAGGGTGAAATAAGAAAATGGGAAGATTACGGGAGCAATAGTCAGCCTTCCATTCTCCCCAAATGAGTTCATAGACGATGAAAAAGAAATTGTAAATGGGGGGTAACATATATAGGCTATGAAACTGGGTCAGCTACATATTTACGTGATAATAGGCAGAAATGAAAATAACAGATCCTTCTAGGGTGTTTCAGATATTAGAACAAAATTAAATTTTCTACAGCAGCGTAGAAAGTTTTACAAGCAAGTCATTTTTTTTTTTTTTTTGACAGAGTATGGCTTTGTCGCCCAGGCTGGAGTGCACTGGTGAGATCTCGGCTCACTGCAACTTCCGCCTCCCGAGTTCAAGCGATTCTCCTGCCTCAGCCTCCCGAGTAGCTGGGACTACAGGTGTGTGCCACTGCATCTTTAGTATCTTTAGTAGAGAAGGGGTTTCGCCATGTTAGCCAGGCTGGTCTCGAAACTCTGACCTCAGATGATCCACCCGCCTCGGCCTCCCAAAATGCTGGGATTACAGGCATGAGCCACCGCGCTGGGCCAAGTCATTCATTTTTAATTTGGCTATTGTTATTACATTGCATGTGGTGAGCTCATTACACATAAGGAAAGCGGGAAGCACGAAGCTAAAATTGAAATTACAGTCTTCCCCAAAGCTACGCAGAGCGTGGTGGTAGCGGCTCTGCATCCCACGCAGGTGAGTGCGGGCTTCACCTTTAATTCTGCTCTGCAGGCGCTTCCGCGCTCTTCACCTGGTGTGTACAGGGCATTTGGGGCCTTTAGAGGGCGCACTTGCGGCCAGCAGGCTGAAGAGGCTGCCGCGGAGAAGGCTGGGGAGCGGAGCTGAGCTGAGCTGGTGCAGACAGCATAGGAGAAAAACAGAACCGAAAAATTCACACCGAATTAGGAGGACTCAACACATACATGCTTCGCTCTGGGTCAGGGACTGTGCTTGGTGGCTTCTCCTCCAGTCCAATTGGCATGAATGTCCGCATTTTACAGAGGAAGAATCTGAGCCATCAAATGGGAGCAATGAAGCTTAGAAAGGTTAAACTAGCAGGCTGTGGAAACCAAATCGGAACCCAGGCCTGCAGGATCCCAAGCCTGTTTTACCTCCTCCCACCCCCAACACTGCCTCTCTCCCCTCTCTTCTCTCTCTCTCTCTCTCTCTCTCTCTCTCTCTCTCTCACACACACACACACAGCCGCACACGCACGCACATGCAAACAAAGAAGCCAGACAAGGCAAAGGAGAATCTCTCTAAGCCCCAATAATGGCCCTCAGTCATCCTTGTTAATGAGCCCGAATCAACTTTTCCTCAGAAAGAAAATGGCTTAATTGGAAAGCAGAGTTCAGCTCCTAAAACATCGTCATGGCCTTGGCAGCGTTTAGCCCCGAAATGGCCGTCCCCGGTCTCTCACCCCATTTCAGCCTCTCTTGAGGAGCCTCAATCGGAAGCGCTAAGGGGGCCCAGCCTCTGCGCGCCCTGGGTGCGGGATCGTGCCCGCGGGGTCCGGCCTCGCGCCCCACCCTTCGAGCGCCCGCCCCCACCCGCGCTCGGTGCTCCCGCTCCCTTGGCACCCCGAGACCACATCCCCACTTCGGGCACCCCGCATCCCTCGGCGCGTTCGGAAGCCAGCAGCCCACCGGGGAAGCTGGGCCGGCTGCAGCACCACAGCCTGTGCAGAGAGGCATCCGCACCCCGCGAAGTCCCTAGGCGCAGCCCCGGGTCCCCCGCTCTGCGCCTCATCACTGTCCAGTTCGAGTCCCAAACGGGCCTAGAGAGCAGCCGGGCAGCGAGGCTGGGCTCCGGGCAGAACGCGCTTCTCCAGCCGGACGGGGGTGCCCAGGATGACGCTCGCGGGGCCCCGGCCAGCTTGAGCAGCAAGGCGCGCGTCCCCAAGCTCCGCCTGGCGGTCTGCCCTGAACCGCCGGTTACCCTGCCCGCCCGCAGCTCCCAAGCCCCCGCGGCGGCCTTGGCACTACCACCTGCCCCGGCACAGTCTCGCCCTCCACCGCCCGGGCAGCCTTTCCCGAGCCTGCCTTGGGCTGGGGCTGCCCCTTCCCGGGGGTCCCTGGGGGTGCAGCGGCCATCTGAAACCTAGGCTCCGATGCCCCCGGCGTCGCTCCATTCCCCAGGCCCGCGGCGCGCGCGGCCTCGGATACTCACCGCCCGAGGCCCGCTGGGCTGCGGCCTCACTCGGCTCCACGCCCGGATCCTCGAACTTGCTGCTCTGCTTGGAGCCCCCTGAGCTGCTGGGTGTAGAGATTTGTTGCAATGTCGCCTATCATCCTGGAGACGCGGGTGCCTGCGGCTCAGCTCTCCGCCCGGCTCGGTGCGCTCTGTGAGGGGCTCCCGGGCTCTTCCGCCGCTCGCTGCCAGGCCAGGTGAGCGTTTGGTGGAGCTGAAAGCTCGACGCCTCAGTCCAGGTGGCTTTAAAACGGGTGCGTTTGGAGGTGCCCAAACCTAACCTGGGCTTCCTTCCAATCGGAGCAATTTCAAATCTTCATGCTCGTTCATTCCTATACCGGCTAATTCTGGTTTGGCAGGGAAAAAAAATGCAGTCACCTCACATGCACACTCTTGTGGCCGGTTGAAGTTTATAGCTTTGGCTGAGGTTCCGCTAAGGCGCTGCACATTTATCACTGGCGGAAAGGTCCTGAAATCTAATCCAGGATGCAAGTGAGACTAGCAGTAGCCTCCATTTCTCTGAGATGGGAGAGAAGGGATGAAACAGACCCTCACTGAAATATTTTTGGCCAAAGAGGACTCAAAGTCCCTTATTCTCTCTCTTTTAGAGACACGGGTTTCACTATATTGCCAGGCTGGTCTCGAACACTTGGACTCAAGGAATCCTCTGGCCTTGGCCTCCAAAGTGCTGGGATCACAAGCTGAGCCACCGTGACCGGCCAGTCCCTCATTCTTGTTTCCACCCTGGGTCCCACCTCTCCCTGCTCTTTCTGCACGTCCATTACCTACCTTCGTGGGCACCAGGCACAACTTTCATCTCAATACCTCCCTACCTCATTCCCAGCAGGGCACACAACATAGTGCTTTGCCTTGGACAGTTTTCTGTATTATTGAAGTGAATGTGTGAGTCGATGAAGCCTGTGCTGTTTTTTCCCGCCTGAAGGTTTTGCAGTAATTCTCTGCTGCTGTTGTGATAAACTGCCACAGTAATAGCAGAGGAAAACCACACAAATTCACTATTTTACAGTTCTGGAGGTCGGAAGTTTGAAATGGGTCATACTAGGCTGAGATCATGGTGTTGGCCACCTTGAAGGCTGTGTTCCTTCTCGTGGCTGTAGGGGAGAGCCACCAGCTTCTGCAGGCCGCCCACATTCCTTGGCTGGTGGCTCTTCCTCCATCTTCAAAGCCAGCACTGCTGCGTCATTTTGTCTTCTTTCCATACTCACATTGCCTTGTCTCCCCTTTTCTGCCCCCACCCCTGTCCACTTTTAAGGACCCTGGGGATTACATTGAGTCCAATGAGATAATCCAGATAATCTCTCTATTTTAAGGTCAGCTGATTAGCAACCTTAATTCCATCTGCAACCTTAATTCCCCTCTTGCCATGTAAGGTAACAAATTCACATGTTCCAGGGATTAGGATGTGGACATCTTTGGGAGACCATTATTCTGCCTACCACAGATTTCCTTCTTTCTTCTTTTCCTTTTTCTTTTCTTCCTTCTTTTTCGTTTCTTTGAAAAAAAATTCACATGTATTTCACATTGCCTTCCTCGGTCACCCAAGCTGGAGTGCAGTAGCATGATCACAGCTCATTGCAGCCTCAACCTCCTGGGCTCAGGTGATCCTCCCACCTCAGCCTCCTGAGTAGCTGGGACTACAGGCACACGCCACCATGCCTGGCTAATTTTTTTGACTTTTTATAGAGACGGAGTCTCATTATATTGCCCAGACTGGTCTTGACCTTTTGGACTCAAGTGATCTGGCTGCCTCACCCTCCCAAAGTGCTGGGATTACAGGCATGAGCCGCTGCACCCGGCCTATATTGCTATTTCTTATATCAATTCTGTCTCTCTTTTTTTTTTTTTTTTTTTTTGAGATGGAATCTCACTCTGTCACCCAGGCTAGAGTGCAGTGGCAATCTTGGCTCACTACAACATCTGCTTCCCAGGTTCAAGCAATTCTCCTGCCTCAGCATCCCAAGTAGCTGGGGTTATAGGAGCGTGCCACCATGCCCAGCTAATCTTATATCAACTCTTGATTTAAAAATTATTGAGGCTGGGCACAGTGGCTCACGCCTGTAATCCCAGCACTTTGGAAGGCCAAGGCGGGTGGATCACTTGAGGCTAGGAGTTCAAGACCAGCTTGGCCAACATGGTGAAACCCCGTCTCTACTAAAAACACAAAAATTAGCTGGGTGTGGTGGCGCCTGCCTGTAATTCCAGCTGCTTGGGAGGCTGAGGCACGATATTGCTTGAATCTGGGAGGCGAGAATCGCTTGAACCTTGAGCTGAGATCGTGCCTCTGCATTCCAGCCTAGGCAACAGAGTGAGACTCTGTCTCAAAAAAAAAAAAGAAAAAAAAATTTTGAGAAAATTGTGAGAAATTGTGGCCAAGTGAGGGCATTTTGATGAGGTGCTAGGCTTCAGTGGTTTACATATCTTACTTTTGCTGATAAGAACACGGGCAACTGGATGGTTAGTGTTCCCTTGGGCGGTGCCTCTCATATCCACTCATTTCAAGCAGGCTTTTGACAGCAAGATTAGGGTTCCTGACAAGCACTTCAATTGCCGATGATCCATTTTGTTGGAAAAGAAGTCTGTAAGATTTTTAAGTCTGTTTTTTTTTTCTCTGAAAACTTGCCCACTTATGGAGGTATGATGGATCTCATATGAACTGTGCATATTTAGTGTCCAATTTGATGAGTTTCAGCATATGGAGGTAGGATGGATCTCGTATGAACTATGCATATTTAGTGTACAATTCGATGAGTTACAGCACGTCTATGGAACTACCACCTCAATCAAATGACTCCAAAATTTTCCTTGTGCTGCTTTGTAATCCTTGTCCCACCTCCACACACCCAGGCAGTCTTTAATTGGCTCTCTGAGAAGCTTCTACTCTGGACCATGAAGGCTTTTCTGATCAATTATTTTGTCTTCATAAGTTTCACTGCTCTTACCTGTCTGTTGGTCTCTCAGTGACACAGGTGGATTGAGGACAGGCCCAAAGCAAAGAGGACTGTGACCCATAAGTTGGTATGTCTGGGTTAAATAAATAGAAATCCACTATCAGGCCAGGCGCAGTGGCTCATGCCTGTAATCCCAGCACTTTGGGAGTCCGAGGTGGGCGGATCGCCTGAGGTCGGGAGCTTGAGACCAGCCTGGCCAACACGGTGAAAACCCATTTCTACTAAAAATACAAAAATTAGCAGGGCGTAGTGGTGGGTGCCTGTAATCCCAGCTACTCAGGAGGTTGAGGCAGGAGAATTGCTTGAACCCAGGAGACGGAGGTTGAAGTGAGACAAGATAGCGCCATTGCACTCCAGCCTGGGTGACACAGCGACACTCTGTCTCAAAAAAAAAAAAAATCCATCTTCAATTAGAATGTAAAATATAAGCGCTAAACTCTTTTCATGTATCTGAAGTAGAGAAACCTGACATTCTCCCTTGATTTTTAGGCAAATTATATATTTTCTCTCAATAGCAATCTTACCTTTAATTGAATTGCATTAGCTAACAACCTTACATCTTAAGAATGTAAACTAATTCACATGCTGCCTGTAAAAGCCTCCTCTCTTAGTTCTAATCATGTACTCAATTGATTTCATAATCCCACCTTGGAGTTGGGGTGAAACTGAGAATTTGGACAATCTTTGCCTTAATTTTGGTGGTTTAATGGTGTAGAATAGGCACAGAGTGGGATAGAATTAGCTTTTGAGAAAGTTGCTAGCACAGAACATTGAAGGGGTTAGAGAAATGCCTTAAAGTGTCACCGTGACTGCCTCATTGTTGTAGCCAGCCCAGATGTAAAGATGACCCACAACCCACATGGTCACCAAGAATATCCTCTGTCTCTCAGTATGGCCCTGTTCCCCACTCCTCTGAGTTTAATGTGGGAGATCAAAGACTAGAATCCAGAACACAAGTGCCTGAAATGCAAGTGTGCTCAGAAATCACAGGGCAAGCCACACGCTGCACAGCCAGGCAAAGTTTTATGAAGGAGGAAGGAAATGCTTTCTCTTACACAGGGCCAGAAATCCAGTGCTGTGCCCAAATCCGTGCCACCTCTTGGCTTGGTGGGTCAGTCTGTGCCCCCCCAGGATTCTCCCTGTGACTGGATTTATCTTTCCGTAAGTGCAGATGCTTTTACCAAGTGGGGACCTTGGTTACATCTGGTCTTGGCAGGTATCTTCAGTCTTGGCCTGCTGCCAAACCAGCCTCCAGGGATTTTGGACTTCAGCATGGCTTATGGGGACAGAAGGAGGTTGCAGGGCTGATAGCAGCCTTCAGCAGCCTGGAGTCTCATAAGAACCACCACACTGAGATGACATTGGTCATGGCTTCTGGGTGCCTCATAAATTTCAGATTTCAGCAAGGCCTCATTTTTATGCTTTATCCATGAACCATATGTGCTAGTAGTTACTTTTCAGCTATTCATTTATTTTTTCATTCAACAAATATTTGCTGAACGTGTATGATGTGATTTTATGAAGTGCTGGGGATACAGCAATGAACAAAACCAACACAAATGCTTTTCTGCACTAAGTATATGTTCCAGTGAGCAAGAAAAACAAGTTATATATATGTAATGCATATATGTGTATGTGTATTTATTTCTCTCTCTATATATATGTATATATATACATACATATATATACAATTAGTAATAAGCACTAAGAAAAAAATTAGGCAAGGACAGGGAAATTGAAGGGTTATTGTGATGGGAAACTTTAGAAGGGAGAGAGAAAGCATCAATAAGAAGTGCTGGAATGAGCCATGAGAATGACAGGAGGAAGCTCATCCTAGCAGGAAGAGTAGCAGGTACAAAGTCCACAAGGCAGAGGGAAGTGTCTGTAGGTCACCCTAAAGCCTTGAAAATCACAGGAAAAAAACTGGCTTTTATTCAGAGACAGGAAGCCACTGGAGAGTTGAGCAGGGGGGGCTGGGCATGGTGCCTCACGCTTGTAATCCCAGTACTTTGGGAGGCTGAGGTAGGTGGATCACTTGAAGCCAGGAGTTTGAGACCAGCCTGGCCCACATGATGAAACCCTGTCTCTACTAAAAATACAAAAGTTAGCTGGGCGTGGCCGTGCATGCCTGTAATCCCGCTACTTGGGAGGCTGACTACAATAATCCAAGGGAGAGACAATGGCTACTGGGACCATAGAAGTGGCAATGAAGGTTGTAAAACAAAATTGGATCTGAATATACTTTGGAGGCAGAGTTGTAGGATTTGCTTTCAGATTGAATGTGTGAGAGAAAGAGGAGTCAAGGATGACTCCAAGGTTTTGGCTAAGTGATTGGAAGAATGGAGCTGACATTAACAAAGATGGGAAGACTGCAGGAGGAGCTTGTTTGGGGGAGATATTAGGAGTTCAGATTTGGACCTGTTACTATTTTAATATGGCATACATAGTTACTCTTTTAATAGTTACTACTTTTAATAGTTACATGGGATACATAGTTACATGGGATACATAATTACTATTTTAATGTGGCATACATAGTAGTCATACAATGGAATATTATACAGCAATCAAAAGGATCAACTCCATTAATACACCATATGTTTGAATCTTAGAAATTACATATTAAGCAGAAAAAAGCATAATACTCTTTATGCAAAATTACAAAACTTAAACCAAATATTTTTGGAATGCATCTAGGTGCAGTGCAACTATCCAAAAAGAGAAGCAAGGAAAGATGAACATGGGACTTAGGTCAGGGATGACAGGGAGAAGGGATGGGTATGATTAGATGTGCCTTGTTGTGCTGGCTTCGTGGACACTTATTTAATTATTAAAATCAATTAACTTAGCCAGGCATAGTGGCTCACCCCTGTAATCCCAGCACTGTGGGAGGCTAAGGCAGGGTGACTGCTTGAGGGCAGGAGTTCAATATCTGCCTGGGCAACCTCAATAGTGAGGCCCCATCTCTACAAAATAAAAATTAAAAATAACAGCTGGGTGTGGTGGCATGCACCTGTAGTCCCAGCTACTCAGGAGGCTGAGGTGGGAGGATTGCTTAAGCGCAGGAGTTTGAGGTTACAGTGAACTATGATGGTGCCACTGCACTCCAGCCTTGGTAACCAAGCAAGACCTTGTCTTTAAAATAAATAAATAAATAAATAAAAATAATGAGCTCACTATGACCAAGTGGGACTTATCCCAGGAATGCAAGGTTGGTATGTATTTGAAAATCAGTTAATGTGATAGATAGTATCAATAGAATAAAGGATGAGGTGTGGGCCTATAGTCCTAGTGACTCAGGAGGATGGGGTGGGAGGACTGCTTGGGGCTACAGTGAGCTTTGATCCCACCACTGCACTCTAGCCTGTGCAAAAGAGCAAGATCTAAAACAACAACAACAACAACAACAAAACAACAAAATGAAAAACAGCCCGGTGCGGTGGCTCACGCCTATAATCCCATCACTTTGGGAGGCCAAGGCAGGTGGATCACTTGAGGTCAGGGGTTCAAGGCCAGCCTGGCCAACATGGTGAAACCTTTTCTGTACTAAAAATACAAAAAGTATCTGGGCGGGTGTGGTTGCACGTGCCTGTAGTCCCAGCTACTCAAGAGGCTGAGGCAGGAGAATCGCTTCAACCCAGGAAGCGGAGGTTGCAGTGAACTGAGATCATGCCACTGCACTCCAGCCTGGGCGATAGAGCGAGACTCTTTCTCAAAAATAAACAAATAAATAAATAAATAAATAAACATTTTAAAAAAGGAAAAAATCAAAATAACATGATCATCTTAATATATACAGAATAAGTATTTGACAAAATACAACACCCTTTCATGACTAAAAAAAACACACAACAGACTAGCAATTGAAGGGTACTTCCTCAACCTGATAAAAGGCATCTACAAAAACTCACAGCTAACATCATACTTGATGGTGAAAGATTGAATGCTTTCCCCTAAAGATCAGGAACAAGATAAGGATATCCACTTTTGACATTCCTATTCAATATAGTACTAGAGATTCTAACCAGGGGAATTAGGCAATAAATAAATAAAAGATTAAAAATTAAAAAAAGAAATAAAGGGCATCCAGAATAGAAAGAAGAAAATAAAATTACCTCTATTTTCAGATATATGATTTATATACAGAAAACATAAGGAATCCACTAACAAGAATAGGACTTAAGAAGTGCATTCAGCAAAGTTGCAGCATACAAGATCAGTGTATGCAAATTAATGATATTTCTATACACTAACAACTCCATTTACAATAACATCCAAAAGAATTTTAAAAATTGGGAATATGCTTAAAGGAAGTGCCAAGCTTGTACTCTGAAAATTACAAAGCATTACTGAATGAAAATAAAGACCTAAATACCTGAAAAGACATCTGCCTGAACACCAGTGGGCCTTACAGCCCAGGCAGATTCTGTAACCCTGGTTCACCAGGCCAGTCCCCAGCTGGGCCTACATTGTCTCCTCTGCAAGAAAGGATCAGGAGATATCAATGTATTGCCAAGACCAAATACCAGCATTAGAGAACTTTTAGGACTGTGTAATCAGTGATTATGAAAATAAAGAGCTCTCCTCTTCCTTGTTGCGAAGTAGCAGAGCATTTATGGTGAAAGCCAAGAATGCACAGAGTTGAGCTGTTTCCGAGGTCAGCCAGACCAAAAGCCCAGCTCCTCCATCTGTGTGTACTTGGCCTGGCATCAGCGCTGGAGTGGGTGTAATACCAGCACCTACATCAAAGGGTTGTTGTGAGGATTAAATAAGACAACACACGGACAGCACTGTGCCTGGCACATCATTAGGGGACTTATATTTAAAGTAGTGATAAGAGCGTCATCCAAGCCTATTCCACCTGAGAGAGAGAATTGCCTGACACGAGAACCCTCTTGAGAGGCAGCATATATTAGTCATTAAGAGTATAAAGCCTGGAGCCTCACTGCTGAACTGCAATCCCAGCTTTCACCACTCACCTCTTTATCTGTTAATGAGGTTGCTGAGCATCTCTACATCTCAGTGTCATCTTCCGTAAGACGAAAATGTCTCAGCCCATTTGGACTGCTGTAACAACATACCATAAACTGGGTGGCTTATGCACAACAGACATTTATTTCTCGCAGTTCTGGAGGCTGGGAAGTCCATGATCAGGGTGCTGCAGATTTTAGTGTCTGGTGAGGGCCCATTTCCCGGTTCATATACAAAATCTCACTGTGTCCTCACATGATAGAAGGGGCAGGGCACTCTCTGGGGTCTCTTTTATGAGGACACTGATCTCATTCATAAGAGCTATGCCCTCATGACCTAATTACATCCCAAAGGTCCTACCTCCCTAATACCATCACCTTGGGGGTTAGGTTTCAATGTATGAATTTGGGGGGGATACAAACTTTCAGACTGTAGCAGATTAATAAAAATAATACAATAATAAAATATATAAATATTTTAACAATATTTTATTATTTTATAAATAATAAATATACATTTTATTTATATTTTATTTTATAAAAGTATAAATATATTTTAATAATAATAATAATACCTACCTCTTGAGTTGCTGTGAGGAGTAAATGATTTAAAGTATGTGAAGGCTGGGTACAGTGGCTCACATTTGGAATCCCAGCACTTTGGGAGGCCGAGGCAGGAGGATTGCTTTAGTCCAAGAGTTCGAGACCAGCCTGGGCAACAAAGTGAGATCCGTGTCTCTACAAAAAAATGAAAAAATTAGCTGGGCATGGTGGCATGTGTCTGGGGTTCTAGCTACAAGGGAGGCCGAGGCAGGAGGATCACCGGATTCCAGGAGGTTGAGGCTGCAGTGAGCCACTGCACTCCAGCCTGGACAACAGAGTGAGACCCTGTCTCAAAAAAAAGAGTATATGAAGTCCATTGACCTGTACCTCCTGATGAGATATACTGAGAGGAACACAGCAGCCCTTCTGTGAGATCGTTGACAAAAAATACATAGGTCTAATCATGGGGAAACATCAGACAAAGCTGAATTAAGGGACATTCTACAAAATAACTAGCCTATCCTTCCCAAGAAGGTTGGCATCACCAAGGGTAAGCAAAGATTCATGAAGAGCCCAGCTTCAAGGAGACATGAGAGAAATGACAAATAAAGGCAACACGTGATCCAGGGTTGCTTTTACCAGTTGTGGTGGGACCATCAGCTAAATCTGATTAAGGTCTTGAGATTAGGTAATAACACTATAAGCCTATTAGTTTTTTAAAATTTTAACAATTACAGTACTGTGGTTATGTAAGAGAATGTCTTTTTTTAAAAAAAGAAATGCTCGCTGAAGTATTTAGGAGTAAAAAACAATTTTTTAAAAGTATGAAAAGTTCTTAGAATGATCCTTGGCACATAGCACCCATGGGTGTTAGCTATTATTTTCTAGCTGAATTTTTGCAGGGCCAAATTCCATTTAGTATCCAGCAGTGCTATTGTGACCTTTATTAACAATGCTGCAGGAAACTGGCTAATCTAACTGCTTTTTCTTTTCCTGTTTCCCAGCGTTTGGTTTCTGATCTTATGCAGTCCCGGAAAATATGTACCCCATAAACATACACATCCACTAAGTATGCACAATGTTTTTTAATTGAAAAAGTAAAAAAAAAAAAAAAAGAAAGAAAACATAAAAGAAAATATAGAAAAGCTACAAGGACTTTCCTTTTCTCACACTTAACACCTCTCTGTTCCTCTTGGTTCCTTCTGCCCTCCCTACCTTTCTCCATTCCCCTTTTATGGGTCTTAGTTTATTGGTGGAAGCTGAGCCCACCTGTGGCTCCCGGGGCAGGACTGGGTGGATCAGGCTCCTCTGCCTCAGCAGGGAAACCTGCCTGCTGCTGAGCATGGAGAGGGCTGCTCAGCAGAGAGGAGTGGGGCATTTGCAGAGAAGTGGATCTCCCAAAGAAGGCTTTTAAATAGTTCTCTATGGTCTCCTGTCCCGCGTGGGATTGGATAATCAGGTGACACATGGGGGAGGGGTGGTGTCACATAAAAATGCCTACCTAAGCCGTGTGCTGCTTCCCAATTTATTTTGTGACTAACTCCCTAGGGACCAGGATGGCCAGAGAAGGGCAAGAGAACTTCGGATTAGTTAGTTAGGGCTGGTTTTCTCAAAACCCTTGTCATGCATGGATGGCTAAATCTTGAACCCAGTCCTCAGTGACTTTTACCTTGGGATAAGAGGACCAAATTATTGTGTTTGTTGGTGACTGGACAGCTCCTAATAAAACATAGTCATCTGGATTCATTGTAAGGAAGGCCAGCATTGATATGGACGTGTAACTAGCCTGGAGTCCCACACACTTGAGCCACAGTGGGGCCTTCAGGATACTTGCGGTAAAACAAAAATCATAATCAAATGCAGTTCATGGAGTTTTAAACCTCCATGGAAAGAGGTCTGCCAATGGGAAGGATGAAAAAAATGGTTTGATCCGGCCAGTCATGGTGGCTCACGCCTGTAATCCCAGCACTTTGGGAGGCCGAGGCAGGCAGATCACGAGGTCAGGAGATCGAGACCATCCTGGCTAACATGGTGAAACCCTGTCTCTACTAAAAATACAAAAAAAAAAAAAAAATTAGCCAGGCGTGGTGGCGGGTGCCTGTAGTCCCAGCTACTCGGGAGGCTGAGGCAGGAGAATGGCATGAACCCGGGAGGCGGAGCGTGCAGTGAGCCAAGATCGGGCCACTGCACTCCAGCCTGGGCGACAAAGCAAGACTCCATCTCAAAAACAAACAAACAAACAAAAAAAATGGTTTGATCCTCCTCAATAGGTATAGAGGTGAGAGGACGGAGAAGGACATTGTTCATAGAGGTTATACTGGCTGCAAAAATAGGAGGGTGTGCTTCTTGGGTATCAGGACTGTCAGAATGATTTGAGGCAGTATCTTCTGGAGGGTGAACTGGTAGCACTGGTGATTTTAGACCCACACTGACTAGCAGTAACTAACACTAGGTCTCCTTCAGGCATTTTAAAAGAGTATTGAGCTCCTACAAGGTGCCAGACACCAGGTATCTAGGTGCTGACACATCAGTAATAAACACGTGCATGTGCAATTCTTTTTCAGTTCATTGAATACTCAAGGAGAAAGTCCGGGTGGAGTGTTTAACACCTCTAATTTATTAAGGGAGAGAGCAGTCTTCAGATTCGGAATCATCAACAAGTAGCCCTACCTAGTTGGAATTTAATAACCATATATTGTTTTTAGGTACTTATTTGTGGTTTCTCTTATTAATTTATTTAACAATAGTTATTGAGGGCCAGGTGAGTCCTGGGTGACGGAGAAGACTGTATTGGACAAGCTGACAGGAGTTCCTGTTCTCATGGAGTATGCATTCTAAGGGAGAGTGAAACAGGCAATATTTCAGGTGCTAAGCATTATAAAATAAAACAAAGTAGGGTGAGGGGAGTGAGAAGGAGGTTTCTTTGCTCTTTTACATATTTACAAGTGGTAGACTTGCTTTCCATTTACATAAATGATATGACACTTCTTATCAAAACAAAATTTAAGTTAAACCTGATTTCATTTAAAGAAAGTGATAAGTAAGTAATTGTTCAGCAAGATGGTAGGCAAATAACTGACATGTGGCAAGCATTGCTTTAACGCAATTGTTCCCTGCCTTGGCTACACATTAGAACACCTGGGAGCTTTTGAAAAAAATCCAGATGGTCAGGCCAAACTCCAGACAAATTGCATCAGAAGAATTAGCCAAGAAATCCTCATCCCCTGGCCTCACAGTGTGTTTATTTTCTGGAGAAACTGAACCAGAGAGGGTCCAGATTCAGGTATCAGGCAGGGCAGAAGGTGGAGCTGAGGATCCAGAGGTCTGTGGGGTTGGGTGACATCTGTATACTAAGTGGTGGGACACCGCCAATAAACTTTCACCTCTCCTGTTCCCAGGAGGGCAGCCTGGCTTATTTTCCCAAAAAGGAGACTAGAAGATTCTTCCCTGGAGAAACTGAATAAGTTCAAAAAGGCTGAATTGAAAATAATGATGTTTGGGGGTACCCAGTGACAAAGTAGGCTTTCCACCCAATAAAAACCAGTAAAATATAAGCATTGGTATACCCTTCCCTGCCCAAGAACACAGAGCTTCTAATTAGCTATAGGATGGAGGTCTAAATCTATGCCTGCTAAGCTAATTGGGTTTTTAAAAGTTGGTTACGGCGATGGAATTGGAGGGATGGCCCATGCTTAGAGTGTGGGCACTGACCGATCCCATCCTGAGCGAAGTAGGTTACATAGAGGTGCCAGCCGGCTGGAGTTGCCTCTCCACTGGCCCGCCATTGGTGTGTGCTCACTAAGAAGAGCAACTGACCATGCTTACAACGAGCCTGGCTTGATTCTCACATCTTTATGAATTATTTTATTCAATTGTCACAATACCTCCATGAAGGAGAGGCTATTATTTTCTCATTTATAGGTGAGGAAACAGGGGCACAGACGGGTTAAGGAATTTGCCCCAGTTCATGAAGCTAGTAAGTGGCTGAGCTGGATTTGAATCAGGCAGTCCAGCTCTACAGTCCCTGCGTCAACCATGATACATGCTGCCTTTAGTTGAGTACACATTTTAAGTGGGGGAAAAATCTCAAGAGACATGTCCCTGGTTCCTGCAGGCTACAGTTGGTTTGAGGAACAGGTGTCCCTGTCTCCCTAACCAGGTGCTTAAAGGCTTCCTTGACCTGACCCAGCTCACGTTTCAAGTGTCCTCCTCTGCTACACCTGTATTGTCACTGTTCCAGGCTGAGTGGATTGCCCTCAATTTCCAGAGGACATTTATGCTTTGTGTTTCTATGTGCTTTTTCCTTGGCTTGGGATCTCCTTCTACTATACTTTTTTATTTATCATAATCCTTTTCTTTTTTCTTTCTTTCTTTTTTTTTTTAGTCATGACTCAACTCAAGCTAGCTCCTTCATGGCCACATCTCTCAGATCAATTTTTTTTTTTTTTTGAGACAGAGTCTTGCTCTCTTGTCCAGGCTGGAATGCAGTGGTGTGATCATGGCTCACTGCAACCTCTACCTCCCAGGTTCAAGTGATTCTCCTGCCTCAGCATCCTGAGTAGCTGGGATTACAGGTGTCTGCCACCATGCCCAGCTAATTTTTCTGTATTTTTAGTAGAGATGGGTTTTCACGATGTTGGCCAAGCTGATCTCGAACTCCTGTCCTCATGCGATCCACCTGTCTTGTCCTCCCAGTGTTGGGTTTACAGACGTGAGCCACTGTGCCCAGCTCAGGTAAAAATGAACAGGACCTCTTTTATGAACCCATGGGATTTGTCTGGTACTCTGTGGAGCACTTCTGCTGTTTTTTTCTGTCTGTCCAGTACATATCTTCTTTTTTTCTGCTAACAGCAACCTGGTTTTCCCCATGGTGAGCCATCTCTGGTAAGGGTTGAGCTGCCTTTTTTTTTTTTTTTTTTTATTGAGACAGAGTCCCACTCTATCACCCAGGCTGGAGTGCAGTGGAATGATCTTTGCTTACTGCAATCTCGGCCTCCCCGGTTCAAGCAATTCTCCTGTCTCAGCCTCCCGAGTAGTGGGGATTACAGGCATGCGCCACCACATTCGGCTAATTTTTGTATTTTTAGAGATGGGGTTTCACCATGTTGACCACACTTGTCTCGAACTCCAGACCTCAGGTGATCCACCTGCCTTGGCCTCCCAAAGTGCTGGGATTACAGGCGTGAGCCACTGTGCCCGGCTGGGTTGAGCTGCTTTTACAGGATCCCAGGCCTATCCTGTCAGGGCATTCTTTTTTTCTGACTATAGAAATTGGCTTGGGAATAGACCTATGACCCAAACCAAGCCAATTGTACCTCAAATCTCAGCTCTTTGACTGTAGCTGTTGGGAAAGAGGCATTGTCTGCTGGGCTTGCCAATCTGATAGAAACTAAGCCTCGAACTGCTGGGGGAAACTTTTATTGCCTTATGGAAGCACAGCCCTATCTAAAATTAAAGTCAGTGAAAACAGAACAGAGCCAAAAATTGGAGAGACGAAGAAATCATGGCCTCATTTAAGCTGCTGGGTCCAGCCTTGCTTTCCAGAATCTCTGTCTGTGTTTTTCCGTTACTTGAACCGATATGTGCTCTTCAGCCAGTGTGAGTTGCAGTTCATCCTATGCAAGTGCAGGAATCCTGATGCACACGTGGCCCGTGCGCCTTGTATTAGGATGATTCATGGTTCTGAGTTCTAGGGGGAAAGGATACACATGTGATTCTCTGTGCAGCACAGGGCATAGAGTAGGTATCCCGTCATACATGTGGACTTATTGGGCCACTCACACTCACTGCTGTTGGGTGTGTCTGAGGATCCCATGGTGTTCCTAGGGGCCTTGGAGAGCATTCTCTGGTTTGCTGATCTTGTTCTCTACTTCCTTCTCTGGAAATCAAACTTTCCCTAGTTGCCGACAGCAAAACCAAGTTGCTGTGGGAAAACATCTTTTTACTTGTTCAGTCCAGAACCACCGCTCCTCTGATCCCTTTTCCTTGGAAACTCCGTCTTGGCAATGAGAAGGGTGTGTTCTTCTCTTGAAGTTTCTCTCAGGGCATTTGAGATTATTGGTAGATAATCTCTATGTTTTGTTTAAATTTGACAGGAAACCCAAAGGTTTGTGAGAGGATGGGATTTGGAGGGAGCCATTTCCTCATCAGGAAAGGAGAAAAAGGAGAAGTCTTAACGTAAAGGACTGAAGTTCAGAACCTCAGGACTGTCTGTACACAAGGACAGTCCACAGCAACATTGTAAAGTAAGTTAAGTGTCTTTGGAGCCCGGTCAATTCCCAAAACAGTGGCCCATCTTTTCCCTCCTGAAGTTCCTCTCCAGGTGGTTTCTTGCCCATCAAGCCTCTGAGGTCAGTTGGTCCCCTACTCCTGTCCAGCTGGCTCTCCCACACTCTTTACCTTAGATGACTGAAAATTACATTCCTCATTCTCCATTCAATTTGCCCATCTTCCGAGTCCCCAGTGTCTTAGTGGTAACATTACTGTTGGTCACCCAGCTAGAACAGATGGGCATTTCAGAAGTAAGGGTCAGATAATGTCACACCCCTCTGGCCCACACTGTTGAATCAAGCCCTCCCATTTGAAGCACTCTTTACTCCCACTTCACCCCCCTCCCCCAGCCTCAGCTCCCATCAGTTAGGCCTCGGGCCTCTGCACATCCTGGGCTCCAGCCCTGGGCTCTTCATACGTTGGGAAAATAATAGTTAAGGACAATATTCTCAATCCCCTGTGATCTGTCCCAAACTGTCTTCTAGTCTATTTGAGGACAGCAGGACTGATGCCCAGCTGGTATTTCCATTACGGCCATACAGGGTATGAAAATGTTGACACATTACTATCATGACTGGTCAGTAGGTAAATAGCTGCTTCCTGGTTCCTTGCTACACCTTACCTGCCTCCTGCCAAGGCTGGGTTCATTCTGATTGGTGGGTGATCTTGCCTTACCAGATATGAAATATATTGAATATCGCTCCTGGGATACCTAAAATTGCTGTACAAAATAGCTATAATTCCATGTTGTACATTTATATTTTATTATCTTTTCAAACATTTTTTTTTTGAAGACAATATAAAGATGAGGTCTCACTATGTTGCTCAGGCTGGTCTAAAACTCCTAGGTTCAAGCAATCCTCTTGCCTTGCCTTCCCAAAGTGCTGAGATTATAGGTGTGAGCCACCATGCCCGGTGTATTAGACATTTAAACGTACTGAGTTAAATCATTTGCCGGAAGGCTGGGTGTGGTGGCTCACACCTGTAATCCTAGCACTTTGGGAGGCTGAGGTGGGCAGATCACCTGAAGTCAGGAGTTCAAGACCAGCTTGGCCAACATGGCGAAACCCCGCCTCTACTAAAAATACCAAAATTAGCCAGGCGTGGTGGTGCATGCCTGTGGTCCTAGCTACTTGGGAGGCTGAGGCAGGAGAATCACTTGAACCGGGGAGGTGGAGGTTGCAGTGAGCTGAGATCGAGCCACTGCACTTCAGCCTAGGCGACAGAGCGAGACTCCATCTCAAAAAAAAAAGAAAATTCATTTGGTGCAAATATATAGTTTTTGAGGGTCTGCTATGTGTAAGCCTTCCAGGGTCTACTTGCTGGGCCTAACGAAATGCAGGAGAGAGCTATGCATCCCCACAGGGATGTACTGTACCCCACATGGACGCACTACACCCCACAAAAGCCCAGATGCTTGCATGTCCCCAGTCTCTCATTTCGTGTGGCACAGAGAAACAGGAACAGAGAAGGCAAAAGGTGAATACCATGATGGAGAGGCCACTGGACAGATTTCTTGGAGTCTGGTGGATGACTGAGGCTACGGGAGCTGGACAGCTGCATGGCAGTGTCTGCCGGGTGACGTTGCAGGGAAGAGGCTGCACAACTTGGGAAGAGCCTCCTAACATCCATGGAATTTGGGAACAAAAATCTCAAGTTTCTGACCATGGATAATATCTTTGCAGTGAAGGCTCTCTCCTGCCCCGAATTTTTTATTTTCCTTAAAATGCACATGTTATCCTTAGATGATTCCTACGCCACTGACTCAGTTTGGAATGGCATAAAATAAAGCTAGTAGATGGAAAGAATTCTTAAAAAGCCAAAGGGAAAAAACATGCTGATGTGCTCAGTTTTTCTCCTTGTCATTAACCCTTTGAGAGCTGGTTTATTCCTCTGCGGGTCCCCAGGCCCCATCTCAGTGGCCCTTAGAGTGCAGCCTCTCCTCGTTGAGTGCAGACCCAGGTAAATGTACACAGCGTAAAGATTCCTGCTCTAGGGGTTAGCAGGTTTTGGCTTTCAACTTGCCTTACTACTGGGATGACGAAATTGGCCTTTCCTCTGCTCTTGCTGTGAACATGCATCTGCGTCATTCATTTCAACACACAGGGTGGTGGAAGCAAATAGCACTCTTCTTGTTTCTGAACTGCATCTGGGGGTGGGGGGCGGTGGCAGTGGGGAGATCGGCTGCAATAGAAGCTGGGCATATAGAGACCATCTCTGTTTTTAAGACATGTACAGCCTGTTAGTCAAGCAGGACCAGAGTTTCCAGCAACTCTTTCTCTTCCTCTGCACACTGACTCTCCCCAGTGGGGGCCCACCTGTGTCCATTCTCATGGGCCTGGATTGCAAACTAATTCCAGGCTAGTGTTCAAATTGTTAAGGGACCACCCATTGGGGGGTGCTGGCATTCTAAAAGTTAATTTGCCAGTATCCAAGGGTTGAAAGAAATGTTGGAGATTAACTAAACCAGTAGTCACCAAATTGGGCCAAATCCAGCTTGATACCCATTTGGGGGAAATACAGTTTTAGTAGAATACAGTTTTAGTAAATACAGTGGAAGACAATACACTTATGTATTGCCTAGGGCTGCTTTTGTGCTATAATGGCACGAAGTAGTTGCAATAGAGACCACATGGTGTGCAAAGCTGAAAATAGTTATTATTTTCTCCTTTTCAGACAAAGTTTGCCAACACCTCATCCAATCTAATCCTGTTTACCTCCCCATACAAGTGACTGTTCAATTATGGAACACCTATGATAGCTCATTTCCTAATACTCACCAGCTTTTTAATTCTAGAAGATTCCTTCTCATGTTAAGCTGTATTTGCTTTCTTTTTTTTCCCTACTACTTTATTGGAAAACTAGAGTCAGATAATCCCAAAGAGCTAGCCGGCTAGTCTTTCTTTCTTTTCTTTCTTTCTTTCTGTTTCTTTCTTTCTTTCTTTCTCTTTCTTTCTTTCTTTCTTTCTTTCTTTCTTTCTTTCTTTCTTTCTTTCTCTTTCTTTCTTTCTTTCTTTCTTTCTTTCTTTCTTTCTCTTTCTTTCTTTCTTTCTTTCTTTCTTTCTTTTTCTTTCTTTCTTTCTTTCCTTCCTTCCTTCCTTCCTTCCTTCCTTCCTTCCTTCTTTCTTTCTTTCTTTCTTTCTTTCTTTCTTTCTTTCTTTCCTTCTTTCTTTCTCTCTCTCTCTCCTCTCTCTCTCTTTTTTTTTGAGACGGGGTCTCACTCTGTTACCCAGGCTGGAGTATCGTGATGCGATCATGTCTCACTGCAGCCTGGACCTCCTCCTAGCTCAAGTCATCTTCCCACCTCAGCCTCCCGAGTAGCTGGGACCACAGACTCGTGCCACCATGTCTGGCTAATTTTTGTATTTTGTTGTATTTTTTTTTTTTTTTTTGAAGAGACGGGGTTTTACCTGTTGCCCAGGATGGTCTCAGACTCCTGGATTCAAGCGATCTGCCTGCCTCTGCTTCCCAAAACACTGGGATTACAGGCATGAGCCACTATGCCTGGCCCAAAGATTAGTTATTTCATTTTCTTCTCACCAATGATCTCTTCCACCAATCTGTGAAGATGTTTGTAATTCCATCATTAGATCATTGGCAAGAAGGAAATGAAATAACAACCTTTCAGACCACCTGACATAGGTAGTTGCCTCTTTTCTTCACACTTCAAAGTTTACCCTTGTGCTGAAAATTTGGAGATTCAACTTTGTTCTAAGCAGAGCCAAATCAACCTTTGAAAGTGGGATTAACCACACACCAGCATTCTCTTTTTAGCCCTTTGAAAGTGGTCAGCTTATAATATTATCATGATTCACACACACACGGAGTATGGATTTCAGATCTTTCTCCCAGAAAAGGAAAAATACTCAAATAGAAATAATTATGCAAGGGAAGAAAACAGTCTGAGATTTTGTAATTTCAGGGTTTCAGTTAGATACTATTCCCTTTCCTAGTGCTATGTGACAAATCACACCAAAACTTAGCAGCTTAAAATAACCATTTGATTTTGGGCAATCCCGGTGGCTCATGCCTGTAATTTCAGCAGTTTGAGAGGCCAAGGCAGGAGGATCTGTTGAACCCAGGAGATTGGGACCAGTCTGGGCAACATAGTGAGACTTCGTCTTTACGAAAACAAAAACACAGTAAGCCAGATGTGACGGTGTGCACCTGTAGTCCCAGCTACACAGGAGGCTGAGCTGCAGGGATCACTTGAGCCTGGATGTCCAGGCTGTAGTGAGCTGTGAATGAGCCACTGCACTCCAGCCTGGGTGATAGAGTGAAACCCTGCATCAGAAAACAAAACAAACAAACATTTAATTTTGCTAACAATTTAGTGGATCAGGAACTTGGGAAGGGCTCAGTTGGGCCATTCTGATTCAAGGCTTCTCATGTGGACAGTCAGATGTCAGCTGGGCTCGACCTGCAAGATGGCGCACTCTGATGGCTGGCAGCAGATGCTTTTTGTCAGCTGGGTGCTCAGCTGTGATGTTGGCTGGAGCGCCTACACATGGCCTCTCCAGCATGGCAGCCTCAGTGTCATTGGACTACTTACATGGCAACTCAGGGCTCCAAGTGCGAGTGGTCCGGAGCATGGCAGATGCATTCCTGATTGATTGAGGCAGTCACTAGCCCGTCAGATGCAAGGGGAAGGGGACTAGAATCCCATCTTTCAATGTTAGGAATGGCAAAGTCACACTGGAGAAGAGCAGGTGGGATGGAGATATTGTCGTGACCATCTTTGGAAAATGGGATTTATCACAGGTACTGTCCTGAAATTGTATTTTCTATTTCTTCAGGAACCATGGCACACCCAACATATGACCCAACTGAGAGGAACTTTCAAATAAGTTTTCTCCACTTTCTATTCTTTAGTCCTTCTCTTCTCAATTGCTTCCCACCCTCCATCCATAACAATGGTACAAATGAACTATCCTCATACTCTGGATTGCCTATAATATTAGTTCTAGACATCAATGGCAGTGTCATTCAGTCACACTCTACTTTGATACTAAATTTATGACTTTGCACAATCATTTTATCTATTGCAAGTTGCTCAACAGTTTTGTTTTCCTGATGTTTATGTCAGGATAGGTGGACAATAGAGGGTAATTGATCATTTTCTGGAAGGGGTTTTGGAAAACTTCCAGAAGAGTGAGAGGACCCATTCCCCACCTGCCCCAAGAAAGCCACCTGACTCTGGTACTCTACATAGCATATCTTATGCAGTCTTGCCCCTGAAACATTGCCATAAGTCACACATCTGCCCTTCTTCCCTCTCTCCCTTTTCCTTAGGCCTCACAGCTATCCTACTGGTTCTTAGAATTTTTGAATAGTAGTTTTGGAGAAAAATTTTTATGCAAAATATATAAACACATGAATCACATTTAAATATTTCCTGTACCAGCAATTCTAGTGCTTGCCAAGTTATTTAGGAGAAACAGGTAAGAACCTGTGGGGAAAAAATGGATTAATTCCTGATAAGTATTTTACGCATCATTTGTATATGACTGCCTTAGTCTGTTTTCTGCTGCTATAACAGAATCCCACAGACTGGGTAGTTTATAAAGAAAAGAGATTCAGTTGGCTCATGATTCTTGAGGCTGGCTGGGAAGTCCAAGGCTGTGATACTCAGCCATCTGGTAAGAGCCTTCTTGTTGCATCTTCCCATGGAGGAAAGTGGAAAGTTACGTAAGTGCTCAAGACAGAGAAAGAGAGGACCAAACTTATCCTTTGTGTCAGGAGCCCACTTCCATGTTAACTAACCCACTCCTGAGATAAAGACATGAATCCGTTCATGACAGCAGACCCTCACTCATGACCTAATCACCTCTTAAGGACCTTATGTCTTAATACCATCACAATGACAATTAAATTCCAACATGAGTTTTGAAGCAAACATTCAAACCATGGCAATGACTAAGCTGTTTTGTAACTTGATATAATTCAGGTCTGTATAAAAATTAAAGGGAGAGGCTCCCCGCAAAAAATAAAGTTTGCATTTTTTTTTTTTTTTTTTTTTTTTTTTTAGACAGGGTCTCACTTTATCATCCAGGCTGGAGTGCAGTGGCACAGTCATGACTTACTGCAGCCTTGACCTCCTGGACTCAAGTAATTCTCCCACTTTAGCCCCCTGAGTAGCTGGGACTACAAATATGTGCCACCACACCTAGCTAATTTTTTATTTGAAGACACGGTGTCTCACTATGTTGTCCAGGCTGGTCTTGAACTCCTGGGCTCAAGAGATCCTCCCACTTCGGCCTCCCAAAATGCTGGGATTACAGGCATGAACCACTGTGTCTGGCAGTTTGCAATATTTTATGAAGGCATTAGGAAAATGTGTGTGTGCATGTATGTGTGTGTGTGTGTATACTTTATGTACACCTATTCTATGAAATCACATGACTTAGGAATAATTTAAATGCCCTCATTTTTGGAAACTAACTGTATATTAGTATATATGCTTGCTATGTTGTCAGCTACTCACCTCTACTTGATTCTCATCCAGCAGCGCATCTTCCCTTAAAGCCATGTGCTAGTACTTGCTGGTGTTCAGACAAACTAGGCAGCAGGTAGAAGACACAGTTTGGGAGTCTGTCGTGCCCAATATCTAATTTTTCCATCCTGGAGTTGACAGCCATTTTCTCATGCTATAAATGCACCCAAACTTTATTTGCATGAAAATCACTCCAGGTGTTTGTTCAATCACAGATTCCTGAGCCCCATCTCTGAAGATTCTAATTTAGTAGTCTGAGGTGTGTCCAAGGGATCATTTACCATAAATGATTCTGCTGATCCAAGCTCTCCCAACTTACTGCCTCACTGACTCTCATGTACTCCTTCTCCTCTTATCCCAAGCTTCTATTTTCTGCTAGGTTATGCCCTAGTTGTATTAAACCATCAGAGAATGAGAGAGAGAGATAAAAAGAGAGAGAGAGGAAAAGAAAGAGAGAGAGAAACCAAGATCTGAGGGGTGAAGACATAAACATTCTTCTCTATGGCCTTCATTTAGTTGAGCATAAACCTGATTTCTTAGCCTGAAGGGCATCTGGCCAGGGCTGGAATTGGACCAAAATAAGCAGTTTATCAAATGATATGGTTTGGATATTTGTCTCCTCCAAATCTCATGTTGAAATGTAATCCCCAGTGTTCGTTGGAGCTAGAGCCTGGTAGGAGGTATTGGATCATGGGGGCAGAGGCTTCATAAATGGCGTAGCATCATCCTCTTGGTGACAGGTGGGTTCTCACTCTGAGTTTTTGTGAGATCTAGTTGTTTAAAAGTGTGTGGCACCTCCCCACGCTTGCCTCCTCTCTCACCACGTGACATGTTGTCTCCCCATCACCCTCTACCATGATTGGAAGCTCCCTGAGGCTCTCGTCAGAAGTGGATGCTGACACTATGCCTCCTGTACAGCTGAAAGAACCATGAGCCAATTAAACCTCTTTTCTTTATAAATTATCCAGCCTCAGGTATTTCTTTATAGCAATATAAGAACAGCCTAATACGTCAAATGAGCCTTTCTCTTCATTCTCCCTCCAGCCTCTTGCTGAACAGGCTTGGAGGTATCTGTGAAATGACCTGGCAGTGAAAACAGCCATTTCAGGGGCACATCCAAAAGGTGGGAGGAGGTAGAGCTCTCTTCCCCCAAGCTTGGGAGGTGAGAAGTTTTTTTCTACTCTTCTGAATTCAAGGGGGAATTAGGGTCATCCTAACAAAAATCTCAGTGGTCTCCAGAGCTGTGCTATTCAGACTTCAATGTGTCTATAAATCATCTGGATCTTGTTAAAATGCAGAACATGACTCTGCAAGTCTGGGGTGGGGCTGGAGATTCTGATGTTCTCATAAGCCCCCAGGTGATTCCCACGCTTCTGTTCTTGGACCACACTTTGAAGCCGGAATAAATGCCAGAGTCTCATTGGAAGAAAGCACCATGATCACTTCAGGAAGCCATGTCACCAATGGACTGTTTATGGGGTGGAGTGGGTAATTAAATAAGTTATGGAACTGAGGTATCTCAAGAAATAAGGCAGGTGAGGGTTGTCAGAGGGCCCAAGATAAGGAGAACAGGCAAAGAGAAGCAGGATGAAATGAAGGAAATAGTCTGGGATAGGAGAGGGCTAGCTTGTAAAGATGGCTTTTTACCAGCTCCATTTGAAGGGCTCATGATGGAATGCAGGCACCACTCTCCTGTGGACCCTTCTCCTAGGGGTGGAGATGAAAGATTTAGCAAATAAAAAATACAGTGCCCAGAAATAATAATAACTGTCATAAACTATTATGAACGCCTCCGCACACATACACTAGAAAACAGATGGACAAATTCCTGGACACATACACCCACCAAAACTGAACCAGCAAGGAATTAGTTCCCTGAACAGGCCAATAACAAGCTCCAAAATTGAATCAGTAATAAATAGCTTACCAACAAAAAAAACCCAGGACCAGATGGATTTACAACCAAATTCTACCAAGTGTAGGGAAAAGAGCTGGTACTATTCCTACGGAAACTATTCAAAAACACTGAGGAGGAGGGACTCCTCCCCAACTCATTCTATGAGGCCAGCATCATCCTGATACCAAATCCTGGCAGATATGCAACAATGACAAAAAATAAAACTTCAGGCCAGTATATTTGATGAACATTGATGCAAAAATCCTCAACAAAATACTTGCAAATTGAATTCAGCAGCACATAAAAAAGCTAATCCACCACAATCAAGTAGGCTTCATCCCTGGGATGCAAGTTTGGTTCAACACACACAAATCAATAAATGTGATACATCACATAAACAGAACTAAAGAGAAAAACCATGATTATCTCAATAGATGCAGAAAAGGTTTTCAAAAAAATTAAACATCTCTTTTTATTAAAAACTCTCAATAAACTAAGTATTGAAGGGGCATACCTCAGAATGATAGCCATCTATGACAGCCACAGCCAATATCATATGAAATGAAGAAAAGCTGGAAGCATTCTCCTTGAAAACTGGTGCAAGACAAGGATGCCCTTTCTCACCACTCCTCTTCAACAAAGCTTTGGAAGACTTAGAGCAATCAGGCAAGAGAAAGAAATAAAGGGTAGTCAGATAGAGAGTTCCCCTTCCTTACACCACATACAAAAATCAACTCAAGATGGATTAAAGACTTAAATGTAAAACTCAAAACTATAAAGTCAAGCTATCTCTGTTTGCAGACGACATGATTCTGTATCTAGAAAATGCCTTAAAAGCTCCTGCAGCTGATAAACAACTTCAGCAAAGTTCAGGATAGAAAATCAGTGTACAAAAATTACTAATGTTCTTATAAACCAACAACAGCCAAGCCGAGAGTCAAATCAGGAAGGCAATCCCATTCACGACTGCCACAAAAAGAATACACCACTTAGGAAACAGCTAACCAGGGAGGTGAAAGATCTCTACAATGAGAATTACAAAACATTGCTGAAAGAAATCAGAGATGACACAAACAAATGGAAAAACACACCATGCTCATGGAATAGGAAGAATCAATATCATTAAAATGGCCATACTGCCCAAAGCAACGTATAGATTCAATGCTATTCCTATCAAACTACCAATGTCATTCTTTACAGAACTAGAAAAAACTACTTTAAAATTCATATGGAATCCAAAAAGAGCCCAAATAGCCAAGGCAATCTTAAGCAAAAGCAACAAAGCTGGAGGCATCACATTACCTAACTTCAAACTATATTACAGGGCTGCATAACCAAAACAGCATGGTACTGGTACAAAAACAGACACATAGAAGAATGGAACAGAATAGAGAAACCAGAAATAAGACCACACACCTATGACCATCTGATCTTTGACAAAGCTGACAAGAACAAGCAATGGGGAAAAGACTCCCTATTCAGTAAATCGTTCCAGAGTAACTGGCTAGCCATATGCAGAAGATTGAAACTGGAACCCTTCCTTATACCATATACAAAAATCAAATCAAGATGGATTTAAATGTAAAATCCAAAACTATAAAAACCCTGGACGACAACCTAGGCAATACCATCCTGGACATAGGAACAGGCAAAGATTTCATGATGGAGATGCTCAAAGTAATCAGTATAAAAGCAAAAATTGATGAATGGGACCTAATTAAACTTAAGAGATTCTGCACAGCAAAAGAAACTATCAACAGAGTAAACAGGCAACCTACAGAATGGGAGAAAATATTTGCAAACTATGCATTTGACAAAGGTCTAATATCCAGCATTTATGAGGAACTTAAATTTACAAGGAAAAAACAAACAACCCCATTAAAAAGTGAGCAAAGGACATAAACAGACACTTTGCAAAAAAATACATATATGCAGCCAAAAAGCATATGAAATTATTTCATCACTGATCATTAGAGAAATGCAAATCAAAACCACAATGAGATACCATCTCACACCAGTCAGAATGGCTATTAGAAAAATCTAAAAAAATAACAGATGCTGGTGAGGTTGTGGAGAAAAGGGAACATTTACACACCGTTGGTAGGAGTGTAAATTAGTTCAACCACTGTTGAAAGCAGTATGGTGATTCCTCAAAGAACTGAAAGCAGAACTACCATTTGACCCAGCATCCCCATTACAGGGTATATACCCAGAGGAATATAAATCATTCTACCATGAAGACACATGCACATGAATGTACATTGCAGCACGGTTCACAATAGCAAAGGCCTGGATTCAACCTAAATGCCCATCAATGACAGATTGAATAAAATGTGGTACATATACACCATGGAATACTATGCAGCCATAAAAAAGAGACCATGGCTTTGTGGGAACATGGATGTAGCTGGAGATCATTATCCTTAGCAAACTAACACAGGAACAGAAAACCATATACCGCATGTTCTCATTTATATGTGGGAGCTAAATAATGAGAACTTACAGACATGAAGAAGGAAAGAACAGGCACTAGGGTCTACTTGAGGGTGGAGGGTGGGAGGAGAAATAGGAGCAGAAAAAATAACTATTGGATACTAGGCTTAGTACCTGGGTGATGAAATAATCTGTACAACAAATCCCTGTGACATGAGTTTACCTAAGTAACAAACCTGCACATGTACCCTTGAACCTAAAATAAAACTTTAAAAAATAGTGCCCAGTTAAATATGCGTCTCAGATAAACAATGAATACTTTTTAGTATAAGTATGCCCCAAATAGTGCACCTCCCTCCCACCCTTTCCCCTGAGTCCCCAAAGTCCAATATATCATTCTTATACCTTTGCATCCTCATAGTTTAGCTCCCACTTATAAGTGAGAACATATGATATTTGGTTTTCAATTCCTGAGCTACTTCACTTAGAATAATAATCTCCAATCCATCCAAGTTGCTGCAAATACCACTATTTTTTTTATGGCTAAGTAGTATTCCATAGTGTACATACACAACGTTTTCTTTATTCACTCATTGGTTGCTGGGCATTTACGTTGGTTCCATATTTTTGCAATTGCTATAAATATGTGTACGCAAGTGTCTTTGCATCTGACGGAGGACTAACATCCAGAATCTACAAGGAAATCAATCAAATCAGCAAGAAAAAACCAAATAACCCATCAAAAATTGGGCAAAGGACATGAATAGACAATTCTTAAAAGAAGGTATACAAATGGCCAACAAACGTATAAAAAAAAGCTCAACATCACTAGCTATCAGAGAAATGCAAATTAAAACTATAATGAGATACCATCTTACCCTGCAAGAATGGCCATAATTAAAAAATCAAAAAATAATAGATGCTGGCATGGATGTGGTAAAAAGGGAACACTTTTACACTGCTAGGGGGAATGTAAACTAGTACAACCACCATGGAAACAGTTTAGAGGTTCCTTAAAGAACTGAAAGTAGGATTACCATTTGATCTAACAATTC
This sequence comes from Homo sapiens, assembly GCF_000001405.40. Classification (NCBI taxonomy): domain Eukaryota; kingdom Metazoa; phylum Chordata; class Mammalia; order Primates; family Hominidae; genus Homo; species Homo sapiens. The sequence continues at coordinate 230,095,206 of NC_000002.12, forward strand.
CACCATGGAGTATCTATACAAAATTTTTAAAAATAAATTTTAGTGTTTTCTTTTGTGGGAGGAGATGTATTAGAATAACCTAGTTCATTTTTTAAGAATCAAATTTGTTGAGATATAATTTACATACGGGAAAAAAATCACCTTTTTTTTCCCTTTTCCAACCTTTATTTTAGATCCGGGGGGGTACATGCGCAGGTTTGCTACCTGGGTATATTGCATGTTGCTGAGGTTCGGGTATGAATTATCCTGTCACCCAGGTACTCAGCTGTATTCATGTTGCTGCAAAGGACATGATTTCATTTTTTATGGCTGTATAGTATTCCATGGTGTATATGTGCCACATTTTCTTTATCCAGTACACTGTTGATGGGCACCTAGGTTGATTCCATAACTTTGCTATTGTGAATAGTGCTGCACGAATTGCAAAGTGCATGTGTCTTTTTGGTAGAATGATTTGTTTTGTTTTGGATACATACCCAGTAATGAGATTGCTTGGGTCGAATGGTAGCTCTACTTTTGGTTCTCTGAGAAGTCTCCAAACTGCTTTCCACAGTGGCTGAACTAATTTACATTCCCTTTAGCAATGTAGAAGCATTCCCTTTTCTCTGCGGCCTCAACGATATTTGTTGTTTTTTGACTTTGTAATAATAGCCATTCTGACAGGTGTCAGATGGCATTTCATCGTGGTTTCGATTTGCATTTCTCCAATGATTAGTGATGATCGGCATTTTTCTATGTGTTTGTTGTCCACTTGTATGCCATTTTTTGAGAAGTGTCTGTTCATGTCTTGTGCCCATTTTTTAATGGAATTATTTGTTTTTTGCTAGTTCAATTGTTTAAGTTCCTATAGATTCGGGATATGAGACCTTTGTTGGATGCATAGTTTGCAAATATTTTCTCCCAGTCTGTAGGTTGTCTGTTTACTCAGTTGACTATTTCTTTTGGTGTGCAGAAGCTTTTTAGTTTAATTAGATACCACTTGTCAATTTTTGGTGTTTTTTTTTTTGCAATTGCTTTTGAGATCTTAGTAATAAATTCTTTCCTAAGGCCCATGTCCAGAATGGTGCTTCGTAAATATTCTTCTAGGATTCTGATAGTTTGAAGTCTTACATTTAAATCTTTAATCCATCTTGAGTTAGTTATTATAAATGGTGAAAGGTAGGGGTCCAACTTCATTCTTCTGCATATGGCTAGCCTGTATCCCACCACCATTTATTGAATAGGGACTTCTTTTCCCATTGCTTATTTTTGTTGATTTTGTCAAAGATTAGATGGCTGTAGGTGTGTGGCTTTATTTCTGAGTTCTCTTTTCTGTTCCATTGGCCTATCTGTTTATTTTTGTACCAGTACCATGTTGTTTTGGTTACTGTAGCCTTATAGTATAGTTTGAAGTGGATTAATGTGATGCTTCTGGCTTTGTACATTTTGCTTAGAATTGCTTTGGTTATATAGGCTATTTTTTTGGTTCCATATGAATTTTAGAATAGTTTTTTCTAATTCTGTGAAAAATAACCTTGGTAGTTTGATAGAAATAGCATTGAATCTGTAGATTGCTTTGGGCAATAATAAGGCCATTTTAATGATACTGATTCTTGCAATCCATGAGCACGGAATATTTTCCATTTGTTTGTCTCATCTGTGATTTCTTTTAGCAGTGTTTTGTAGTTCTCCTTGTAAAGACCTTTCACTTCCTTGGTTAGATGTATTCCTGGGTATTCTATTTTTTTGTGTGGCTATTGTAATGGGATTGCTTTTTTTTTGGACAGTCTTACTCTGTCACCCAGACTGAAGTACAGTGGCATGATCTCTGCTCATTGCAACTCCTCCTCTAGGGTTCAAGTGATTCCCATGCCTTGGCCTCCTGAGTAGTTGGAATTACGGGCACGCACCACCACACCAGCTAATTTTCATATTTTTAGTAGAGACAGGCTTGTTTCAAACTCCTGACTTCAGGTGGTCTGCCCTCCTCAGCCTCGCAAAGTGCTGGGATTACAGGCATGAGCCACCGCGCGCAGCCGGGATTGCATTCTTGATTTGGCTCTTAGCTCCAGCTAATAACGTTTAAATGTTATTGCTGTAAAGAAATGCTACTGATTTTTGTACATTGATTTTTATATCCTGAAACTTTACTGAAGTCATTTATCAGTTCCAGGAGCTTTTTGGCAGAGTCTTTAGGCTTTTCAATGAATAGAATCCTATCATCTGCAAAGAAAGATAGTTTGAATTCTTCTTTTCATATTTGGATGCTTTTTATTTTTTTCTCATGGCTGATTGCCCTGGCAAGGACTTTCAGTACTATGATGAATAGGAGTGGTAAGAATCACCTTTAGAAGCACATAGTTCTCTGAAATTTGACGAATGTTTACAGTTGTGTAACCACCACCACATTGAAGATGTAGAACAATTTCCATCCAACCAAAAGAGTTCCCTTGTGCCCTTTTGTACCCAACAATTGCCGTCACTACTAACACCTGGCAACCACTCATATGAGTTCTGTCTAGAGTTTTGTTTTTCCAGAATGTCAGGTAAATGAAATTATACACTTGATATTCTTTTGTGTCTGGCTTCTTACAGTTGGTATAATGCCTTTGAGATTTACCTACGTTGCATGTGTTTGTGTGGATTACTATAGCATAACTGTTCCTTCTTACTACTGAGTAGTATTCCATTGTATGACTATATCACAAAGATTTGTTTATCCATTCATGGATTAATGGATATTTGGCTTGTTTCTGGTTTTTGACTTTTAGTGAATAATGCTGTTGTAAACATTTGTGTACAGGTTTGCGTGTGGACATATATTTTCATTTCTCTTGTGTCAATACCTAGGAATGCAATGTCCGGGTCATCTGTGGTAAGTGTATGTTTAACTTTCTAAGAAGCTGTCAAACTGTTTTCCAAACTAGTTATGCCATATTACATTGCCACCAGAAGTCTATGAACATTCCAGCTGATTCACATTTTGGCTAACATTTGATATTGCCATTTTCCCTCACAGTTTTAAACATTCTAATAGGTGTGTAGTGAGTGGTCTCTTATTGTAGTTTAATTTATATTTTCTTAATGATGTTGAGTGTTTTTTCCTGTGCTGATAGCATTTTTTCTAAACTTTTTTTGGTAAAATGTTCAAATTTTCTATGCTTTTGAAAATTGGATTGTTTTCTGATCATTGAGTTTTGAGAGTTTACTTATATTCTGGTTACCTTTCTTTGATCAGATCTATGATTTGAAAACATTTCCTCCCACTCTCTGGCTTATCTTTTCATTTTTCTTAATGTATTTCAAAGACCAGACAATTTAGAAGATCTGCTTTTTTTTAAAAAAAAAAAAGGAGATATAATTCACAGAACATAAAATTCATCCTTTCAAAGTGTACTATTTAGTTGTTTTTATCTATACACAAAGCAATGCAATCACCATTATCTAATTCCAGAACATTTTTGTCACTCCAAAAAGAAACATCATACCTATGAGCAGTCACTGCCTACTCTCCCCTCTCCCTAGATCCTGGCAACCACTAATTTTCCTTGTATTTCTATAGATTTGCCTGTTCTGGACATCTCATGTAAATAAAATCATATAATACGTGGCCTTTGTTTCTGGTTTCTGTTATAATGTGTTCAATGTTCATCCAATTGTAGCAGGTATCAGAACTTTATTCCTTTTTATAGCTCAGTAATATTCTATTGCATGGATATATTACATTTTGTTTATTCATTATTCATTTGAACATTTAGATCATGGCTATTATACATAATGCTGCTATGAACATTTGTGAACAAGCTTGTGGGTTTATTTGTTTTTGAGACCGAGCCTTGCTCTGTTGCCCAGGCTGGAATGCAGTGGTGTGATTTCGGCTCACAGCAACCTCTGCCTCCTGGGTTCAAGTGATTCTCCTGCCTCAGCCTCCTGAGTAGCTGGTATTACAGGCATGTGCCACCATGCCTGGCTAATTTTTGTATTTTTAGTAGAGATGGGGTTTCACCATGTTGGCCAGGCTGGCCTCAAACTCCTGACCTCAAGTGATCTGTCCACCTCAGCCTCCCAAAGTGCTGGGATTCCAGGTGTGAGCCATGCGCTGGGCTTATGTGCAAGTTTTTATGTGGATATATGTTTTTATTTCTTTTGACTATATACGTTGGAATCGAGTTGCTGGGTCACATAGTAATTCTTTGCTTAACTTTCTGAGGAACTTCCAGTACTATTTATTCTCTGTCCTTTTCATACTGCCTATCCTAGTGGATGTGAAGTGGTATCTCGTTGTGGTTTTAATTTGCATTTCCCTAGTGCTAGTGATTATGGACATCTTTTCATGTCTTCTTAGCCAAAAGCATATGTATGTTTTCCTCGGAGAAATGTCTATTCAAATCCTTTGTCCTTTTACAAAGCTGGGTTCTTTATATTATATATTTTTTTAAGAGATGAAGTCTTGCTGCATTGCCCAGGCTGGAGAGCGGTTTCACAATTTTAGCTCAGTGCAGCCTCAAACTCTTGTCTTTAAGTGAATCTTCTGCCTAAGCTTCCAGAGTAGCTGGGACTACAGGTGTGTGCCATCACGCCCAGCTCTTTTTATTGTTAAGTTGTAAGAGTTCAAAAAGCTGAAGTTTTAAATTTTGAAAGAAAATATACTTTTTTTACTCTGTGGTTTGAGCTTTTCGTTTGCTATATAAGCAACATTTGCCTAACCTAAGGTTGCAAAGACTTTTCTTTTTTCTTTCTTTCTTTCTTTTTTTTTTTTTTTTTGAGAGACAGAGTCTTGCTCTGTCACCCAGGCAGGAGTGCAGTGGTGCGATCTCAGCTCACTGCAACCTCTGCCTCCCAGGTTCAAGCCATTCTCCTGCCTCAGCTTCCCAAGTAGCTGGGACTACAGGTATGCACCACCACACCCAGCTAATTTTTGTATTTTTTAGTAGCAGTGGGGTTTCACTATATGTTGGCTAGGCTGGTCTCGAACTCCTGACTTCAGGTGATCTGCCTGCCTTGGCCTCCCAAAGTGCTGGGATTACAATCATGAGCCACCACCACACCAGGACTCTTTCCTTCTAGAAGTTGTTTAGTTGTTGGTTTTACATTTAGGTCTATGATCCATTTAAGTTGAATTTTGTATATGATTCAAGGTACAGGTCAAGATTTATTCTTTTTTTAAAATCAAATTTTTATTTTTGATTTTTGTGGGTACATGGGTGTATATATTTATGGGGGACATGACATATTTTGATACAAGCATCCAATGTTAATAATCACATCATGGAAAATGGGATTATCCAATTCTTCAAGCATTTATTTTTTGTGCTACAAACAACCCAAGTATACTCTTTTAGTTATTTTAAAATGTACCATTAAATTATTTTGACTATAGTCACCATGTTATGCTATCAAATATTAGGTATTATTCATGCTTTCTAACTATTTTTTTTGGTGACCATTAACCATCTCCACTTCCCCACCACTCCCCACTCCCCTTCCCCGCCTCTGGTAACCACCCTTCTACTGTCTGTTACCATGAGTTCAATTTTTTTGGATTTTTAGATCCCACAAATAAGTGAGAATATGCGATGTTTGTCTTTCCTTGCCCAGCTTATTTCACTTAACATAGTGACCTGAAGTTCCATCCATGTTGTTGCAACTGACAGAATCTTATTCTTTTTTATGGCCGAGTAGTATTCCACTGTGTGTAAGTACCACATTTTCTTTATCCATTCATCTGTTGATGGACACTTAGGTTGCTTCCAAATCTTGGCTATTGTGGACAGTACTGCAACAAACATGGGAGTGCAGATACCTCTTCAGTATACTGATTTCCTTTCTTTTGGTTATATACCCAGCAGTGGAATTGCTGGATCATATGGTAGCTATATTTTCAGTTTTTTGAGGAACCTCTAAATTGTTCTTCATAGTGGTTGTACTAATTTACATTCCCACCAACAGTGTATGAGAAAATCAATGTACTGATTTCCTTTCTTTTGGGTATATACCCAGCAGTGGAATTGCTGGATCATATGATAGCTATATTTTCAGTTTTTTGAGGAACCTCCAAATTGTTCTTCATAGTGGTTGTACTAATTTACGTTCCCACCAACAGCGTATGAGGGTTTCCTTTTCTCCATATCCTTTCCAGAATTTGTTATTGCCTGTCTTGGATATAAGCCTTTTTTAAAAAAAAGTTAATGTAATTTTAGGTTCCAGGATATGTGTGCTGAACATGCAGGTTTGTTACATAGGTAAATGTGTGCCATGGTGGTTTGCTGCACCTATCAACCCATCACCTAGGTGTTAAGCCCCGCATACATTAGCTGTTAGTCCTGATGCTCTTCCTTCCCCTGGCCCCTTGACATGCCCCAGTGTGAGTTGTTCTCCTCCCTGTGTCCATGTGTTCTCATTGTTCAACTCCCACTTATAAGTGAGAACATGTGGTGTTTTGTTTTCTGTTCCTGTCTTAGTTTGCTGAGAATGATGGCTTCCAGCTTCATCCATATCCCTGCAAAGGACATGATCTCATTCCTTTTTATGGCTGCATAATCTTCCATGGTGTATATGTACCACATTTTCTTTATCCAGTCTATCATTGATGGGCATTTGGGTTGGTTCCAAGTCTTTGCTATTGTGAATAGTGCTGCAGTAAACATATGTGTGCATGTATCTTTATAATAGAATGATTTATATTCTTTTTGGTATATACCCAGTAATGAGATTGCTGGGTCAAATGGTATTTCTGGTTCTAGATCCTTGAGGAATCGCCACACTGTCTTCCACAGTGGTTGAACTAACTTACAATCTCACCAACAATAAAAAGGGCATTTCTATTTCTCCACAGCATTGTCAGTATCTGTTGTTTCTTGACTTTTTAATAATCGCCATTCTGACTGGCATGAGATGGCATCTCATTGTGGTTTTTATTTGCATTACTCTAATGATCAGTGATGTCCAGTTTTTCTTCATGTTTGTTGGCCACATGAATGTTTTCTTTTGAGAAGTGTCTGTTCATGTCCTTTGCCCATTTTTTGATGGGCTTGTTTTTTTCTTGTAAATTTTTTTAAGTTCCTTGTACATTCTGGATATTAGACCATTGTCAGATGGGTAGATTGTAAAAATGTTCTCCCATTCTGTAGGTTGTCTGTTTGCTCTGATGATAGTTTCTTTCGCTGTGTAGAAGCTCTTTAGTTTAATTAGATCCTATTTGTCAATTTTAGCTTTTGTTGCAATTGCTTTTGGTGATTTCATCATAAAATCTTTGCCCATGCCTATTCACTGAGTAGTAATGCCTAGATTTTTTTCTTGGGTTTTTATGGTTTTGGGTTTTACATTTAAGTCTTTAGTCCATCTTGAGTTAATTTTTGTATAAGGTGTAAGGAAGGGGTCCAGTTTCAGTTTTTTGCATATGGCTAGCCAGTTTTCCCAGCACCATTTATTAAATGGAGGACCTTTTGCCATTGCTTGTTTTTGTCAGGTTTGTTGAAGATCAGATGGTTATTTCTGAGATCTCTATTTTGTTTCATTGGTCTATGTGTCTGTTTTGATACCAGGATATAAGCCATTTTAATTGGGGTGAGATGATTCTCATTGTAGTTTTGATTTGCTTTTCTCTGATGATCAGTGATGTTGAGCACTGATTGTCATGTGTATGTCTTCTTTTGAGAAATGTCTATTCAAATATTTCACCCATTTTCGAATCAGGTTATTAGATTTTTTCCAATAGAGTTGTTTGAGTTCTTTATATATTCTGGTTATTTATCCAGATATTTTCTCCCATTTTGTAGGTTTGTCTTTTCACTTTGCAAATATTTTCCCTCGTTTTGTGGGCTGTCTTTTCACTTTGTTGATTGTTTTATTTGCTTTGCAGAAGTTTTTAAACTTGATGTGAACCCATCTGTCTGTTTTTGCTTTGGTTGCCTGTGCTTGTGAGGTATTGTTCAAAAAATTTTTCCAAGGCCAATATCCTAGAGATTTTTCCCAAAGTTTTCTTGCAGTAATTTTGTAGTTTGAGGTCTTAGATTTAAGTTCTTAATCCATTTTGATTTGGTTTTTGTATATGGTGAGAGGTAGGGGTCTAGTTTTATTCTTCTGCATATGGATATCCATTTTTCCCAGCACCATTTATTGAAGAGACTGTTTTTTCTCCAGTGTATGTTCTTGGTGCCTTTGTCAAAAATGAGTTCACTATAGGCATGTGGATTTGTTTCTGGGTTCTCTATTCTGTTCCATTTGTCTATGTGTCTATTTTTATGACAGTATCATGCTGTTCTGGTTACTATAGCTCTGTAGCATAATTTGAAGTCAGGTAATGTGATTCCTCTAATTTTGTTCTTTTTTTTTTTTAAATTCTCTACTTAACACCTCATTTCTGAGGAGCCTAAGTTGATTTTTTTTATTATTATACTTTAAGTTCTGGGATACACGTGCAGAACATGCAGGTTTGTTACCTAGGTATACAGGTGCCATGGTGGTTTGCTGTACCCATCAACCCGTCATCTACATTAGGTATTTCTCCTAATGTTATCTCTCCCCTTACCCTCCACCCCCTGACAGGCCCTGGTGTGTGATGGTCCCCTCCCTGTGTCCATGTGTTTTCATTGTTCAACTCCCACTTATGAGTGAGAACATGTGATGTTCAGTTTTCTATTCCTGTGTTAGTTTGCTGAGAATGATGGCTTCCAGCTGCATCCATGTCCCTGCAGAGGACATGAACTCACTCTTTTTTGTGGCTGCATAGTATTCCATGGTGTATATGTGCCACATTTTCTTTATCCAGTATATCATTGATGGACATTTGGGTTGGTACCAAGTCTTTGCTATTGTGAATAGTGCTTCAATAAACATACATGTGCATGTGTCTTTATAGTAGAATGATTTATAATCCTTTGGCTATGTACCTAATAATGGGACTGCTGGATCAAATGGTATTTCTGGTTCTAGATCCTTGAGAAATTGCCACACTGTCTTCCACAATGGTTGAACTAATTTACACTCCCAACAACAGTGTAAAAGTGTTCCTATTTCTCCACATCCTCTCCAGCATCTATTGTTCCCTGACTTTTTAATGATCACCCTTCTAACTGGCGTGAGATGATATCTCATTGTGGTTTTGATTTGCATTTCTCTAATGACCAGTGATGATGAGCTTTTTTTCATATGCTTGTTGGCTGCATAAATGTCTTCTTTTGAGAAGTGTCTGTTCATATCCTTCACCCACTTTTTGATGGGGTTGTTTGTTTTTTTCTTGTAAATTTGTTTAAGTTCCTTGTAGATTTTGGATATTAACCGTTTGTCAGATGGATAGATTGCAAAAATTTCCCCCCTTTCTCTAGGTTGCCTGTTCACTCTGATGATAGTTTCTTTTGCTGTGCAGAAGCTTTTTAGTTTAATTAGATCCCATTTGTCTATTTTGGCTTTTGTTGCCATTGCTTTTGGTGTTTTAGTCATGAAGTCTTTGCCCATGCCTATGTCCTGAATAGTATTGCCTAGATTTTCTTCTAGGGTTTTTATGGTTTTAGGTCTTACATTTAAGTCTTTAATCCATCTTGAGTTAATTTTTGGATGAGGTGTAAGGAAGGGGTCCAGTTTCAGTTTTCTGCATATGGCTAGCCAGTTTCCCCAACACCATTTATTAAATAAGGAATCCTTTCCCCATGAAGGTGAAAGGAGTATTATTAGGAGTACTGACTCACATGATCACAGATGAAGTCCCATAATAGGCCATCTACAAGCTGAGGAGCAGGGAAGCCCGTCCAAGTCCCAAAACCTCAAAAGTAGGGAAGCCAACAGTTCAGCCTTCAGTCTGTGGCCAAAGGCCTGAGAGACCCTGGCAAACCACTGATGTTAGTCCAAGAGTCCAAAAGCCGAAGAACTTGGAGTCTGATATTTGAGGACAGGAAGCATCCAGCATGGGGAAAAGATGAAGGCTTGAAGACTCAGCAAGTCAAGTCTTTTCCACACTCTTCTGCCTGGTTTATTCTAGCCACTCTGGCAGCTGATTACACGGTGACCACCCAGATTGAGGGTGGGTCTGCCTCTCCTAGTCCACTGACTCAAATGTTAATCTCCTTTGGCAACATCTTCACAGACACACCTAGGAACAATACTTTGCATCCTTCAATCCAGTCAAGTTGACACTCAATATTAAGTGTCACATAGGCGCTTATAGCTATACATTTCCCTCTTAGTACTGCTTTCATTGTAGCCCATAGGTTTTGGTATGTTGTGCTGCCATTGTCCTTCATTTAGAAAATTTTTCAATTTTCTTGTTAATTTCATTGACTCACTGGTCATTCAGGAACATATTGCTTACTTTCCATGTGTTTATATAGTTTCAAAAATTCCTGTTGTTGTTCACTTCTCGTTTTATGAGAAATTCTGTATCAAGATAAGATACTTGATATTATTCCCATTTTTTGAATGTTTTAAGACTTGTTTTGTGCCCTAACATCTGTTCTATCCTTGAGAATGATCCATGTACTAAAGAGAAGAATGTGTATTCTGCAGCTGTTGGATAAAATGTTCTGTAAATATCTATTAGGTCCATTTGGTCTACAGTGCAGATGACATCCAATGTTTCTTTGTTGAGTTTCTGTGTGAAAGATCTGTCCAAAGCTGAAAGTGGGGTGTTGAAGTCTCCAGCTATTATTATATTAAGATCTGTCTCTCTCTTTAGCTCTATATGCTAAAGAGAGCATACAGAGTTCTGTTCATATATTTGCTTTATATAAAGCAATATGTAAATATTTGCTTTATATAAAGCAATATGTAAATATTTGCTTTATATAAAGCAATATGTAAATATTTGCTTTATATAAAGCAATATGTAAATATTTGCTTTATATGTCTGAGTGCCTCAGTGTTGGGTGCATATATTTACAATTGTTATATCCTGTAGCTAGACTGACCCCTTTATCATTACAAATGACCTTTTTTTGTCTCTTCTTACAGTTTTTGTCTTGAAATCTATTTTGTCTGATATAGATATAGCTGCCCCTGCTCTTTTTTGGTTTCCATTGGCATGGAATATCTTTTTACATACCTTTATTTTCAGTCTATGTGTATCTTTATAGGTGAAATGTGTTTCTTGTAGGCAACAGATCAATGGGTCTTGTTTTTTAAATCCATCCACCCACTTATGTCTTTTGATTAGAGAGTTTAGTCCATTTACATTCAATGTTATTATTGACAACTAGGGGCTTACTCCTGCCATTTTGTGATTTGTTTTCTGATTGTTTTGTGGTCTCCTTTTTCTTCTTTCCTTCCTTCATGTCTTCTTTTTAGTGAAGGTGATTTTCTCTGGTAGTATGATTTAGTTTCTTGCTTTTTGTTTTTTGCGCATCCACTGTTTGTATACTTTTTCTTTTAAAGTTACCATGAGGCTTGCAAATACTATTTTATAACCCACTATTTTAAACAGATGGCAACTTAACACTGATTACATAAAAAAACCAACCAAACAAACACACAAAAAGAAAACTAATACAAACTCTACAATTTAATTTCATTTTCCTGCTTTTTAACTTTTTGTTGTTTCTCTTTATGTCTTATTTTACTGTCTATGTCTTGAAAAGTTACTGTAATTATTATTCTTGATTGGGTCATCATTTAGTCTTTCTACTTAAGATAAGAGTAGTTTACACACCACAACTACAATGTTATAATAGTCTGTGTTTTTCTATGTCCTTACTATTACCAGTGAGTTTTGTTCCTTCAGATGATTTCTTTTCGCTCATTAACATCCTTTTCTGATTGAAGAACTTCCTTTAGCCTTTCTTGTAGGACAGGTTTGGTGGTGATGAAATTCCTCAGCTTTTGTTTGTCTGGGAAGGTCTTTATTTCTCCTTCATGCTTGAAGGATATTTTCATCAGATATAATATTCTAAGATAAAAGTTTTTTTTTCCCTTCAGCACTTTGAGTATGTCATGTCACTCTCTTCTGGCCTGTAAGGTTTCCATTGAAAAGTCTGCTGCCAGATGTATTGGAACTCCATTACATGTTATTTGTTTCTTTTCTCTTGCTGCTTTTAGAATCCTTCCTTTATCCTTGACCTTTGAGAGTTTCATTATTGAATGCCTTGAGGTAATCTTTGAGTTACATCAGCTTGCTGTTGTATAACTTTGTTGTACTTGAATTTTGATTTCTTTCTCTAGGTTTGGGAAATTCTCTGATATCCTTTTGAATAAACTTCCTATCCCTTTCTTCCTCCTCTTTTAAGGCCAAAAACTCTTTTTTTTTTTCTTTTTGAGGTGGAGTCTTGCTCTGTCACCCAAGCTGGTATGGAGTGGCACAATCTCAGCTCATTGCAACCTCTGCCTCTCAGGTTCAAGCTATTCTCCTGCCTCAGCCTCCCGAGTAGCTGGGATTATAGGTGTGCGCCACAACACCTGGCTAATTTTTGTATTTTTAGTAGAGATGGGGTTTCACCACATTGGCCAGGCTGGTCTTAAACTCATGACCTCAAGTGATCCACCTGCTTCGGCCTCTTAAAGTGCTGGGATTACAGGCGTGAGCCACTGTGCTTGGCAGGCAAAAAACTCTTAGATTTGCCATTTTGAGGCTATTTCCTAGATCTTTTAGGGTGCTTTATTCTTTTTTCTTTTGTCTCCTCTGACTGTGTATTTTCCAATAGTCTGTCTTCAAGCTCAGTAATTCTTCTGCTTGATCACCTCTGCTATAAAAGTCTCTGATGCATTCTTCTGTATGCCAATCGCATTTTTCAACTCCAGAATTTCTGCTTGATTCTTTTTAATTATTTTAATCTCTTTGTTAAATTTATCTGATGGAATTCTGAATCCCTTCTCTTTGTTATCTTCAATTTTTTTTTTTCAGTTTTCTCTAAACAACTATTTTAAATTCTCTGTCTGAAAGGTCTCATATCTTTTGTTACTCCAGGATTGGTCCCTGGTGCTCTGTTTAGTTCATTTGGTGAGGTCATGTTTTCCTGGATGGTGTTGATGCTGTCAGATGTTCTTTGGTATCCAGGCATTGAAGATTTAGATACTTATTGTAGCTTTTGCAGTCTGGGCTTGTTTGGGCCCATCCTTCTTAAGGAAGCTTTTCAGATATTTGAAGGGACTTGGACCCAAAGCCCAATATTGCTGTAGTTTTTACAGACTCATTGAGGTACCACCTTGGTGGTCTTGGATAATTCAGAGAAGAAAGAGAGTCTCTCTCCCTCTTTGCTGAGCAGCCTGGAACTGGGGATGTGGTGATATAGGCACTCTTGTGGCCACCACCACTGCAACTGTGCTGGGTCAAGCCTGAAGCCAGCCCAGCACTGGGTCTTGCCCAAGGCCTGCTAGAACCACTACCTGGCTACCACCTATGTTCATGCAAGGCCATAGGGCTCTATGATCAGCAGGTGGCAAAGCCAGCCAGATTTATGTCCTTCCCTTCAGGGCAGTGAGTTCCCCCAGGCCCTAGGCAGGTCCAGAGATATTGTCTGGGAGCCAGGGATTAGAGTCAAAAACCTTAGAAATTTGCTAATATTCTATTTTACTGCAACTAAGCTGGCACTCAAACCACAATACAAAGTCCTTCTCACTCTTTCCTTCCCTTTCCACAGGCAAAGGAGCCTCTCTCTGTGGCCACCACCACCACTGGCCTATGGGAGGTTTTTCCAGGCCACCACCGATGTTCACTTAAAGAACAGGGGCTCTTGAGTCAGCTTGTGGTGAGTGCTGCCAGGCCTGGGACTCACCCCTCAGGGCAGTGGGCTCCCCTTTGGCTCAGGGCAGGTCCAGAAATGCTGTCCAAGAGCCTAGGCCTGGACTCAGAGACCCCAAGAGCCTTCTTGTTGCTTGACCCCACTGTGGCCAAGCTGGTACCTAAGGTGCAAGACAAACTCCCCTTTACTTTTCCCCCTGCTTTTCTCAAACAGGAGGAAATTTTTGCTGTAGTCACCACAGCTGGGAATGTGCTGGGTCACACTTGTAGTCAGCACGTCTCAGAGGCCAAGGCCCACAGTGTTACTGGTGATTATCCAGTGCCCAAGGGTTCTTTATTCAGCAGGTAATGAATCTTACCAGGACTGGGTCCTTCTCTTCAAGATAGTGGGCTCCCTTTTGGCCCGATGTGTGTTTAGAAATGTCTGAGAGCTAGGGCCTGGAATGGGGAATTCATGACTCTGCACAGTGCCCTATCATATTGTGGCTGAGCTGGTACCCGAAATGCAAGACAAAGTCACTGTTACTCTTCACAGTGAAAGACTTTTGTTGCTGTGAGCTACACTGCCTGTGGCTGGGAAAGGGGAGGTGCAAGTACTCCTGTAGCTACCCTGGCTAGTGTCTTCCTAGGTCACCTGCCACCTTAGTCCTATGGCTCTGAGCCCAGCCCGACACTGGAAGTTACCTAGGAATTGCAGACCTTGTGTTCTAGGCTGCCTTTCAAGTTTACCTAGGACCCCAGAGGACTTTGGCTTACAGTGGCGAGGCTTGCTGAGAGACTCAGTTGCTGACTGCTGGGATGGGTGATTCCCCTCTGACTAGGTCTGGTCCAAATGCCCCCTCTGTGCACAGACACTGCCTGAACCCAGCATGGCTTTGTTCTCTGCTGTGACAGGGCAACACTGAGTTCATTGTAAAGTCCCCCAGTTGCCCCACCCTCCCTCCCTAAAGTGCACAGATCGCTATGGGGATGGGTGAGGGATGGCGTTGGGAATTCAAGACTGTCTCTCCAGGCTGGGCACAATGGCCCATGCCTGTAATCCCAGCACTTTGGAAGGCTGAGGTGAGCTCATCACTTGAGGCCATGAGTTAGAGACTAGCCTGGCCAACATGGTGAAACCTTGTCTCTACTAAAAATACAAAAATTACACGGGTGTGGTGGCACATGCCTGTAATCCCAGCTACTCAGGGGGCTGAGACACGAGGATCCCTTGAACCAGGGAGGCAGAGGTTGCAGTGAGCCAAGACTGTGCGACTCACTGCACCTCCAGCCTGGGTGACAGAGTGAGACTTGGTTTCCAAAACAAACAAACAAAAAACCCTGTTTCTTCTATTCTTTCCAATGTCTCTTTCTGCAGTATGAAGTTACAGCCAAGTACTGTGAGTGCTCACCCAATTTTTGGTTCTTGTGACGGTGTTATTCTATGTGCAGGTATTTGTTAAATTTAGATGTTCCTTGGGGCTGGCAAATGGTGTAGGCTTCTATTCTGTTATCTTGCTTGCTCTACTCCCTCAAGGTTCATTCTTTTTGAATATATATATATATATATATATATATATATATATATATATATATACACACACACTTTTGAGCATATATATATACACACACACATACACACACACATATACATATATATATATGGGATATATAGTCATAGTCAATGGAACCAATAATAGTATGGAGTACATACATATATATGACTATATATGTATAATACAATTGTTGCCTCACTATTTGTTGAAAAGATTTTCCATTTACTTGACTTTTACTTGATTTTCTATGAATCGAGGAGTATTTTGACTTTCAAGTTTTGTGATTTAAGAATTACATTTAGTAAGGCTATAGGTGCCATACATAGTGAGTCCTCTGATGGATCTGGACAAAATAAATGGAAAATGTTTTGGAAAGGATTTACCATTCTAGTTGCCATTAAGAACATTCGTGATTTATGGGAGGAGGTCAAAATATCAAAATTAATAGGGTTTGGAAGAAGTTGATTCCAACCCTCATGGATGACTCTGAGGGGTTCAGGACTTCAGTGGAGAAAGTAACTGCAGATGTGGTGCAAGTATTGAGAGAAGGAGAATTAGAAATGGAGCCTGAAGATGTGATGGAATTGCTGCAATCCTATGATAAAGCTTGAATGGATGAGGAGTTGCAGATAAGCCACTTACAGGTAAGTAAGCAAAGAATATGGTTTCTTAAGCTGGAATCTACTCCTGGAAAAGATGCTGTGAACACTATTTAAATGACAACAAAGAAGTTCTCACTCATTTGTGGGAGCTAAAAAAACTGAACACATGGAGGTAAAGAGTGGAAAAATAGATAACAGAGATTGGGAAGGGTGAGTGGGGAGGATGGGCAGGATGAAGAGAAGTGGGTTAAAGGGTACAAATAAACGCAGTAAGACAGAAGAAATAAATTCAGTGTTTGATAGCAGAGTAGGATGACTATAGCTAATGAAAATTCATTGTACTCAGGTAATGGACACCTTAAATATCCTGACTTGATAACTATGCATTGTTTACATGTAACAAAATTTCTCGTGTACCCCATACATTTGTACAAATTAAAAAAAAAAAGACTCTCAAAGAAAAAAAAGAACGTAGAATGTCACATAAACTATATTACACAAACCTGCAAGGTTTGAGACAATTGACTCAAATTTTGAAAGAAGTTTTATTGTGGATAAAATGCTATCAAATGTCATTGCATGTTACCGATAAATATTTCGTGAAAGGAGAAGTGAATCAATGTGGCAAACTATATTGTCTTATTTTAGGAAATTGCTACAGCCATTCCAACCTTCAGCAGCCGCCATCTTGATCAGTCAGCAGCCATCAACATCAAGGCAAGAACCTCCTTCAGCAAAAAAGGTTATGACTCACTGAAGGCTCAGATTATCATTAGCATTTTTTAGCAAAGTATTTTAAAATTAAGGTGTGAACATTTTAAAAGACATAATGCTATTGCACTCTTAATAGATTACAGCAAAGTATAAACATACCTTTTTTTATTAACTGGGGAACCATACAATTAGTGTGACTCACTTTATTATGATATTTGCTTTATTGCTGGGTGGTTTGGATGAAGCCTGTAATGTCTCTGAGGTATGCCGGTGTACATATATATATGTGTGTGTGTATATGTGTGTGTATATGTGTATGTGTATGTGTGTGTGTACATATATATGTGTGTATGTGTGTATATATATATATATATATTATATTTTAAGTTCTAAGATACATGTGCACAACTTGCAGGTTTGTTACATAGGTATACATGTGCCATGTTGGTTTGCTGCACCCATCAACTCGTCATTTACATCAGGTATTTCTCCTAATGCTATCTCTCCCCTTACCCTCCACTCCCTGACAGGCCCCGTTGTGTGATGTTCCCCACCCTGTGTCCGTGTATTCTCTTTGTTCAACTCCCACCTATGAGTGAGAACATGTGGTGTTTGGTTTTGTGTCCTTGTAAAAGTTTGCTTAGAATGATGGTTTCCAGCTTCATCCATGTTCCTGCAAAGGACATGAACTCACTCTTTCTTATGGCTGCAGAGTGTTCCATGGTATATATGTGCCACATCTTCTTAATCCAGTCTATCATTGATGGACATTTGGGTTGGTTCCAAGTCTTTGCTGTTGTGAATAGTGCTGCAATAAACATATGTGTGCATGTGTCTTTATAGTAGAATGATTTATCGTCCTTTGGCTATATACCCAGTAATGGGGTCACTGGGTCAAATGGTATTTCTAGTTCTAGATCCTTGAGGAATTGCCACACTGTCTTCCACAATGGTTGAACTAATTTACATTCCCAACAACAGTGTAAAAGCATTCCTATTTCTCCACATCCTCTCCAGCATCTGTTGTTTCCTGACTTTTTAATGATTGCCATTCTAACTGGCATGAGATGGTATCAAATTGCGGTTTTGATTTGCATTTCTCTAATGACCAGTGATGATGAGCTTTTTTTCACATGTCTGTTGGCTGCATAAATGTCTTCTTTTGAGAAGTGTCTGTTCATATCTTTTGCCCGCTTTTGAAGGGGTTGTTTGTTTTTTTCCTGTAAATTTGTTTAAGTTCTTTGTAGATTCTGGAAATTAGCCCTTTGTCAGATGGATAGATTATAAAAATTTTCTCAGATTCTGTAGGTTGCCTGTTCACTCTGATGATAGTTTCTTTTGCTGTGCAGAAGCTCTTTAGTTTAATTAGATCCCATTTGTTTATTTTGGCTTTTGTTGCCATTGCTTTTGGTGTTTTAGTCATGAAGTCATTGCCCATGCCTATGTCCTGAATGGTATTGCCTAGGTTTTCTTCTAGGGTTTTTATGGTGTTAGGTCTTATATTTAAGTCTTTAATCCATCTTGAGTTAATTTTTGTATAAAGTGTAAGGAAGGGATCCAGTTTCAGCTTTCTGCATATGGCTAGCCAGTTTTCCCAGCACCATTTATTAAATAGGAAATCCTTTCCCCATTTCTTGTTTTTGTCACGTTTGTCAAAGATCAGATGGTTAGGGTAGATGTGTGGTGCTATTTCTGAGGCCTCTGTTCTGTTCCATTGGTCTATATATCTTGTTTTGGTACCAGTACCATGCTGTTTCGGTTACTGTAGCCTTGTAGTATAGTTTGAAGTCAGGTAACATGATGCCTCCAGCTTTGTTCTGTTTGCTTAGGATTGTCTTGGCTATGCAGGCTCTTTTTTGGTTCTATATGAACTTTAAAGTAGATTTTTCCAATTCTGTGAAGAAAGTCAGTGGTAGCTTGATGGGGATAGTATTGAATCTATAAATCACCTTGGGCAGTATGGCCATTTTCATGATATTGATTCTTCCTATCCATGAGCAGGGAATGTTCTTCCATTTGTTTGTGTCCTCTTTTATTTTGTTGAGCAGTGGTTCGTAGTTCTCCTTGAAGAGGTCCTTCACATCCCTTGTAAGTTGGATTCCTAGGTATTTTACTCTCTTTGTAGTAATTGTGAATGGGAGCTCATTCATGATTTGGCTCTCTGTCTATTATTGGTGTATAGGAATGCTTGTGATTTTTGCACATTGATTTTGTATCCTGAGACTTTGCTGAAGTTGCTTATCAGTTTAAGGAGATTTTGGGCTGAGACAATGGGGTTTTCTAAATATACAATCATGTCATCTGCAAACAGGGACAATTTGACTTCCTCTTTTCCTAATTGAATACCCTTTATTTCTTTCTCTTGCCTGATTGCCCTAGCAGAACTTCCAACACTATGTTGAATAGGAGTGGTGACAGATGGCATCCTTGTCTTGTGCCAGTTTTCAAAAGGAATGCTTCCAGTGTTTGCCTATTCAGTATGGTATTGGCTGTGGGTTTGTCATAAATAGCTCTTATTATTTTGAGATATGTCCCATCAACACCTAGTTTATTGAGAGTTTTTAGCATGAAGGGTGGTTAAATTTTGTCGAAGACCTTTTCTGCATCTATTGAGATAAACACGTGGTTTTTGTCATTGGTTCTATTTATGTGATGGATTACGTTTATTGATTTGCATATGTTGAACCAGCCTTGCATCCCGGGGATGAAACCGACTTGATCATGGTGGATAAGATTTTGATGTGCTGCTGGATTCAGTTTGCCAGTATTTTATTGAAGATTTTTGCATTGATATTCATCAGGGATATTGGCCTAAAATTATCTTTTTTTGTTGTTGTTTCTCTGCCAGGCTTTGTTACCAGGATGATGCTGGCCTCATAAAATGAGTTAGGGAGGATTCCCTCTTTTTCTATTGATTGGAATAGTTTCAGAAGGAATGATACCAGCTCCTCTTTGTACCTCTGGTAGAATTCGGCTGTGAATCCATCTGGTCCTGGACTTTTTTTGATTGGTAGGCTATTAATTATTGCCTCAATTTCAATTAATTTCAATAATTAATTATTGCCTCAGTTGTTATTGGTCTATTCAGAGATTCAACTTTTTCCTGGTTTAGTCTTGGGAGGGTGTATTTGTCCAGGAATTTATGCATTTCTTCTAGATTTTCTAGTTTCTTTGCGTAGAGGTGTTTATAGTATTCTCTGATGGTAGTTTGTATTTCTGTGGGATCGGTGGTGATATCCCCTTTATCATTTTTTATTGCGTCTATTTGATTCTTCTCTCTTTTCTTCTTTATTAGTCTTGCTAGCAGTCTATCAATTTTGTTGATCTTTTCAAAAAACCGGCTCCTGGATTCATTTATATTTTGAAGGGTTTTTTGTGTCTCTATCTCCTTCAGTTCTGTTCTGATCTTAGTTATTTCTTGACTCCTGCTAGCTTTTGAATTTGTTTGCTCTTGCTTCTCTAGTTCTTTTAATTGTGATGTTAGGGTGTCAATTTTAGATCTTTCCTGCTTTCTCTTGTGGGCATTTAGTGCTATAAATTTCCCTCTACACACTGCTTTAAACATGTCCCAGAGATTCTGGTACGTTGTGTCTTTGTTCTCATTTGTTTCAAAGAACATGTTTATTTCTGCCTTCATTTCGTTATTTACCCAGTAGTCATTCAGGAGCAGGTTGTTCAGTTTCCATGTAGTTGTGTGGTTTTGAGTGAGTTTCTTAATCCTGAGCTCTAATTTGATTGCACTGTGGTCTGAGAGACAGTTTGTTGTGATTTCTGTTCTTTTACATTTGCTGAGGAGTGTTTTACTTCCAATTATGTGGTCAATTTTAGAATAAGTGTGATGTGGTGCTGAGAAGAATGTATATTCTGTTGATGTGGGGTGTAGGGTTCTGTAGATGTGTATTAGGTCTGCTTGGTCCAGAGCTGAGTTCAAGTCCTGGATATCCTTGTCAACCTTCTGTCTTGTTGATCTAATATTGACAGTGGGGTGTTAAATTCTCCCATTATTATTGTGTGGGAGTCTAAGTCTGTTTGTAGGTCTCTAAGACTTGCTTTATGAATCTGGGTGCTCCTCTATTGGGTGCATATATATTTAGTATAGTTAGCTCTTGTTGAATTGATCCCTTTACCATTATGTAGTGGCCTTCTTTGTCTCTTTTGATCTTTGTTGGTTTAAAGTCTGTTTTATCACAGACTAGGATTGCAACCCCTGCTTTTTTTTTTTTTTTTTTTTTTTTTTGCTTTCCATTTGCTTGGTAGATCTTCCTCCATCCCTTTATTTTGAGCCTATGTGCATCTCTGCACGTGAAATGGGTCTCCTGAATACAGCACACTGATGGGTCTTGACTCTTTATCCAATTTGCCAGTGGGTGTCTTTTAATTGGGGTATTTAGCCCATTTACATTTAAGGTTAATATTGTTGTGTTTGAATTTGATCTTGTCATTATGATATTAGCTGGTTATTTTGCCTGTTAATTGATGCAGTTTCTTCATAGTGTCCATGGTCTCTACAATTTGGCATGTTTTTGCAGTGACTGGTACTGATTGTTCCTGTCCATGTTTAGTGCTTCCTTCAGGAGCTCTTGTAAGGCAGGCCTGGTGGTGACAAAGTCTCTCAGCATTTGCTTGTCTGTAAAGGATTTTATTTCTCCTTCACTTATGAAGCTTATTTTGGCTGGGTATGAGATTCTGGGTTGAAAATTATTTTCTTTAAGAATGTTGAATATTGGCCGCTACTCTCTTCTGGCTTGTAGGGTTTCTGCTGAAAGATCCGCTGTTAGTCTGATGGGCTTCCCTTTGTGGGTAACCCAACGTTTCTCCCTGGCTGCCCTTAACATTTTTTCCTTCATTTCAACCTTGGTGAATCTGACAATTATGTGTCTTGGGGTTGCTCTTATTGAGGAGTATCTTTGTGGTGTTCTCTGTATTTCCTGAATTTGAATGTTGGCCTGCTTTTCTAGGTTAGGGAAGTTCTCCTGGATAATATCCTGAAGTGTGTTTTCTAACTTGGTTCCATTCTCGCTGTCACTTTCTGGTACACCAGTCAAACATATATTTGGTCTTTTCACATAGCCCCATATTTCTTGGAGGCTTTGTTCATTTATTTTCACTCTTTTTTCTCTAATCTTGTCTTCTCACTTTGTTTCATTAATTTGATCTTCAATCACTGATATTCTTTCTTATGCTTGATCAAATCGGCTATTGAAGCTTCTGCATGCATTGCAAAGTTCTTGTGCTGTGTTTTTCAGCTCCATCGGGTCATTTAAGGTCTTCTCTACACTGTTTATTCTAGTTAGCCATTCGTCTAACCTTTTTTCAATGTTTTTAGCTTTTTTGCGATGGGTTAAAATGTGCTCCTTTAGCTCGGAGAAGTTTGTTGTTACCGACCTTCTGAAGCCTACTTCTGTCAACTCGTCAAACTCATTCTCCTTCCAGTTTTGTTCCCTTGCTGGCGAGGAGCTGCGATCCTTTGGAGGAGAAGAAGTGCTGTGGTTTTTGGAATTTTCAGCTTTTCTGCTCTGGTCTCTCCCCATCTTTGTGGTTTTATCTACCTTTGGTCTTTGATGATGGTGACCCACAGATGGGGTGTTGCTGTGGATGTCCCTTTTGTTGATGTTGATGCTATTCCTTTCTGTTTGTTAGTTTTCCTTCTAACAGTCAGGACCCTCAGCTGCAAGTCTGTTGGAGTTTGCTGGAAGTCCATTCCAGACCCTGTTTGACTGGGTATCACCAGCGGAGGCTGAAGAACAGCAAATATTGCTGCCTGATCCTTCCTCTGGAAGCTTTGTCCCAGACAGGCACCCTCCTGTTTGAAGTGTCTGTTGGCCCCTACTGGGAGGTATCTCCCAGTCAGGCTACATGGGGTTCAGGGACCCACTTGAGGAGGCAGTCTGTCCGTTCTCAGAGCTTGAACGCTGTGCTGAAACAACCAGTGCTCTCTTCAGAGCTGTCAGACAGGGACATTTAAGTCTGCAGAAGCTGTCTGCTGCCTTTTGTTTTGCTATGCCCTGCCCTCCGAGGTGGAATCTAGAGTGGCAGTAGTCCTTGCTGAGCTATGGTTGGCTCTGCCCAGTTCAAGCTTCCCAGACACTTTGTTTACACTGTGAGATACTCAAGCCTCAGCAATGGCGGATGCCCCTCACCCCATCAAGCTGCAGCATCGCAGGTTGATCTCAGACTGCTGCACTAGCAGTGAGCAAGGCTCTGTGGGCCTGGGACCCACCGAGCCAGGCACAGGAGGGTATCTCCTGGTCTGCCAGTTGCTAAGACCATGGGAGAAGCACATTATTTGGTCAGGAGTGTACCAGTTCTCCAGGTACAGTCTGTCATGGCTTCCCTTGGCTATGAAAGGGAAAACCCCCAACCCTTTGCACTTCCTGAGTGAGGTGATGCCCCGTCCCACTTCAGCTCACTCTCCATGGGCTGCACCCACTGTCCACCCAGTCCCAATGAGATGAACCAGGTACCTCAGTTGGAAATGCAGAAATCATTTGTCTTCTGTGTCATTCTTGCTGGGAGCTGCAGACTGGAGCTGTTCCTATTCGGCCATCTTGGAAGTGACCTCGTACATATATTTCAAAAATATAACTTACTTGCAGCCGGGGATGGTGGCTCACACCTGTAATTCCAGCACTTTGGGAGGCTGAGGCAGGTGGATCACGAGGTCAAGAGATCGAGACCATGGCGGCCAATATGGTGAAACCCCATCTCTACTAAAAATACAAAAATTAGCTGGGCATGGTGGTGCCCCCCTGTAGTCCCAGCTACTTGGGAGGCTAAGGCAGGAGAATTGCTTGAACCAGGGAGGTGGAGGTTGCAATGAGCCCAGATTGAGCCACTGCACTCCATCCTGGCAACAGAGTGAGACTCCATCTCAAAAAAAAAAAAAAAAAATATATATATATATATATATATATTTGATGTTATATATATAACTATATATATATATTTCCACCAAAGCCCAGTAATAGGCCTGGAGCTGTCTCTCAAAAGGAGAGTAGTTATCTGCAGAAGATGGCAGGGCCTTGCTCCAAAATCCTAGAGGCCTCCACTTTAGGCCTCACCTATGTGGGCCTACCAAAGGCTCCAAACAGCATCCCTGTCTGCCACTGACACCTCAAGCACCACTGGATTTGCTGGGTCATATGGCCTAAGTGGCAGAGCAGCTTGCACAGCTCTCTGTACATATATATATATATAACTTAATAAGTTATATATATAACACATATAGAACTTATTAAGTTATATAATAACTATGTATATAACTATATATAACTATTATATAACTTAATAAGATATATAACTATTATATAACTTAATAAGTTATATATAACTATTATATATAACTTAATAAGTTATATATAACTATTATATAACTTAATAAGTTATATATAACTATTATATAACTTATTAAGTTATATATAACTATATATAACTTAATAAGTTATATATAACTATTATATAACTTAATAAGTTATATATAACTATTATATAACTTAATAAGTTATATATAACTATTATATAACTTAATAAGTTATATATAACTATATATAACTTATATACAACTTATTAAGCTATATATATAGTTATTAAGTTATATATATATAACTATATATATAACTTAAGTTAACTATATATATAACTTATTTGCATGTTCATAGGTACAGGTCAATAAATACTTAAAATTTGTAAGAACTTTTAAAATATAAGAATTTTTTGTTACATATGTATTGAAATTGTTTTAAAGATTTTTTCCTTTTATGGGAAAAACACTACATTGAGATACAAATTATGTGTTATATCTTAGAACCCAGTAGATACTTCTGCAGCAACTTTCTAGTAACCTTTTAAAAAGAGATAAAATGCACATCTGGAAAGAAACATATAGATGCTGTGATGGTTAATACTGAGTGTCAACTTGATTGGATTGAAGGATACAAAGTATTGATCCTGGGTGTGTCTGTGAGGGTGTTGCCAAAGGAGAATAACATTTGAGTCAGTGGGCTGGGGGAGGCAGATCCATCCTTCATCTGGTGGGCACAATATAATCAGCTGCCAGGGAATATAAAGCAGGTAGAAAAACATGAAAAGGAGAGACTGGCATATCCTCCCAGTGTACATCTTTCTCCTGTGCTGGATGCCTCCTGCCCTTGAACATCGGACTCCAAGTTCTTCAGTTTTGGGACTCAGACAGGCTCTCCTTGCTCCTCAGCTTGCAGACAGCCTATTGTGGAAGCTTGTTATCTTGTAAGTTAATACTTAATAAACTCTCATATATATCCTATCATTTCTTTCCCTCTACAGAACCCTGACTAATACAGATTTTGGTACCAGGAGTGGGGTCACAAACAGGAGAAGGCTCTGCAACAGGTCCAGGCTGCTGTGAAGCTGCTCTGCCACTTAGGCCATATGACCCAGCAAATCCAGTGGTGCTTGAGGTGTCAGTGGCAGACAGGGATGCTGTCTGGAGCCTTTGGTAGGCCTCCATAGGTGAGGCCTAGAGCAGAGGCCTCTAGGATTTTGGAGCAAGGCCCTGCCATCTTCTGCAGATAACTACTCTCCTTTTGAGAGACAGCTCTGGGCCTATTACTGGTCTTTGGTGGAAACTTGTTTGACTATGGATCATCAAATCACCATGTGACCTGAACTACCTATCATTAACTGGGTGCTTTCTGACCCATCTAGCCATAAAGTGGGTCATGCACAGCAGCATTTCATCATCAAATGGAAGTGGTATATATGTGATTGGGCTCGAGCAGATCCTGAAGGCATAAGTAAGTTGCATGAGGAAGTGGCTCAAATGTCCATGGTCTCCACTCCTGCCACCATGCCTTTTCTCCCCTAGCCTGCACTGATGACCTCATGGAGCATTCCCTATGATGGTCAGAGGAAGTGAAGACTAGGGCATGGTTCACAGATGGCTCTGCATGATATGCAGACACCACCCGAAAGTGGACAGCTGCAGTACTACAGCTCCTTTCTAGGACATCCCTGAAGGACAGGGGTGAAGGGAAATCTTCCCAGTTGGCAGAACTTTGAACAGTGCACCTGGTTGTGCACTTTGCATGGAAGGAGAAATGGCCAGATGTGCGATTATATACTGATTTGTGGGCTGTAGTCAATGGTTTGGCTGGATGGTCAGGGACTTGGAAGAAGCATGATTGGAAAATTGGTGACAGAAATTTAGGGAAGAGGTATGTGGATGGACCTCTTGGAGTGGTCAAAAGTGTGAAGATATCCCATGTGAGTGCTTTGTGAGTGCTCACCAATGGTGACCTCAGCAGAGGAGGATTTTAATAATCAAGTGGACAGGATGACCCATTCTGTGGACACCACTCAGCCTCTTTACCCAGCCATCCCTGTCATCACCCAATGGGCCCATGAACAAAGTGGCCATGGTGGCAGGGATGGAGGTTATGCTTGGGCTCAGCAACATGGACTTTCACTCACCAAGGCTGACCTGGCTACAGCCACTGCTGAGTGTCCAATTTGCCAGAAGAAGAGATCAACACTGAGCCCTTGATATGGCACCATTGCTCGGGGAGAACAGCCAGCTACCTGGTGGCAGGTTGATTATATTGGACCTCTTCCATCATGAAAAGGGTAGAGGTTTGTCCTCACTGGAACAGACACTTACTCTGGATATGGGTTTGCCTATCCTGCATACAATGCTTCTGCCAAGACTACTAGCCGTGGACTCACGGACTGCCTTATCCACCGTCATGGTAGTCCACACTGCATTGCCTCTGACCAAGGCACTCACTTTATGGCTAAAGAAGGGCGGCAGTGGGCTCATGCTCATGGAATTCACCTGTCTTACCATGTTCCCCATAATCCTGAAGCAGCTGGGTTGATAGAGTGGTGGTATGGCCTTTTGAAGTCACAATTAAAATGCCAACTAGGTGACAATACTTTGCAGGGCTGGGGCAAAGTTCTCCAGAAGGCCGTGTATGCTCTGAATCAGTGTCCAATATATGGTACTCTTTCTCCCGTAGCCAGGATTCATGGGTCCAGGAATCAAGGGGTGGAAGTGGAAGTGGCACCACTCACCATCACCCATAGTGATCCACTAGCAAAATTTTTCTTCCTGTTCTTGTGACATTACGTTCTGCTGGCCTAGAGGTCTTAGTTCCAGAGGGAGGAATGCTGCCAGCAGGAGACACAACAACGATTCCATTAAAGTGGAAGTTAAGATGGCTACCTCGACACTTTGGGCTCCTCCTACCTTTAAGTCAACAGGCTAAGAAGGGAGTTACAGTGTTAGCTGGGGTGATTGACCTGGACTATCAAGATGAAATCAGTCTACTACTCCACAACAGAGGTAAGGAAGAATATGCATGGAATACAGGAGATCCATTAGGGCATCTCTTAGTATTACTATGCCCTGTGATTAAGGTCAATGGGAAACGACAACAGCCCAATCCAGGAAGGACTACAATTGGCCCAAACCCCTCAGGAATGAAGGTTTGGGTCACTCCACCAGGAAAAAAACCACAACCCACTGAGGTGCTTGCTGAAGGCAAAGGGAATACAGAATGGGTAGTAGAAGAAGGTAGTCATCAATACCAGCTATGACCACATGACCAGTTGCAGAAGTGGGGACTGTAATTGTCATGAGTATTTCCTCCTTCTTTTGTTAAAAACACGTCTGTGCATGTATACACTTGTATTAAGAAAATATCTTTATTTTATTTCCTTTTTTTACCATGTGACAAAAGATTTATTGACTTGGTATCAGCATTTGTGTATTGTTAACTTTGTGTAATAGTATTTGGGTTGGGGATTGGTGCATTTCTGGTTGTACAAAGGATAATTGTATTATTTTAGATGTAATTATGACCTGACCTTATTATTGTCATTGATCTCAGGAGTTGCGTATGGGTTCAAGTTGACAAAGGGTGGACTTGTGATGGTTAATACTGAGTGTCAACTTGATTGGATTGAAGGATACTAAGTATTGATCCTGGGTGTGTCTGTGAGGGTGTTGCCAAAAGAGATTAACATTTGAGTCAGTGGGCTGGGGAAAGCAGATCCACCCTTAATCTGGTGGGCACAATCTAAACAGCTGCCAGTGAATATAAAGCAGGCAGAAAAGCGTGAAAAGGAGAGACTGGCCTAGCCTCCCAGCCTACATCTTTCTCCCATGCTGGATGCCTCCTGCCTTTGAACATCAGACTCCAAGTTCTTCAGTTTTGGGACTTGGACTAGCTCTCCTTGTTCCTCAGCATGCAGACAGCCTATTGTAGGACCTTGTGATTAAGGTAATACTTAATAAACTCCTCTTTATATATATTTAAACATATATATAAATATATACATATAAAGGAGAGTTTTTTATATATGGGGGTTTTATATATATATGTAAAATATATATAATATAAATAAAAATATTTATAATATATAACTATAAATACTATATATAATAAAACATATGATTTATATATATTTATATAATGTAATAAATATATGATATAAATATAAAATAAATATAAATTTATATTATATATAAACATATACATTATATATAAATATATAAATAAATATATGTATATATCCTATTTGTTCTGTCCCTCTAGAGAACCCTATTATAGATGCCATTGAATATTGGTCCACAGTAATAAAACACATATTTGCTGTTAATTATCTAGTCCCAATTTCAGCCAGTCCTGTTAGAATTGGAGACTATTCCACTTGTAATTTTTATACCCTTTTCTCAGTTACACTTTCCTTCCACCTGTAGAGACTAGGGCTATGACATTTAAGTAAAAGGGGCTATTTTTAAAAATATGGTGTTTAGCCATCTGGGGTAATGTGAGTTATTGAATTGGGGCTACTCCAATCTTTTTTTTTAAAAACGTTATTAAAAATGTTAAAAAAATCAATGTTCCAATGTTAAAAAGAAAAGTTTATAAATTTTCCCCACACTCCTACAATCCCAATCCCTGAATTAATTGATGTTAACACTTTAATATATAATTTATCTTCTCTTATGCTAGTCTGTGTGTGTGTGTGTGTGTGTGTGTGTAAGATGGGACCATGTTTTTTTTCTTTGTTTAAAATTATTTTTATTTATTTTTATTTTTTTGAGACAGAGTCTCGCTCTGTCGCCCAGGCTGGAGTGCAGTGGCACTATCTCGGCTCACTGCAAGCTCCGCCTCCCAGGTTCAGGCCATTCTCCTGCCTCAGCCTCCCAAGTAGCTGGGACTACTGGCACCTGTCACAAAGCCCAGCTAATTTTTTTTGTATTTTTAGTAGAGACGGGGTTTCACCGTGTTAGCCAGGATGGTCTCAATCTCCTGACCTTGTGATCTGCCCACCTCGGCCTCCCAAACTGCTGGAATTGTAGGTGTGAGCCACTGCGCCCGGCTGGGGCCATGTGTTTTTATAAAAATATCTACATGAGTCACTTAGGATGCATTCAGTTACAGGGAATAGAAAACTCAATTTAATTGGCTTCAACAAGCAAATGTGTTGGTTCATATAGCCAGAAACTTCAAAAGTTAAGACAAGTTTTGGTGTTAGTTTAATTTGGCAGCTCAGAAATTTCTTTAAGGACTGAATTTCTTTTCATATATCTTTTCTGGGATATCTGCTTCATCCCAAAGCTGGGTTCCTCCAGTGATCGAAACATGGCTACCAACAGTCTCCAGAAACACCTCTTCCAACCCGAGGAGTGAGCGTCTCCTCCCCAGCCACTGGGCAGAGTTCTAGGATTCCCTCTGATTGGACCATGTTGATCATGTGCCTTTCCTGGGGCTGGGGACTGTCCTACGTTGATTGGCTTAGATCTGGCTTATGCGCTGGTTCCTGAAATAAACACCGTGTCAAGAGTAGGATATACTTGCAGTTTAATTTAGCCAAACCTGGACCTATGCTGGAGCTGAGGATGGAGCAAATACCAGCAAAACTGCCTAAATGTTCCCCAGTGCTGTGGGGGTGGAACGGACGCTGAGAAGCTCACCCTAATATCCAATTCACCATGGAAAAAAGACAGGAAGGATATACAGCAAAGTGCCCACGACAGTTATTTTCAAGTGGTGATATTATGGGGAATTTTTATTTTCTTTTTTACGCTTATCTGTATTTTACATTTTTGACAACAAGCATATATTACTTGAATAACTTCAAAGAGAAATGAAAGCTATAAATATGAAGAAAAGCTGGTATATAACACTAGCAAGTAATTAACAGCTTGAGGGATTTAAAGCAGACGTGTTGGCAAACAGGAAACATGAATTTTCAGAATGGTACCAACGGTGCCTTGCAGAAGCTTCCAACTGCCTTTCTCTTGCCCCTGTTAGGCAATTCCGTCGTTTCTACAGACTTAATCTGAGATCTCTGAAGGCTAGTCTGGCTTAAAACTACCAGTTTCAGCGGCTTGCAATTTTCTCTTATATTTGGGTGGGGAAGATTTTTCAGTTTTCCCTTAGAGACACTTTCCCTTGTGGGGCATGATAGTGTGTTCCTCGTTGCAGAAGGACCCCTGTATGCAGAAGTAGAGGCGCTGGCCTCAGGCTCCTCCACTTCCTCTTGGACAGAAGACGCTGAGCATTTTTTCAGGAAGTGGTCACCCCAGTGGTCCCCGGCTTTCTCAGACTTCCTGCAGCTCTCTACACAGTGAATCACAGTGAGACACTGGCAGCAGGCACCACGGAAGGGACCCTCAAATCTGAAGGCTCAAGGTCCTGGGAAAAGATGAAGTGGAGCATGCCTCTTGTTTCCTCCTATTAGATGCTGAGTGTTGGAAGTTCTTCCTAGGATTCACAAAGAAACTCCTGCTCTTCTTCCACATACTTTTTCCTGGGAAAGAAAACTTGTTTCACTGGCAGAAAAGATCCCCACTGTTAAAGTGAGGTAAGGATATCTCATGTCAGGGTAGGCATCTGCATTCTCACTTTGATTTCTGCTTGAAGCTGATTCTCAGCTCTGCACTTTGAGAAATTTGATTTTACCTGACCTATGCCCTTCTGGAATTTATTATGTTGTGATGGTAAGCAATAAACTGGCATTTTAGTGTCATGATGCGAGCTATACTTACCGGAAGGATGGAAATGCTCTAGGTTGAGCAGTCATGCTCTTTTTCTCTTCTCAGTAGGAAAACACAGTGTGGGGAAGGAAATGAGGCCAGAAGATGGATATTGGATGGTCTTAAGGAAGCATTTTGTTTCTCCTGGTTATGTCTCCACCCCACCAGAATGTAAATTTCACAAGAGTAAGGACCTTGACTGTCTCATTCAGTATTGTATCCGCAGCATCTAGAACAGGCAGAGATACTCAGTGCACATGTAATGAACAAATGAATCAAAGGCTGCCTAGCTGGATGGATGAATCCTTATTTTTCAAGGGTCAGTGTCCTCTGGGAAGTCATCTCTAACCATTTTTATGGAAGTTAGATGCCCTCCTCTGAGTGTCTACAAGTGCTGGGATTCTGCAGCAATTTTTTCATTTAATTATAGGCATTTTGGCATTTTGCACAGAGCCTGGCACATAGTATATAGGTGTTAAAATAATAATACTGTGGAAGCCTCATAAATATCTCTCAGCATGTGAAAATACTTTAAAGTAGATCAGGATCTTACATTAACCAGAGCTCCTGTCCTGCTTCAGTGTTGGTGATGCATTAGCAAGTTCTTACTCCCTGATTTTCATGGCTTCTAAGGGAAGAACCACCCTTCTATTTTCAGCTGTTATTACAATACCATCTATATTTGTTGAACCCACAAAATGTGCTGAATGATTTTAGCGAATTACGTTTCTGGGATCAAATTGGTCGTCTCCTGTTGTTGCATAAAGAGGCGACTTCATCTCATCAGCAAACCATCTGCAAGTCTTAGGGTAGGACATCTTATTTCTAGTGGGACCTCCTTGAAACAGTACATTCCTCTGGGGTTATGTGGCTTCTTACAGCTTTGGTCACACAAACAGAAGCCCCCAATCTGGTCCCTACTCAGTTTTGGCCCCTCTCTTCTATTGTCTGTGGTCCTCTGTCCACAGACCACACTCCCTCTGACAGGTATGCTTGCCTGACCAGACCACACTTCCTTGGGGTCCAGGTGGGGATTTGCATGGCACCACTCTGAACACACTGAAAGAGCAAATAGCTTCATGTGACCCACAGGCTTGGATCATCCAGAAGTAATATTCATTGTTTTAAGACCAGTGATCCAAAGATCAAGACATAGACCAAGTGGCAAACAGATTTAAGATGAGGGCAGCCTAAAGTCTGAAAAAAAGCTAGATACTCAAGTTACATAAAATTGGCAATAACCAGAGAATGGTCATGTGGGCCTGATTCTTTGGCAGAGTTTGCCACAGCCGAGGATTTAATATTCTCTGTTAATTTATGTGGGCCTGAGCCCATGGATGTGGATGGCTTAAGTGGCCAAGGAAGTGGTGAAAAAGAAAATAGGATCTTCATAGTTCTATTGGAAAAGTCTTTGATAGAACAGTACTGAAGCAACTCTCACTAGACCAGAGTGACACAGTCTTGGATTTATTGAGTGCACATGATGAGCTTTAGGCATCCCAGTCATTGTTCCCTTATCTAAAGGCCATCCTCCTTTCCCAGGGCAGGGAAGGTGCATCTTATACCCATGTTGTCACTTAGATCTGTTCAGTTGTGTTGTTCACTGAGAATCCCTGTAATGACTGGTTATTCGTGCTGTGATTGGGTCCTTCTTAACCTGCATCCTGATGGCTTTAAAACCCCAAATGACAAGTCACTGAGCCAAACCACAAAGTTGGCTAGAATCTAAATTTAGTTAACTGTGCCCTTCAAACACTTGTGTTTCCTTAAATTAGGTTCTTTGTTGGCTGATTCCCTTCTGCAGGCATCATTTATAAGTTTCCTTTTGTCAGATTTCCTGTCATTTCCTATCCACAGTGCCAGCCTCTTTGCACAGTTCTGGGTTTCTGGAGAGCCTCTTTACCTGCTTCTGTCTTCCTCAAAACAGCCTTATTAACCTTGTGGTGCCCTTGCTTTTTCCAGGAGGCTTTTCTTGCTAGCCTGTGTCTGTACTGACTAGGATTCATCCCAATATTCCTGCTCTGGCTTTTCATGCAAGAGAAGGAAGACTACTTTCCCCAAATCTTCTTGGTAAAAGGAAAAAGGAACTTGCTTTTCACTAATCCAAGGTTTGCAGTTTTCATACATTTCCTCCAATTCAAAAAAATAGGAAATTGATATGTTTTTGCCACCTCTCTCATAACCCATACCAGTGTTCACTCCTGATCCATCCCCAAATCAATGAAATAAATTTTTTGAGGACAGAGGTCCTATCCCATTCATCTCTGCAGGTCCAGTGCTTAGTGTAGTTCCTGACACATGGCAGGTGCAAAATACATGTTTATTGAGTGGAGGAATGGATAAATGCATGAGTGAATGTATAAATGGAGACATTGAGATGGGGCCATATATTGAAAAATTGTAATTGATTATAAGTTATTTGCTCATTCAAAAGTGGTTTAATGATAATATAGCTGGAGTTTTCAAAGTTAGTAATTTTCTTTGTCACTAATACTTAGAATGTAAGTTCTTTTGAAAAATACAAAATATAGTTACAAATAATGTTTTCAAAAATAGCCCTAATAACAGTAATATAATTTCTACTTGAAAATAAGTTTATTAAAGTAAAAGAGAAATATAATGATGATTTAAAAAAATCACAAGGATAAGTACTGAGTTAGCTATTTTCTCTCTATGTATGATTCAAATTTGTATGCTGATTCTAAAAGGCAAATATAAATGCTAATGAAAGTAACCAAAAACATTAATAACTTGACTTACGTGGACTTTGCTATGGAAAAATGCAAGTCCATTCAAATAGTAATAGAATTCGCTGTGATAGGTCGGCTTATAACTCTGCCAAAAAAACTTTATAAATATATCAGCTTCCAATAAGTGAGATAAATCAATTAAACAGCAATTAAGTAAAAGTTCAAGTTAATAATCAATTATATGCTAAGTAAAAGTTCAAGTTAATAATCAATTATATGCTAAGTAAAAGTTCTCAGAGCAGGCAAAAGGTTAAGTTATTCCATGGATTTTCAGTTTCAGATATTTAAAATCATACAGCTTTCAGATCTGGGCAGGCAACTCTGCATGGTGTGAACAAACACAATATGCATTATGCAGAGACATCTAATAAAGATAGAAGTTTCTAACCAAGCAATACATATTACAAGCAGATTTCGAAATTGAGGGATTTCTTTTTCATCAGTGAAACAAATCACAGCATGTGTAAAAGGTTAGTAAAAATAGCTATGTGTAAATTGTGCTTTGATTTAGGGAAATAGAATTAAGCCTGGAAGAAAGTTCACACTAGTCTCCAATGCTAAGTCAGAGAGAGAAAATGAAAGAGCTTTGTGGAATCTGCCAAGACTCTTCGTGGATTTCAACTTTGCCAAGATTGTTCCGATAAAGCATCTGGTTTATGGCTAAGGAGAGGCGTGGCCTGCTGAGACAGAAAGATTGTGTCTTGCTGCGTTAGGATGAGGCCGCTATCTCAACTACGCTGTGAGGGAAAGCCATTTGACTATGGAGGATAGCCTACCAGCACAACACAAAACTCACCATCTTGGCTGCTCTGTGTTGTGTTACAAGCTCTAATAATCTAAAGGTCCTACATAGGCAAATTAACTTGTAACTAGCTTAATAATTGCAGTAAGGCAACATTAAAATAGCTTCAGCATATTTTAGAAGTAAATGTTGGAAGATGAACTCAATAGAGACAAGGCAATTGACCAAAGACAAAAGCCTTTCAGATGTTGGGAAATATTATTGGCAATGAATCATATGCTCAGCCACATATGGCTTGCTGTTTGCTCTTTGTAGTTTATTGACATCAATTGACCTTTGACATCTGGAGAGACAAGGAGAAAAGGAGGAAGACCATATGTTTACTGTATGCCAGGAAACTGTCACAGGTTTTGGATTGTATAAACTCCATGACATCAGAGACTTGGTGCGTGTTGGTCAACCCCAGCACTTAAATCCATGCTGGGGACACATAGGTAGTTGGAATTCACCACTTGATTGAATAAATGTTCATCTGTTGAGCTTGCTACTTTTGTTCCCTGGTTAGTTCTGTGCTTAGTTCCTTGGTTATTTCTGTGCCTGCAGAGAACTCCATCCATCCAAGTAGAATTGATTGACTTTTAGCCAGTATATTATGATTTCTTATAAGTGCATTATTTAAATTTCTATTCGAATTCATGAAATATGTTATTTGTTACATATGACACCATTATAGTTAATATTGAACAATCTTTTTCTGAAATCTTGGAATGACCCCTATGCCTTATTTCTCTTATGTCTGTCTGTCTCTCTCTCTCTCTCTCTATATATATATATATGTATATATGTATATATACTCTCTATATTTTTTGGGAGACAATTTAGTCTGTATATATATAGAGAATATATCTATATATAGAGTATATATAGTAAATGCTTGAGCATATATATTATATATAATAGCATATATATACTATATATATAGTAAATGCTTGATCACATATATGTATATATAAAGGATAGTAAAATATGTCATTAAATTGTATCCTCTGTTCATATAGGTGTTATTATTACTGTAATAAGTTAGAATCACACATACTCATCATTATCAAAATTGTAAAATGAGAAGAGCTTTTCTGCCATTATTAGCAGCTACTTCTTTCCAATACTCCCCTCTTGAATATTTATTTATATTCAAGGTTTGGGAATTTGTTTCACCCTGCCCTGTCCACGAGTAGTGTTCAGTAAAGATGCATGTGCATATTGTTTTTGAAAATATGTTTTTAAACATATTTTAGAAAAGGACGATGTTCTATTAAAACAAGGTAGTGAGTCTCTAGATGAACGAATCTTATGAGTACTTAAAGAATGCCTGTAGACCAAAATTTTGGTCAGAAAAGAAATGGGAAAGAAAGCTGGAGAATTCGCTTTATATGAAAAGAGGCAGGTTAAGACTATAAAAGCCAACTGCCTGGGAAACCACTCATTAGAAAAAAGTGCCATTCTCTATCTTCAGAAGTCACAGGATATACCTAAATAGGCTTTGTGATTTCACCCAGTTCTCCGTGTCACACCTCTGAAGTGTCTCCAGAGGATTAACGATCACAGTGAATATTTAGTAAATGCTTGACCTTGATGTTGAGTTCCTGGCGCTCAGTAAACACTGGTTCCCTCCCTTCCTTCCTGCCTGCTTTGAGGAGGAGAAATCCAAAGCCTCATGGACTGCAGTGATTTTTAAAATACCAAATAAGTAAGTCTACAATTAGATCAGAGAAAAAGACGAGTTTGAAGAGAAGGGAGCATGTTTACTGTGGGCGAGGAGGAGGTCTGATCATTAGGGTAGATTGTAACAGCCATTTTGGAATGGCCTTCGGCCAGCAGCTGCTGAGCATTTGAACTCATTTCTGCAGTTCTTTCTCAGCTGATGTGTTCTTCCCATCAGCGGTGAGTCAGATTCTGGCCCTGACCTTAGTGGCAGACACTGGCCGAATGACCGTAAGCACCGCCCCTGCCCCAAAGGCCTCCTCCCTCTCAGAGACCAGAGATCTTTCCTCCTTTAGAAATTCCACATGTAGGTTCTAGAGGAGTCTAGCTGGACCCATGGGTAAGCCATTCTCAGCCTCCTGGCAATACGATAGTAACTGGTAGATGCTTTTCCCTATATTCGTGTGCTCAGGCTGCCATAAGAAAATACAACAGATTGGATGGGCTAAACAGCACCAGTTTATTTTCTCACAGTTCAAGGGCCAGAAGTCCAAGATCAAGGCTCCGGCAGGGTTGCTTTTCCCTGAGGCTCCTTTTCTTGGCTTGCAGACGGCTGTCCCCTTGCTCCCTCTCTGCATGGTGTTCTCTCTCAGTGTATGCATTCCTGGTGTATTTCTCTGTCCTAATCTCCTCATGTTCTTCTTGTAAGGACACAAGGACACCAGTCATACTGGATCGGGGCCACCCTAATAGCCTCATTTCATCTTAAAGGCCCTGTCTCTAAATACAGTCATATTCTGAGGTACTAGAGGTTAGGACTTCCACAAATGAAATTTGGGAGACATAATTTAGTCTATAACAACCACTCAGTTGCAGTCTTTTTTCTGTGTTTAAATTCACACACACCAATATGACACTTGGAAAAAAGCTAAACAAACAACAATAGCAAAAGCAATGGTCTCAGAAATCAGAAGAGCTGGGTTTGAGGCCAGGCTTCGCCATTAACCAACATCTCCCTTCACCTCCGTGTTCCTGGTCACTGCCTCTCATGAAGCAGGGATGAGACCACCACTCATTTTTCCAGCCTCTGCAGCCTGTTGGGAGGACCGAGTGAGAAGATGTGTGGGGAGCCCTTCACGGCTGTTCAATGTTGACCATCACTTATGTGGGGGCTCCTGGTCCAGTGGCTTAGAGAGTGGGCTCTGGAGTTGAACTGCCTGATCCAAATTCCAGAGTCACTGTCATGAGCTGGTAAACCTTGGCTAGGTGATTTCCTTCCTCTGTCCCTCAGTTTTCTTTTCTGAAAAATGGGAATGATGATAGCTGATATGGTTTGGCTGTGTCCCCACCGAAATCTCACCTTGAATTATAATAATCTCCACCTGTCAAGGGTGACAGGTGTAGATAATTGTATCATGGGGGGTGGTTCCCCCATACTGTTCTCGTGGTAGTGAATAAGTCTTGTGAGATCTGATGGTTTTATAAATGGGAGTTCCCCAGCACAAGCTATCTTGCCCACCACTGTGTAAGACATGGCTTTCTCCTCCTTTGTCTTCTGCCATGATTGTGAGGCCTCCTCAGCCATGTGGAACTGTGAGTCTGTTAAATCTCTTTTTCTTTATAAATTACCCAGTCTTGGGTATACCTTTATTAGCAATGTGAGAACTGAATAATACAGTAGCGCTGACTTTATAGGCTTGTTGTACAGATTAAAGAAGTCAGCACTCACTAAAACTGTGTCACAGTAAACAACCCAGCACATATTTTCTATGGTTATGTTTTGTATGGGTCATCAACCTCTTGTGCTCTCTTCCAGTCTAGCCCCATCTCTCACATCCAGTGCCCCCTTGGTTTTCTCCTGAAGGGGGGTGTCTTTAGCAATGGTGGTGGGCTTACAGTGGCCTTACAGTCCCTCAGAGATGAGAGAAGTGAGAAATTTCCCCAGCCTGGTGCCCCAGCGCCTGTGATGAGGCCAAGTGTATTAGTCCATTTTCACAGTGCTGGTAAAGACAACCTGAGACTGGGAAGTAAAAGAGGTTTAATGGACTTACAGACTCAGTTCTACATTGCTGGGGAGGCCTCACAATCATGGCAGAAGGCAAAAAGGAGCACGTCATGTCTTACATGGATGGCAGCAGGCAAAGAGAGAGCTTGTGTAGAGAAACTCCCATTTTTAAAACCGTCAGATCTCATGAGGCTCATTCACTATCACAAGAACAGCGCAGGAAAAACCCATCTCCCATAATTCAATCACCTCCCACCGGGTTCCTCCCATGACATGAGGGAATTGTGGGAGTTACAATTCAAGATGAGATTTGGGTGGGGACACAGCCAAACTATATCATTCCACCCCGACCCCTCCCAAATCTCATGTCCTCACATTTCAAAACCAATCATGCTTTCCCAACAGTCCCCAAATTCTTAACTCATTTCAGCATTAACTCAAAAGTCCACAGTCCAACATCTCATCTGAGACAAGGCTTTTCTGCTTATGAGCCTGTAAAATCAAAAGCAAGTTATTTACTTCCTAGATACAATGGAGGTACAGGCATTGGGTAAATACAGCTGTTCCAAATGGAAGAAATTGGCCAAAACAAAGGGGCTACCGTCCCTATTCAAGTCCGAAATCCAACAAGTCAGTCAAATCTTAAAGCTCCAAAATGATCTCCTTTGACTCCATGTCTCACATCCGGGTCACACTGATGCAAGAGGTGGGTTCCCATGGTCTTGGGCCACTCTGCCCCTGTGGCTCTGCATCCTCCCTCCTGGCTGCTTTCACAGGCTAGTGTTAAGTGTCTGCCACTTTTTCAGGCACACAATGCAAGCTGTTGGTGGATCTACCAATCTGTGGTCTGGAGGACGGTGGCCGTCTTCTCACAGCTCCATTAGGCAGTGCCCCAGTAGGGCTCCCCCACCCACATTTCCCTTCTGCACTGCCCTGGCAGAAGTTCTCCATGACACCAAGGTGGCAATTGCCCTCCATGGAAGGAAGCTGTCTCACTCTGCCCAAACTCCCTGACACGTCTCTGCTGCTGGCCTGGAGGTGCACAGGACAGAGAGGAGTCTCTTTCAGAGACGTCATGATAGTGGCTCTAGAATTTAGACCAGACAGTTCAACTAGAGAGCCCACTCTTTAAGGCACCAGGCCAGGAGTCCCCACATAAGTGATGGTTGACATCCAATGGCTATGAAGGGCTCAGCACACAGATTCATCAGCCTCCTGGAGAAATGACTCAAGGTGCATGTACTGTTGCAGAGCCACCAGAGCCATCTTTTCATACTGATGTAGAAATAAAGACCAACCAGATGAGAACAAGCAAAGGCTATGTATTCAGAGCTTGGATTTTGGCAGAGACCCAAAGGCAGGCAGAGTGAGGAAGCTTCATAATGGAAAAAAGGGAAGGCTTCAGGTGTGCCTTGATTGGAGGCTGTTAACGTGGGGAAGCTGTGGGCAGTTAAGTAGAAACAGGACATCCTATGTGATAGGTTAGGGGAGCATATTTAGCTCTCTCTGACTGGTCCTAAGTTGGAAATTTGGATTTAGGAAAGCTGTCAGTTATTAATCAAGTCCTGGCCCTTGGGGGTGGGTTATTACAGGGGCTATTGTTTGCTTCCTGGATTGTTACTAGAGATAGCAGTCTGACTCCTGCAAGTCTGACTTACATCAGGCTGGCTTCCTAGGTGGTTACTGGAGATAAAGGGTTGGTTTCCTGGGCTGGGTGCTGCAGGTTGTGAGTCAGAGTTCTATTTTTATATGTGGTCTGGTCATATTTGTTTGTATATTCAGTTTCTCTTGGAGGACAGCATGTTGTCCACAGGGCTCTTACAAGGAGATCTCTCAGGCTTCATTGTTCGTGTATAAATCTGGGCCAGTCCTTAACACCCATCTGCTTCCTGCAGGACTTTTGCAGAGAATGGCAGTGGCTGCCTTTTATTTTGTCAGGGTACTTGTGGATATAATGTAATTTTTTGCTGAAGTCTCTTGGCTCCAGGTCTTATTTCAAAGCTGAAACCAAAGTAACATTTTGGGCCAGAAGGAAGCAGGTGTTTCCCATTTTAGAATTTCAGAAGAAGAAGGCTCTAAGAATGTGGCTAAGTGGAGTAAACATGTATAGATGGGAGCTAATTACATAAGTTTGGTTGCCACAAGCTCTTGATCTATGCAAATATGCTTCTGAGAGGAAATGTGAATTTGGAGACTGGGAGATTCTTTCTGCATGTATGATACTGAATAAATTACTAATCTTCCTGAGGTCTTATACATAAATTAAAGGCAATAAAACCAGGCCTCAACGATTTTGCAGATATCCAACCCTCCTGGAGATACCACGTGTACAAAAAGTATTCTGAGCCACTTTCTGTGGTAGTATTGTCCTCACTGTGCAAATTTCTCCTTTGCTGGGCTGCCTGCTCTGCAGACAGAGCTCGTTTCAAATGCCACTATGCACAGGTGGGCATCTCATGCTGGCTCTTAACCTGTGGCATGTGCTGCTACTAATTTTAATTGTGCAAGTCTCTTTACTGCTTACAAAATGGATTTTCACCCTTGGAATAGTATCAAGGTCCTCCAGATCTGGTCCTGGCCTTAGTCCGTCCCTAGTGCTCTAAACAAGTCCTTACTCTCACAAAACCCAGATATATACTCATTGTCTCCTGAACATACCAAGTTTGGTTTCACTTGGGCTCTCACAGTTTTCCTTTGCCTGGAATCTGCGTGGCTCCTTTTCCCTCCCCAACTCACGCCTGACCCTGCTTTGCTCTGGTTTTTATCCACGAAAGGCCTGATTCAAGCCTCACCTCCTCCAGGATGTCTTCTCTGACTGTATCAGACCATGGTGATCTGATTCCTTTTATTTCTGAACAACTCTCCCATAGCACACTTGACTTTCTTATTCTTTTGGTAAGTGGGTAAAACTATACATGATGTTTTTGGTTATCTATATCATATTCTGCATCTTCCACTGGACAGTAAGCTTCAGTATGTCAGCAACTTTTTTTTTTTTTCCACACAGGATCTCACTCTGTTGCCCAGGCTGGGGTGCAGTGGTGCAATCATGGCTCACTGCAGCCTCAACTTCCCTAGGCTCACGTGATCCTCCTGCCTCAGCCTTCTCAGTAGCTGGGACTACACGTGTGCACCACTATAGCTGGCTAATTTTTCTATTTTTCGTAGAGACAGAGCTTTGCAATGTTTCTCAGGCTGGTCTCAAACTCCTGGGCTCAAGTGATCTGCCTGCTTTGGCCTCCCAAAGTGCTGGGATTACAGGTGTGAGCCACTGTGCCCGGGCTCAGTGACTGTTTTACTACCTTATAACCTCACTGCTTAGGATTATGCATTGTATGTTTCAATGCTCAATGAAGGTTCGTTGAGTGCAATGATGAAACAATGTGCCATGTGGATTAATGTGTTAAGCATATTAGAACACTAAAGGAACCAGTCCCTGCTGGTCCCAGCAATAAATAGTTGCCTGAAACCATTTCAGATCCAGAGGGAGGGGGTTTTCGGGACTTAGCCTTTATTATAGTTGCATCTGCAGTAATTCAAGGGGAAAAAAGAATAGCTTTAAAATTTTTATTGTAACAGAAACACAATGACAGCCACTGCATGCCCTATGGAGGGTTTTGGGTCTTGGAACACAGCTAGGCAAAGCCCAACCCATGGCCCTGAGGGTTCTGACAAATGGAATGGGGCAGGTGTGGGGGGCAGGTGGTGAGCCCCCATGCAGGTACAGGGAGTCTTTTTGAGCAGAAATGAAAAATCCAGCAGGGATGCTTCAAAAGATGACTGGGATTCTGGGCAGAATGGGGGTGAGGAGCAAGACCAAATAATGGGGACTATCACCCATCAGCTGGGCCAACCCTGGCAACAGTGAGCCCAGGATTGTGTGTTAAGAGGCCTAAGCAGACAGGGAGACCAGCACTATTGTGGACTCTGCTGGCAGCCACCTCCATGTATCTCGGGGTCGGCTGGGTTTCAGGTCCGGGGAGGGGACATTGCAGGACAAGGCAGGCTCTGTCCTAGAGAGCCAGGGCTTCTATTCAGATCAGCAAGAAAAGGCTCAGGCATGGAGAAATATCATGAGGGTGTTTTGGGGTTGGGGCAGGGGTGATCTTGTTCTCAGGAATAAAGTAAAAGCGCAGATGCTCTGGGCCCAAGTTCAGAGTTGGCTTTGAGGATGTGAGTGAGGATGACTGTAGAAATAGAACAGATGTGGAGCCTGGTGATGCTGCACAGCTCCAAGGACCACAGAAGCAAAGCGACTTCAATATCCAAAGTCACAGTCCTTGTTAGCAGCAAATCTAGGCTTCAAGCCACATTCATGTGATCCGCCTAGTCCAGGGGCGGAGCATTGGTTCTAACTTACCAGGATTTTCATACAGTCTTCATTAGGGCTCTCAGTTTCTATGGTGGTGCCAAGACGGTTTCAGGGTGTGCTCTGACAGTGAGCGATTCAGGAAAAA
The DNA here is from genome assembly GCF_000001405.40 of Homo sapiens. NCBI lineage: Eukaryota > Metazoa > Chordata > Mammalia > Primates > Hominidae > Homo > Homo sapiens. Next base: position 230,137,377 of record NC_000002.12, read on the forward strand.
GGACTTGATGGGAGCAGATATGCATTTTCCTGCTTAATATTAAGAGGTTTTTGTGTTAGATCTTGATCAAAAAGTCTGACCTTAAAAGACACCTGCAGTTCAAAGATGATGACTTTCACAATGACAATGACCATTACAATTCAGTTCCTCTCTGAAGAGCTGGAGAGAAGAGAAAATAAATGCCTGGAGTTCAAAAACAAGACAATGGCACCAAAAATCCATCAGAAAAAAGAAAGTTTTCCTCAAAAAGAGGACAACACAATACCCAGGGGGGAAAATTATGCCTTCAGTGAGGGATTTCATAAAGAGTTATGACATTTCAGATTCTCAGGAAGTTAAAATAGTTGTATCTCCATTGTGATATGCCCTTTAGGAAATCAATATAATTTATTGTGCCTCTTCAGGGCCCATTTTTTATACTTTGAAGTCTACAGGACAGAGTGAAGGAATAGAAACTCATTTAAGATAGTTCAAATAATAGAGGGGTGTATCATATTTTCAGAATCCGAGGACAGAAATTGCAGGGCATCTCAGTGGAACTGGAAATTCAGGAGCAAAGGTTGTTTTGTCTTCTTGCAAGGGCCTTTGTGGACACTCAGAGGCCTCATAGTCTCACTTCTCTCTGCTTCTCTCCTACCTCCCTCTGTGTCTTCTGCTCACAACATGACTGGCAGGCTAATTGCATGACATTACTCTGAGACTACATTCTTTGTGTACCTTGTGTTGGGTTTTTGAGAGACATATTCTGACTCAGTGCAGTCTAGTGAATGACTTGCAGTGAGTCAGATGCCAATCAACTTTGCTGGGGGAGAAGGTGATGCTGTAGTTGAGGATGAAGGAGCAAGGCAGCAAAGGCTTACAGGGTACATCACTTTGGATGGGGTACAGGTGGGGAGGGGCAGGCAACAGTCAGTATCTGCATCATAGACTATCATGGCAACAACAATGATGCTATAATTTGGGTGTTCTCCCAGGCTGCCACACAGTGGCATTGCTGTGCACACTTGAGAAAACTTTATGAAGTTACCATGCACAGCTTGTCATTTTGGTGGTCCCATTCCCTCAGCAACCCTGAGATCCCAGTATCTTCCTAGATACTAGAAAAGGATGCATAAGCGGTAAAACCTTGACCTGAATTTGAGCAATTTTCTAAGTACAAAGAGTATATCTTTCAAACCTTTGCATGTGTGTGGATAATTTGTGTATATGTCCCTCCTCTGAAATATTAATATAAATAACACCCAGAATCTGATATTCATAGGTTTGGGGAAAGTGTGTGGGGTATTTTTCTTTGCTTTAAATCTGGTGGGTTTTGGCATTTTTGCATTTTCCCAGTGTTTTAATCCTCTGATCTATGGGCTCTGGAATAAAGAGCTGCAAAGCAGATTACACCATTGGATGTGTTGTCAGCTATGGTGTGGTCACACTGTCAACAGCAGAGGGCTAGTTTAGAAAAAAAACTCAGCCATTTGAATCAATAACTCTAGTCCTAATGGTCTCATCAGCTAAGGCTGAGGACCTGTCTTTCACTCAACCTAAAATTGGTGCCTTCATTTGATTTTGAAAGAAATATGAGTAAGTCAAAGTTATTTGTTTGGCTTACAAACTTGACTACTGTGTACACTGAATTGGCTTCAGTGAAATCCTTTTAATGTCTTTAACTTTAAACCCAGGCCAGTGTTTTTAGCAGTGTGCTCTACCGTGTATGAGCAGTTAGGCAGGTCTTGGGAATATACTTGTTTTTAGAAACTGAGAAATAGTCCATGGTTAATGTGAAGGGAAGAAGTTTGGCTTTTCCCATTATACTAATTAAGGGTGGATTCAGCTGCATATAATAAAAATACAGCAACAAAATAACAGTGGCTTCCAAAAGTTAGAGATAGATTTTTTTTTCTTTTTCTTTAAGACAGGGTCTGGCTCTGTCACCTAGACCTGAGTGCGGTGGTGCAATCACAGCTCACTGCAGCCTTGACCTCCCAGCCTCAAGTGATCCTCCAGACTCAGCCCCCCAAGTAGCTGGGCTTACAGGCACATGCCACCATACCTGGCTAATTAAAAATAAATTTTTTTTTGTAGGAACAGGGTCTCACTATGTTGTCCAGGCTGGTCTTAAACTCTTGGGCTAAAGTGATCCTCCCACTTCAGCCTCCTAAAATGTTGGGATTACAGATGTGAGCCACAGTGCCCAGCCGTTTTTTTTTTCTTATGTAAAACAAACCTGGAGGTACATAATCCAGGCCTGTGTGGCCACTCCACAGTCAACAAGCTCATTCTCTTCTGTTGTGCCATGATTACTGTGCCACCTCATGACTCAAGATGGCTGTTAGTGTGCCTATCATCACAGGCACACTCCAACAGAAAGCAGGAAGGAGCAAAGAAGGGTCGGCACCTTTCTTCTGTAGACACTTCCTAGAAGTTACACAAAATACTTACTTTTTCTTATGTCAAATTGGTCAACATTTAGTCACATGGGTATGCCTAGTAATATGGTTTGGCTCTGTGTCCCCACCCAAATCTCATGTTGAATCATAATTCCCAATGTTTGGGGAGGGACCTGGTGGGAGGTGATTGGATCGTGGTGGTGGATTTCCCCCTTGCTGTTTTTGTGATAGTGAATGACTTCTATTGAGATCTGGTTGTTTGAAGGTGTATGGCACTCCCCCCTTCACATTCTCTCTCTCCTGCCACCAGGTAAAGAAGATTCTTGCTTCCTCTTTACGCGTCCGCCATGATTGTAAGTTTCCTGAGGCTTCCCCAGCCATGCTGAACTGTGAGTCAATTAAACCTCTTTACTAATTACCCAATATCAGGCAGTTCTTTATAGCAGTGTGAGAATGGACTAATACAGAAAGTTGGTGCCAGGAAAGTAGGGCATTGCTATAAAGATACCGGAAAATGTGGAAGCAACTTTAGAACTAGGTAACAGGCAGAGATTGGAACAGTTTGGAGGGCTCAGAAGACAGGAAGATGAGGGAAAGTTTGGAACTTCCTAGAGACTTGTTGAGTGGTTGTGACCAAAATGCTGATAGTGATATGGGCAGTGAAATCCAGGCTGAGTGGTCTCAGATGGAGATGAAGAACTTATTGGGAACTGGAGTAAAGGTCATTCTTGCTGTCCTTTAGCAAGGAGACTCGTGGCATTGTGCCCCTGCTCTAAAGATCTGTGGAACTTTGTACTTGAGAGAGATGATTTAGGGCATCTGGCGCAAGAAATTTCTAAGCAGCAAAGTGTTTAAGATGTGACCTGGCTATTTCTAAAAGTGTACCCTCATATTTGTGAAGAAGGACATGGTCTGAAATTGGAACTTATATTTAAAAGGGAAGCAGAGCATAAAAGTTTGGAAAATTTGCAGCCCGACCATGTGGTAGGAAAAAAAAAAACTCTTTTTCTGTGGAGGAATTCAAGGCTGCAGAAATTTGCATAAGTAAAGAAATGTTAATAGCCAAGACAATGGGAAAAATGCCTCCAGGACATTTCTGAGACCTTTGTGGCAGCCCCTTGCATTGCAGTCCTGGAGGCCTATGAGGGAAAAATGGTTTCGTGGGCCAGGCTCAGGGCCATGCTACTCTGTGCAGCCTCGGGACATGATGCCCTGTATCCCAGCTGCTTCAGCTCCAGCCATGACTAAAGGGGGCCAAAGTACAGCTTGGGCCATGGCTTCAGAGGGTGCAATCCCTAGGTCTTGGTGGCTTCCACGTCGTGTTGGGCCTGCAGGTGTGCCAAAGTCAAGAGGTGAGGTTTGGGAACCTCTGCCTAGGTTTCAGATGATGTATGGAAATGCCTGGATGTCCAGACATAAGTCTGCTGCAGGGGCAGAGCCCTCACAGAGAACCTCTACTAGGGCAGTGCAGAGGGGAAATGTGGGGTTGGAACCCCCACACAGAGTCCTCACTGGGGCACTGCCTAGTGGAGCTGTGAAAAGAGGGCCACCATCCTTCAGACCTCAGAATGGCAGATCCACCGACACCTTGTACTGTGCACCTACAAGTTGAGTGCCACAGGCACTCAATGCCACCCTATGAAAGCAGCTAAGGGGCTGCAGAGCCACAGGGCTAGAAGTTCCTAAGGCCTTGGGAGCCCACCCCTTGCATCATTGTGTCCTGGATGTGAGACATTAAGTTAAAGGAGATTATTTTGGAGCTTTAAGATTTAAAGACTGCCCTGCTGGGTTTTGGACTTGCATGGGACCTGTAGCCCCTTTGTTTTGCCCAACTTCTCCCTTTTGGAATAGAAGCATTTACCCAATGCCTGTACCGCCATTGTATCTTGGAAGTAACTAACTTGTTTTTGATTTTACAGGCTCATATGTGAAAGGGACTTGCCTTATCTCAGATAAAACTTTGGAATTGGACTTTGAGTTAATGCTGGAATTAGTTAAGACTTTGGAGGACTGTTAGGAAGGCATGATGGTGTTTTGAAATGTAAGGAGGACATGAGATCTGGGAGGAGCCAGGGGTAGAATTATATGGTTTGGCTCTGTGTCCCCACCCAAATCTCATATGTTGCATTGCAGTCCCCAATGTTGGGGGAAGAACCTGGTGGGAGGTGATTGGATCATTGGAGGCAGATTTCCCCCTTGCTGTTCTCATGATAGTGAGTGGATTCTCATGAGATCTGGTTGTTTGAAGGTGTGTGGCACTTCCCCCTTTGCTCTCTCTGTCTTCTGCCAGCATGTGCAGAAGGTGCTTGCTTCCCCTTCGCCCTTCCACCATGAGTGTAAGTTTCCTGAGGCCTCCCAGCCATGCTTCATGTACAGCCTGTGGAACTGGGAATCAATTAAACCTCTTTTCTTCATAAATTACCCAGTCTCAAGTAGTTCTTTATAGCAGTGTAAGAACAGACAATACATCTAGCTTACATGGAGAAAAGAAATAAATTTTAGCTGGTTAGCTGTGTCCTCAGCCAAAAATTGGGATTCTTAATACTAAGGAAGGAAGAATGAGTATCAGGAGGCAAAATTATTTCAAGGATCAGTTTGGTTTCAACCAAGTAAAGTATAAAGAAAGACAGTGGATGGGTTATGGTCACCACAAACATATACTCTGTTTTTCAGCATGACATACAAATACAGAGTTAACTGTTCAGGATGCCAGAGAACTTTAGTTGTGTTATATTCACAGTTTTCAAAGAGAATGGCATCAATAAGAACACTGACCTGGTTTAAACATGGAAATCCACTAATAACTTTAAGCAAGTTTGAGGCAGCAGCATGAAATATATTCTTTCACAGAAGTTTATGTGTGGCATTTCTTTAGAGAAAGCATCCATTTCTGAATCAGTCAGGATTCAGTTCTAGCAATAAGAATCATCACCCTAGGTATTTTAAGCAGAAAGGACCTAATACAGGAATCAGATGCTGACAAAGTCCCTAGAAAGCTGAAGGAGTGAAATTGGGACCCCAAACCCCATGCCTGATTGATGTCAAGAGTAAACCACTGCAACCAGCATGATCTGGAGGTTAAGCAGCTGCCACCACCACAGCTCCTCCTGCCCCTTGACACTCATGCCTTTGTGAATTTGCTTGCCAGAAGAAATAGTGAGAGGGAGACGGCCTCCACTCCCTTCCATCTTCCAAATCTTACATCATTGCTTCTAACTGGTAGAACCTAAGTGGCATCCAGAACTCTAAAAGTAAAGAAGTCTTGGAAATGTAGTTCTGAGTTTCATAGATTTGGCAATGCTGGAAGTTACCACAAAAGGAGGGTAAAATGAAGATTGAATGAGCCAATCCATAGGATCTGCCTTTACTGCATTTAATTTTACCTACAGGCAACAACAGCAGCAAAAACAACAGATAGCATTTATTGAGCAACAACGGCAACCCTAACATGATGCGAGCTATTTTATAAACAATATGTCACATCCTCACAACAATTTTATATATAGGTATGATTATTTCTGATTTTAAAATGAGAAAAAGCTGAGGCTTACAATGGCCTTACATAAACCTAGGAGGTCGGGGCCTTCCCTTTAACATTTGTCTTGTACACTACTTGGCCCAAGGTGATCATTTCCTCACTGTTGAGAGTTGGGCCAATTGCGTGGGAGATTCAGGCCTCGATTCTCCACTGTGCTTTGGGTGTGGACACCTGGATCATGGAAGAAAGCCTTTTTCACCCATTGTTTTGATTACATTCTCCTGTCCTCAGGCCTTCCTTGTTTTCAGGCTCTAGTGGTTTCTACTACATTTTGACTTCAAGTTTTCTTGCTTCTCTCTAGGTGTTATAAGTCTTGCCCCTCTCCAACCCCAACTTTGAGAAAACAAAGCATCACTTTTTCTTTTCCATTGCTCAAGTATCTTTCCAGGGAAGGCATCAGGTCTTAGTACCTTTGTCCCCCAGGGGACCCAACACGGGGCCTGGTGGACTGTAGGCCCTCAGATTAAGAAACGGATTCATCAACCAATAAAACATACCTTTCTACAAACCCCTTCCCCATAAAAGCCAAGCTCTCTCTTTATTTTGGTTAACATTTTTTTTTTCCTGAGTCTGCTTGCTAGGGAACTGTTGAAATATTAAGCCATCTAAGAGCAAAGGATATCTTTGTTCCCCAGAAAGTAAAAGAAAAAGTAAAAAAATTTACCAAGCTTAACTTATATATAAGTCCTAGATCTAATATAAGTCATTTAATTTATCCTTAAAACGTAGAAAACTATTAAAACTCTATTTTCTGATCTCAAAGGTGACTTCTGCTTGTAACATTAAGTGCTAAGTGGTAGTTTCATACTTTCAAATACAAATTATCAATTTTAAAATTAAAAAAATTTTGAATTGGGAATCTAAGTGGTGTAAAAGTCAAAGGGTTCAAAATGATATTTAGTAAAAAAAAAAAAAAAAAAAAATCTTTTCCTCTCCATTTTCCCAGGTCTCCCACTCTTCTCTAAGAGTCAACCAATGTTAACAGTTCTTCTGTGTTTTCCTTAAGAGATGATCTACAAAAGGCAAAGTATTGAGAATTTATCATTTGTAAGATAATTTTGGTTTTGATATCATAGATTTAGATTGGAAAGTTGTTTAAACTGGTATTTAGAGTTATAATTTATGTCACAAATGAGAGTTCATGATATCAGCAATAATTAACTTCATGATGTGAAAATCCTGTGCACCCCTGGGAACCTTAAACTCTGGGCAAGATACAAAAGGGAAGGGAAGAGAGGAAGTGGTAGGTAAAGTTACTTGCAATTGTTGAGAGTTCTTGTAAAATGTTCGTTGCTCATATTGAATGGTGCAATGATAGTGAGTTTAAAGTCAGATAGTGTGGGAGGTTTGGGCAAATGTTCAGAGAAGATATAGCTTTCATAAAGCTCTAAGAATAAATTGCTTTAAGGATAAAATGTGAATTATCTCAAAATTTCTAAGTTCTTATGAATATTTTATTTACTATAACTGCAAACACATTATTTCTGCATGAAACTAATTCTGGCTTCTACGTAGATATGCTATATAAACACATATTGACTACTTTAAGAATAAACTTGGGCAAAATCTTAAAAGCAAGAATAGAAAAGTAGTAGTTCATAATACTCATCATAAGAAAATGTTGAATGAATTCAGGCCATTGTTTAGAAGAAGTTCAAGACTGTAAAATCAGCCATGCTTATGGATTTTAAGCTTTTTTTTTCTCCTCTGAGAAGGTCAAAGTCTGTTTCTGGAACTACCTGCCTGATGGCCATACAAACACATATATATGCAGTGGAGAGAAAACTGCACATTGGTGGAGGTGGGGAGAGGATGTCAGAGTGTTCTTGTGAGCCAAGAGGACTTACAAGTAGGGTCTGGCTTTGGGTTATTGGAAACGACCTGTCCAAAGGGCTTCATGCCAAAGGAAAGGGGCCTCAGCCGAAAGAGGCTGGAGGTTACTATTGGTAGCAGAGGATGAAAATAGAGTGAGAAGCACCTGGCTAAAGACAAGGATTTCCCAAGAGTCCAAAGGGGATAACTTAGACCTAGGATCCCACAGTGTGGTATAGAAAAGAAAGAATCACCGCTGGGAATCTGCCCTACGCAGAAGATGCAAATGTCATATTACATCTGCCTTTGTTAAGGATGGCCTTTCCTGCCCGTTTCATGTTCTTCCAAGCTCTGTTCCAACACTGAAGGAGTCACAGGTGGGTAGGGGAAGCAGACAAGAAACCTTAATTCCACCTGCAACCTTAATTCCTTCTTGTAATGCAGCACAACATAGCCATATAACACAGCCATAAGCTTTGTGGGAGTGGGGGGATGTTATTCTGCCTATTATATTTACTAAAATGAGATTGTTCTTTGGAGCTGATAATGACCAAAGGACTTTTATTATTTAGAATAACTAGGCAAAATGCAATTCAAAACCATAATGAGTTATCTCCTCACATCCATTATGACAGCCACCATTAAAACAAAACACAGAAAATAACAAGTGCTGCTGAGTATATGGAGAAATTGGAACACTTGTGGATTGCCGGTGCAGTTGTAAAATAGTATGACCACTATAGAAAACAGTATGAAGGTTCCTCAAAAAATCAAAAATAAAATTACCATATGATCCAGCAGTCCCACTTCTAGGTATATATCCAGAAAGAACTGAAAGCAGAGCTTGAAGAGATATTTGTATGTCCATACTCATTGTAGCATCATTCGCAATAGTCAAGAGGTGGAAGCAACCCAAATGTCCATCATGCCTCATGGATGAATGGATAAATGCAGTGAGATATATATATATATATATATATATATATCTCCTATATATACACCAAATTATGACATAATTTCCTTCCTTTTTAAGGTTAAACAGTGTTCCATTGTATATATATATATATATATATATATATATATATATATATATATATATATGTAATTTCCCAATGGCTTAAAGAAGGAACAAATTATTGGTAAATGTCTTGATCTTATTACATATTATAAGATATAGTATAAACAAACTATAAGTTGTGTGTGTGTGTATATATATATACACAATGGAATATTTATATATACACAATGGAATGTTGATATATATACACAATAGAATATTGATATATATATCTTATATATAATATATGTAACATGTAATTGATATATATCTTATATATGTAATTATATATGTATGTAATATGTGTAATCTTATATATGATATATATCAATATTATAATATATGTAATATAGTATGTAATAAGATATGATATGTAATATTGTAGTATGTAATATCTATATACACACAATGGAATATTGTTTAACCTTAAAAAATCTGGAATATTGTTTAACCTTAAAAAGGAAGGAAATTATGTCATAAGCTACAAGATGGATGAGCTTTGAGGACGATAATGCTAAGTGACATAAGCCAGTCACTAAAAGATGAATACTGTATGATTCCATTTATCAGAGGTGTTTAAAGTAGTCAAATTCATAGAAGTTGAATATAAAATGGCAACTGCCAGGGCTGGAGAGAGCAGGGAGAATGAATAGTTCTTTAATGGGCACAGAGCTTCAGTTCTCAAGATGGAAAAGTTCTGGAGATTTGTTTCATAGCCATGTAAACGCACTTAACGCTACTGAGCTATACACCTAAAAATGGTTAAGATGGTACATTTTATGCTGCGTTTTTTTTCCACAGTCTTTTGAAAAAGTGACTAGACAAAACTATGGGATCTCATCTAAGATTTCATCCTAGGGAGGTAAAGGTTGGATTTGAAAATAGGGTTTGAATGGGCCCCAGGAAAAAGAATCAAGCTGTTTCTTGCTTGCATACTAGTATGTCTTGCTATTTCAATATAAAGGTTACCAGTTAACTACTAACAAGATCACTATTCATCATTAAGAATCTGTTAATGGCTAATTTGAAAGGAAATTTTATTTCTAGTTGTGATATATAGGTATACATGTTACCTAAAGCTAAGTATAGTATAGATGCTATGTGTATATGCATATGTATGTGTATAGAGAAATTTATATTCCTGTCCATATATACAATTATAGGACCATTCTGGGCCAATTGAATCTAGACTATTTCCATGAGTTAAGGTCAGATGAACCTTAGTTGTAATTATTATACTTACAGTTTATGTAGCACTAACAATTTTTTAAAAATCAGAAACATCAGTCAATCATTTGCTTTGCTTTGGATATAAGGACTTTTTCTGCCCATGTTCTCACGTTATCTCCATATCTACCACCACAGATCTCCTAGTTAAAGGCAAATAACCACAACACAGGCAAAAATAAGAGAGCATGTGACTGAGAGACAGTGATATATTATTTCCATGGATCCCCAGGTGCTCATTCTTTTTACATTTTAATGTAAAATGTAAAATCTAGATGTGTTTTTCAAAAAGACTAAAAAGTGCTGTCCAGCTTCTGTGCCATGGCCTGTGCGTCTATGACCTCAGACATTATTCCAGGGAGCATCTTAGGGCAAGAGCAATCCCCTGATGTTTCAGTCAGCAGCCATTTACAAACCATTAGAGGAAGGAATGTGAGTCCAGGTTTTTGTTTGAAAATTCCTCATTGACACCTTGTTGTAATAAGATCAAGACATTTACCAATAATTAGTCCCTTCTTTAAGCCAATGGGAAACTCGAACTTCTCCTATCTTTTTGAGATTAGGTGAAGCCATGTGTACTTTTTTCATTGTCTATTCCTGTGTAATAAATCACCCTCCAAACCTAGAGGCCTATTATCTCACTGTTTCTGTGGATCGAGAATTCAGACAGGACACAGACATATGGGAGGTGCCTCATCTGGAAGACTGGAAGGCTGAGGGGCTGGGATCACCTGGAGGCTTGATGGAGGCTGGAGGATCCACTCTGAGGGACCCACTCACACACCCAGTGGGTTGGTACTGGCCAACTGGTTCCTCTCCACATAGGCTTCTCTTCATCTGGTGCTCTCAAAGGGCTGCTCGAGTGTCCTTGTGACATGATGGCTGGCCTTCACCAGAATGCACCATCTGAAAGTGGGCCCACACCAGTTGAAGGTATTCTTTTTGCATTTGGCCTCTCGGGTCACATATTTCAATGTCTGCCATAGTCGTAGCGAGGCAGTAGGTCTGGCCCACATGCAAGGGAAGGGGAATTAGTCTCCACCTTTTGAAGATGGGTAGATACATTTTTAAACTACTGGTCCGTGTGACTGGTTTTGCAAATAGGAAGTGACACCTGTCACTTTTGAAGGAAAGCCTGTAAGAGGTGGTGTGTGATTTTCCACATTCTGGTCCCCTGTCAATATTGAGGGTGCACGTGTTCACATGGAGGACTAAAGCTGAACTGTTACACGGGGTGGCTGCCCTAGAAAGTAGCCCTGACCCACCAGGGATCTCGTATGAGTGAGAAATAAACCTTTGTTTTAAGCCACTGAGATTTGGGGATAGTTACTGCAGCATAACTAACTCTATCCTGATGAATATTCTCCTGCAACCAAATGTGAGAAACAGCTGTCAGTGGCCCAAAGAGAATCCTGGAGACTGCAGTATATCTTTTTAAAAGATACACTTGGCTGGGCGCGGTGGCTCACACCTGTAATCCCAGCACTTTGGGAGGCCGAGGCAGGTGGATCACGTGAGGTCAGGAGTTCGAGACCAGCCGGGCCAACATGGCGAAACCCCATCTCTACTAAAAGTACAAAAATTAGCTGGGCGTGGTGACACGCACCTGTAATCCCAGCTACTCAGGAGGCTGAGGCAGGAGAATCGCTTGAACCCAGGAGGCAGAGGTTGCAGTGAGCCGAGATTGTGCTACTGTACTCCAGCCTGGGCAACAAGAACGAGACTCCGTCTCAAAATAAATAAATAAATAATAAATAAATAAATAAAAGATACACTGCATTACCAATTCTCCCAGTGGCATACAGTCGGGGCTGGCAAACCACGGTCCACAGGTTAAATCCAGCCTACCATTTGTTTTGTATAGCCTGCGAGTAAGAATGTTTTTTTTTTTTTTTTTTTTTTTTTTTTGAGACGGAGTTTCGCTCTGTCGCCCATGCTGGAGTGCAGTGGCGCGATCTCGACTCACTGCAAGCTCCGCCTCCCGGGTTCACGCCATTCTCCTGCCTCAGCCTCCCGTGTAGCTGGGACTACAGGCGCGCGCCACCATGCCCGGCTAATTTTTGTATTTTTAATAGAGACGGGGTTTCACCGTGTTAGCCAGGATGGTCTCGATCTCCTGACCTCGTGATCCGCCCGTCTCGGCCACCCAAAGTGCTGGGATTACAGGCGTGAGCCACCGCGCCCGGCCGTAAGAATGTTTTATACATTTTTAAATAGCTGAAAATAGTCAAAAGAAGAATAATAGTTCATGACGTGAAAATTATATAAAATTCAAATTTCTGTGTCCATAAAGATTGTTTTTGGAACACACCCACGCCCATTCATTTCAGTATTGTGTATGGCCGGCTTTGCCTCACAGCGGCAGAGTTGAGTGGCTGTCACAGAGAGCACAGGGCCCGGCAGAGTCTGAAACTTGCAGAAAAAGTTTGCCAACTCTTGACTGTAGAAGACAAGAAAGTCTGATAAAATATGAAATTTGATGACTTTGAGTTGAAATGTGATTCAGAAAAGTTGGACGAAACAAATTTAAGGAACACCCTAACCAACTCATTTTCTTTGCATCTCTATTTTAATGTGACCAAAGGTGATATAGGATGAACATCTGTCCGAATAAGCTTCAATAAATATACAGTACAACTCCTAAGAAATGAAAAAGCATGGTGGCATAGTTTACTTTGCAACTTATTTTCCTGCCTTATACGATCTATGGTGTCCTGGATGCAATGATATATGGTAGCATAGAAGATAAAAAGTGAAAAAACAGTCCTCTGGAAAAGCCTTTGAAAGCTCATTGTGATTATCAGCCTTTCTGAGTCAGTAGCTCTTTTTCTTTTGAAACAGAGTCTTACTCTATTGCCCAGCCTGGAGGGCAGAGATAAGATCACAGCTACTGTAACTTCGAAGTCCTGAGCTCAAGGGATCCTCCTGCTTCAGCTTCCAGATTAGCTGGGACTACAGTTGCATGTCACCATGCCCAGCTAAGTTTTTCCTTTAGAGACGGGGTTGGGGGGAGGGGGAGTGGTCTCATTATTTTGCCCAGGCTGATCTTGAACTCCTGGCCTCAAGTGATCCTCCCACCTTGGCTTCCCAAAGTGCTGGGATTACAGGTGAGCCAACGCATCTGGCCAGTAGGTCTTTGTTTCATTTATTCTACCCCTAGCAGTTGGCAAAATAAACAAGGTGGTGAGCTCCGATTTTGTGCACCTGGTCTGATAGCTAATTAGCGCATCAGCATCCTGAAGTCCTCAGTCTAGGGTGTTCCTGGATTTTATTCAGCTGTTTAGAGCACCTGGATGGGGGCTGGGCGCCTGTAATCCCAGCATTTTGGGACCTGAGGTGGGTGGATCACTTGAGGTCAGGGGTTTGAGACCAGCCTGGCCAACATGGCAAAACCCCGTCTACTAAAAATACAAAAATTAGCCAGGCGTGGTGGCGGGCACTACTCGGGAGGCTGAGGCAGGAGAATCGCTTGAACCTGAAAGGTGGAGGTTGCAGTGAGCTGAAATGGCACCACCACACTCCAGCCTGGGCGACAGAATGAGACTCCATCTGAAATAAATAAATAAAATAAAAATTAAAAATAGAGAACCTGGATGGGATCTGCAGCAGCACTGCCCAGCAGGTGCTTTTCCTGCTCTTTCTGAGAAGGGCTCCTCTCCACCAAGAAAAGTGACTGCAGCCAAAATAGGTCTGGGCTGAGCATGAATTTATTTTCTGTGGTCTCTGCTGTCAGTACTTCCAAGGATGATAGCCAGAGTGTCCTCGCTTCAGAGAATCCAACCATGGCTTTCCAGTACAATAGACAGAAACAAATGCCCTGAGTCAATATAGGCTGTGCTGTCCCTTTAAAAACAATTCTCATTTACTTTGGCAATAAAATATTAATCGCAGATGACAGAAAGAAAAGTAGGCAATTAATTCTAAATCATTACACTGGCTTAAAGTGGGGAAGAGCTCAAGCTCATAATGATACACTGATCTCTCCTGGGAACTTCTTCTTTCAAGGGGCCCTCCTCTAAAAGATAATTGCAGGAAAAGACTAGAAAACACATGTGTTACTTCGAAAAGTGTGAATAATAATAATGATCAATTTAGGGGATCATGTGGGCCAGGTGGGACCAAATAGGGGGTTTTATTTTTAGTGGAAGTGGGGATCATCATGTAGTTTTTATAGAAGTCAGATATATTCAGGTATAATTGACATACGGTAAAATCCACTCTTTTTTTTTTTTTTTTTTTTGAGACGGGGTCTTGCTCTGTGGCCAGGCTGCAGTGCAGTGGCATGATCTCAGCTCACTGCAACTTCCGCTTCCCAGGTTCAAGCGATTCTCCTGCCTCGGCCTCCCAAGTAGCTGGGATTACAAGTGCCCGCCACCATGCCCGGCTAATTTTTGTATTTTTAGTAGAGATGGGGTTTCACCATGTTGGCCAGGATGGTCTCGATCTCCTGACCTCATGATCCACCTGCCTCGGCCTCCCAAAGTGCTGGAATTAGACATGAGCCACTGCACTGGGCCAATCCACTCTTTTAAAATGTAGGTTTGTTTTGTTTTGACAAATGTAGAACCACATGACACCAATACAGTCAAGACCCAGGGCAGTCCCATCGTGCCAGACGCTCCCTCAGTCCCTTTGGCAGTCACTCCTCTTTTGCCGTGCCATCCCTGGCAACCACCAATCCATGTTTTGTCCCTGTAGTTTTGCCTCCACTAGAATGTCATATAATGGACATCATATAAATGAAATTATGTCATTACCGGCCTGTTGAGTCTGGCTTTTTTCAGTTAGCCTAATGCTCTTGGAGTTCATCCCTGTTGCCGCATGTATCAGTAGCTTGTCATTCTTTATTACTGAGTAATGTTCCATTATATGGATGTGCTACAATTTACTTACCAATTTACTTGCTGATCGGCGTGTGAGTTCCTTCCAGTTTTTGGCCATTACAAATAAAGCTGCAATGATCATCCATGTACAGGTCTTTGCGTGGACCTATGTTTTTATTTCAGTGCCTGGGAAGGGGTTGCTGGGCCAAATGATAAACATTAGTGTAATTCTGTCAGAAACTACCAAACTGTTTTCCGATGTGATTGTTCCATTTTGCATGCATGAGATTTCCAGTTGCTCTGCCTCCTTGTCTGCTCTTAGTATTGCCAGTCTTTCTAATTTTAGCCATGCTAATAGGTGTGTAACAGTATCTCATCAGGGCTTTCATTTGCATTTCCCTGATGACTAGTGATGTTGAGCATCTTTTTATGTGTTTAATTTGCCATTTGTATATCTTCTTTGATGAAGTATCTGTTCAAATCATCTTCCCTTCCCACTTAAAAAAAATTGAATATTTTGTCTCTATTGAGTTCTAAGATTTGTTTTTCTTTCTTTCTTTTTCTTTTTCTTTTTTTTTTTTTTTTTTTTTGAGATGGAGTCTTGCTCTGTTGCCCAGGCTGGAGTGCAGTGGCTTGATCTCGGCTCACTGCAACCTCTGCCTTCTGGGTTCAAGCGATTCTCCTGCCTCAGCCTTCTGAGTAGCTGGGATTACAGGTGCCTACCACCACATCTAGCTACTTTTTGTATTTTTAGTTGAGACAGGGTGTCATCATGTTGGCCAGACTGGTCTTGAACTCCTGATCTCAGGTGATCTGCCCACCTCTGCCTCCCAAAGTGCTGAGATTACAGGCATGAGTCGCCGCACCTGGCTGAGGATTTCTTTATATATTCTGGATTCCAGTCCTTCATGAGATATGTGTTTTTAAATATTGTCCTCATCTTTTCTTGTTTCTTTTTTAACTTTCTTAAAAGTATCTTCCAAAAATCAGGTTTTAATTTGATGTTCAGCTTATTCTTTTTTTTTTCTCTTATGGTTTATGTGTTTTATGTTCTAGCTAAGAAATCTTTGCCTAACCCAGGGTCTCTATTATTTTTCTACTGCTGCTGTGAAAAACTACCACAACCTTAGTGGCATAAGACAACACAAATTTATGATCTTACAGTTTTGTAGGTCAGAAGTCTGAGCTCCTTGACTGGTTTCTGTACTCTGGGTCTCACCAGGCCAAAGTCAAAGTGTCGGCTGTCTGGGCTCTTACCAAGAGGCTTGGGAAAAATCCACTACAGTGTTCACTCAGGGTGTGGGCAGAACCCAGTTCCTTGAGGTTGTGGGGCTCAGCTGCCAGCTTCATTGCTGGGGTCAACTGGGGTCGCCCTTGGAATTCTCTCTGATCCTCTCTCTGGGCCTCTCTCTGATCCTTGAAAATGAGGCCCTCACTCTGCTAGCTGGCAATCCTGACTCATAAACTCTTAAAGAACTTCTCATGACTGGAATATCTAATTTTCCCTTCTGCTGCAGCTAGAGAAAGTTCTCTGCTATTAAGGGGTCATGTGATTAGGTGGGGCCCACCTGGATAGCCCAGGATACACTCCCTGTTTTAAGATCTGTCTCTTTCCTTGCATCTGCAAAGTCTCTTGCCAGGTAACATAACATGTTCATAGGTTCCAGGAACTAGGAGGTAGGCATTTTTGGGAAAGCATCCAGCCTACCACCTCCTCAAATATTTTCTCTCCTGTTTCTTCTAGGAGCTTTACAGTTTTACATTTAGGTCTATGATCCATTTTAAATTAATTTTTGTATATGGTATCAGATTCTTGGATTATGATTGAGATTTTTTCTTTCTCCTCCTTTTTTTTTTTTTTTTTTTTTTTTTGCGTCTGGATATCCAATTCAAGAAACATATGTTGAACAAGTTAGGTTTTCAGTTTCTATCATGATGAAGAATTTGTGATTTGTATAGCTTCAGAACCCACAGAACCATGGCTCATGTTTCATCATGATCACAGCTGACTTCACGGACTGATTTCATGAACAGTCCCATCATGTTTTGACACTCACAGAAAGTATTTTTCTCTGGGAATTTTTAGGAGTGGGAACGTATGCTTCCCTGTTCTCTGCCTCACCTCTTGCACATACACAGCATTGCAGATGGCACGGAACCCCTGGTTCAGCGGGCTATGGGTGCTCTGCAACACTGAAGGTGAAGGTAGAAGGAAGCAGCAAAAAAAAAAAAACCCTGGTCCCTGATCCTGTTTTGGGGGTTGGGGTAGGCATTTCCTTGGGAGCATTTAAACAACAGCACATCGAGGAGGGACAAAACTCCTTGGCCAGACAGGTAAAGGTCAGAATTTGAAGGCAGGAATGGAAGTAGCAGGTGAATTCTAGGCTGATGTAATTCAGGTATAGGGGGTTGGGATGGGCACAGACAGGATTGGGATCAGATTGGCAGACAGGGAAGGGCAAAGCTGCAAAGGTGGAACTGCAGACCGACCACGGCTCGTGCTACTAGCTGTGTCCACACCCACACCCTGCAGAGGGCCTTGGTGACATGGGGCAGAGCCGTCCCCAGCCCTGGAGAGCCAGAGTGCCCCAAAAGTTTCCTTGGAGGAGGACAATGGGACAGGCCCAAGTGCCCCACAAGGCACTCAATCCCCAGGAGACTTGCTGGTTCTTGGCACCTGCAAGGGAAACCCAAGGGGCTGTCTCGGGTCCCCAGCCCCTGTTGCTGCCCCCAGCTCTGACCCTGGCTTAGGGGCAGATGCCTCAGGCTGCTGTGCCTGCAGATTTTGCAGAAGGAACAAGAGGCTTTAAACTCAGTACACTTAGCCAGTGCAACTCTCTTTCACTAAGGAAAGAAATAGTTAAGAATTCAAGACTCCTCACCTTATGCATTGATCTGTGTCTGCTCTTTGATTCCAAAGACAGGACGGTCTATGAGCCAAGCCAGAAAATTTCACACTGGATCCCTTAATGGATCCCTTCAGGCACCAATACTGCTGAGAGAGACAAGAGGCGACAGGGCCTGGCCTAGATGTGGGCAAATTCCTATTTGAAGTGGCATGAGCTGTGTTCTGTCTGACTTCCACCTTTTTAGCTTTTTCTTTCCAGGCCATTCTCAGGAACCCCGTCCACAGGAGTTTCCCCCAGTCCCCAGCCATCGGCCTCCCTGTGCTGGGGCTGAAGTCACCGTTCTCTTTGGGATCACCCTGCCAACCTTATCTGGGGTCACTGATTGTGGCTGGCATGACAGAAGCTGCCACCCGTGCTGTGGCACCTGAAGCCTCGTGGGACCTCAGTTCCAGGGACTCCTGATGAGAAGGGTCAGGAGGGAGAAACCCAGGACACTGCATGTGAAGGGAAGGGTACCCTCCCTGGTCCCAACCACAGCCGTGACTCAGCTTTACCGAGTAGCTACTGTGTGCGAGGCACTTTGCCTATGTGGTTGGATCAAATGGCATTTTTTCTTCCCTTCTGAGAAATTAAAATGATTAATTTGGGCACTTCCACTATCTGTCTGCAAAAGAAAACTTTATAGAATCTAATTCTGGAGGCAGGCATTTCTTTAGCCTAATAAAGCCCAAGCCAGGTTAGTGGTTGTCAAGAAATAGTATTTGTTGAAATAGACCAGGTTAGATAGTTCAACAGAAGAAAGTCAAGTAGAAGGATGATGAATCTCTCCTGGGGATCAGGATGATGTGTTAGAAGGAAATTAAATTTTCAGGGTAAGGTTTTTTTTTTTGGAGATAGGGTCTCCCTTTTGCCACCCAGGCTGGAGTGCAGTGGGGTGATCTTGGTCCACTGTAGCCTTGACCTCCTGGCTCAAACAATCCTCCTACCTCAGCCTCCTGAGTAGCTGGGACTACAGGCGTGCGCCACCACACCCAGCAAATTTTTATTTTTATTTTTTTGTAGAAGAGATGGGGGTGCGGGGGTGGGGGGCGGTCTCACTATCTTGCCCAGTCTGGTCTTGAACTCCTGGGCTCAAGCAATCCTCCCTCCTTGGCCTCCCAAAGTGCTGGGATTAGAGGTGTGAGCCACCACGCCTGGCTGGGTTTATTTTGATTTTAGGTATTTTAGGACAGAAGCTGAAGCCCAGTGTTCACTCCAACACCCCCCTCCTGAATCCCAAAAAGTCTGGGTGGTGAAAACTTGATCCTTTGAAAGCCCCAGCCCCCACCCCATCTCCCCTCCTCACCTGGACCCTTGGCAGTGGGGGTCCCAGGGCTTCTTTCAGGAAGTCCTGTCTCAGGGCGTCCTCTGGCCTCTGGTTCTCAGCTCCAATCCCTGCTGTCTTCCCCGCCTTCCCCACGAAGCACAGAGTCAGGCATTTCTTCCCTGGGCCTGTCCACACTCCTCACTGCTTCCTTGAGAGAACAACGACCCCAGCTCCAGTCCAGGAGGGACTGTGGGCCTAGAGGGGCCGCTGGCTAGGGGCTGAGAGGAGCTCCCGGAGGTGTGGTTCCCGAGACTGGTCTTCTCCTGTTCTATTTTCCTGGGTGTCATTTTCACGGCAGGAAACCTTTTTAGAAAGGGAGGGAGGCACATTTTTCTCAGGGACATTCACAGCAAGGCCTCATCCTGCCCACGTCCCACAGCCGCAGGATTTTCTGGCCTGGTCCTGTTCTGGATCTGCCTGATTCTCAAGGCACAGCAGCAGGGGAGGGCGGGCTCCGCACCCTGGTCAAGCTAGGGCAGGCGCTTGGCTTGCCAGCAAAAGGTCCCGCTTCCCAGGACAAAGACTCGCTCTGAGGCCGCACTTAAGTCAGGCTCCTCGAAGCTCTCTTTCAACGGGGCCTCAACCCTGGGCTTCTGTGCCTGTCATCGTTGGGCCTGCATCAGCCAGTTTTAGCAAGTCCCTCCTAAGTCAGTGTGGAGAGAGGCCCCCATCCTTCGCATCTGACCACCCTGGCCTGCCTTCAGCAAGAATCCTAAGCCTGTTTAACCAGAAGCTTTCCTTCCCCCTGCTGCTTTCTCTTAGTAATTTCCTCCATCCCGACTGCCAGCCTGCTCCATGGCTATAAATCCCCACTCGTTCTGGTTGAATTAACCACTGAGTCCGTTCTATATGCACTGAGGCCTCTTTCCCCCTTTGCAATACTTCCTGAATAAAATGTGCTTTTCCTACTTTACCTACTGTCAGGTCCTGGGTTTCTTTAACAGGAGGGCAACCTTCAGACTGGGTCCAGGTCAGTGACATAGAAGGGGAAGTGGCACAGTGTGTCCACAGAGGGCAGAGCCCAGTGACGGGAGCTCACAGCAGAGACGCCCAGGCTGCATTCGGGAGGGCAGTGGCACCGATGAGAGGGGCATAGGCAAGGACACCACGGGGCAGGATGCAGAAGGGAGTCCTGGGGCAGAACCAGAGCGGGAGCCCAGCCCATCAAACATCAAGACGTGGCCTGGTGCATGGGGAGTGAGATTCCAGTGACCCAATGGGGACCAGGAGTCGGGAGATGCTGCTCGGAGAAGCTCCGGACCTGCAAACCAGCCTGCTCAGACTGACTGGGAGCCTAGAGGCATTCATTCATTCATCCATTCATTCTACAAATCTGTATTAAGCGCTGATGAGTTTGACGGTAGGGATATACCAACAAACAAAAGAGATAAAAAATTTTGTCCCTGTGGAGCTTACATGATAGTGACAAGAGACAGACACCAAACACAATAAACAAATCATGTTGCGTGTTAGAACATGATAAATGGGATATTTTGGGGGAAGAAAGGACACACGTGAGAGGGAGCAGGAGAGCCAGGTGTGGGAGGTTGCAGCATTAGGGGTGGTTGGAGCAGGCTCCCCCAGGGACATTTGAGCAAAAACATTAAAGATGTGAGGGTGAACTGTGGGGACTTCCAGGGGGAGGAAGCTCCAGACCCAGGGGATTGCTGGTGTAAAGGCCTTGAGGCAGGAGTGGCCTGGGTTCCAGGGAGGCCAGTGGGTGCAGCAGACCTACGAGGGAGGGGAGAAGCCCCTCATACAGGCCTCAGAGGGGGTGCTCTCACCCTGAAGGTGGAGTAGGTAGGATTGGACTCATCTTAACAGGCTAAGTCTGGCTGCCATATTGAGAATAGGCTTTGGGGGTAGGGGTTGGGGTTGTGACGTGTGTTGGGTGGGGTAGGAACAGGCCATGTACCACTGCCATTAAAGCATTTCAACTGGGGACCTGTTAATATTCTTAACTGCTCCCCTGCATTTCACAGCTGCCTGTATCCAAATACAATGGGGCCACCTGACAGCACACCTCAGGGTGACTTCATGTTCAAATATAATATCAACCCAATATCCAATAAAAAGCTTCAAAAATCATGCCAACATCTTAAGTCCCTCAAGGCGGTGTCAAAGCAGGAGCCAATCCATGACCTACCGAGAGAGGAGAAAGGAAGAAGCCAGTCAGGCAGGCAGTTAGGGTGGGCCCTCAGTTAAATTCTTTCAAACAAAAGAACAGCCAACTTGCACAGAGGGGCTTGCCTAAGACACGCCCACAGCCACATAGATAAGAAAAGCTACACAGGTGACTCACCCAGACACGCCTGCAGTGGAAAGTTCTGTCCCGTAACACATGTACAGTAAGGGGAACAAAGCAATATGGAGTCACTAAGCTAAGGGCCCACATGCACACTTGGAGGATGGGGTGGAGCTAACAGAAATTTGTGTCTTATGCAAATGAGATGCCCAGCCCTCATCAGTTTCTTATAAAAGCCTTTGCATTCAACTGTAAAGACAGCAACCCTCTTCTGGGCCCCCTCTCCATGGCAGAAAGCTTTCTTCTTTTGCTTAGAAAACTTTTGCTCCAATCTCACCTTTTGTGTCCACACTCCTTAATTCTCTGGGTCATGAGACAAAGAACTCCAGGTAATACGTCACAACGAGAGACTGCTACGTCGTGGTGCATTGGTGAGACTTTAACACTAAAAGAGAATACCGTGTGGGCCACCTCCACTCATCCATCTCTCTCTGAAGTTCTCATGACCATGGCTCAATATTAATCTCCTCCCTCCATCCACATGCTTGCTCCCTGCACCCCCAAATCTCATCTGCCCAGCTGCTTTTTTATTTAGTTCCCTTCTCAGTTTAGTTTTTTCTTCTGCAGTTGGCTTCACATTCTATTCTTATTACTGTTTCTGAAAGCTGTTAATAAATAAACAATTAAACTACAAAACATTACAATTAAACAAACCAAGCAATCAACCAAACAATAAACTCTCGGTTGTCACCTCACAGGACAAGGACAGCTCTTGTGATTAAGTTGCAGGCTCTACTGCTGCCCACACCACAGATACCTTAGTTAGATTTGCTCCTTTGTCAAATGTTTAAGTCAGATAAAGGACCAGTCGTAGGGCAGTGGATCTCAAACCTAATTGTGGCAAAACAAAACAAAACAAACAAACAAAAATCACCTAGAAAACTTGTTCAACTGGTTAAAAACACAGATTCCTGGGCCTGAATCCTAGAGATTCCCACCCAGAGCCAACATCCCAGAATCTGCATTTTAGGCAAGCTCCCTGTGATTCTGAAGCAGCGGGCCATAGGCAATTCATTGGGAAGCGGTCAGTGTCCAGATATCTCAGAGGACCCCTCTCTAAGCACTCTTGATTGGTCCCAAAGACCCCCCTTCCCCCAGTAGGCTGGCTTCTTCACCCTGTCCTCATCCTCTAGCATCCCCGAGAGGAGGTCACCTGGGACATTCTTGCAAATGGGAGGATCTAGAATCCAGGTCTCTGCCTGCTGCCGGCCATCCCCAGGCGGGCCTCCTACCAGATTCCAATCTATGAAACGAAAAACTGGGGATCCTTTTCCAGCCCACGTTACTGAGTGCATCTCAGTTGTTTCATTATGCTAGCTGTGAGGTTTTGCACTTGTGACAAACAACAGAAGGGACCTTTTGTCACAGTAAGGAAATCCTCGCAAGCATGTGCCTAAACGTGACTGCCTGCTGCTTCGTCTTTGCCAGTCTCATCTGGAGAGGACCTGGCGCATGCTCTTGGTTGGTTTTCCTCCATCTGCATGAAATAGGAGCCACTGAGAGCATCTTCCTCCCCTTCAAAGCCTTCACTACTTCTTTCTGCTAGTTCCTTGTCCTTGCAGGAGCTTTAATAGCTCAATTCCTTTCCGTCTCTGGAGGGGCCCACAGTGCCCTCTGGTGGTTGAACAGCATGCTACACTTTTTTTTTTTTTTTTTTTTTTGTGGGGTAGGGAGAGGGTGGACAGAGTCTCCTGTCGCCCAGGCAGGAGTGCAGTGGTGCAATCTCGGCTCACTGCAACCTCCGCCACCCCGCCACAGGCTCAAGCGATTCCCTTGCCTCAGCCTCCCAAGTAGCTGGGATTACAGGTGTACACCACCACACTGGGCTAATTTCTGTATTCTTAGTAGAGTTTCACCATCTTGGCCAGGCTGGTCTTGAACTCCTAGCCTCAAGTGATCCACCCGCCTCCTCCCAAAGTGCTGAGATTACAGGCTTGAGCCACCGTGCCTGGCCTATGGCACACTTTTGTAGAAGTCCAGGGTGCCTGCTGCTCTCAGGGCTAGGTCCTGTGCCCATCCTGGGAGAATGGGAAAGCCTCTGTATGCATTCTGCTCTGCCTGAGCCCTCCACAGAGCCAGAACCAGGCCTAGGGGTTCAAGGGTAAACTTCTTTGAGGAACTGGAAACTGAGATGATGATGAGATTAGGGATTGGCTATGAATACAAACTGGGTCATGGTCCAGATACAGAAACATCAAAATCTGACCTGTGGGCTCTGTCTGGGAAAATTTAGGGCAAATTGGCACTTGTAGGTGGCAAGGAGTGGCTTGTTTACCCTGCCCTCCTCACTGTCCCTTGTTTGGACCAATTCTGCCTTCTTAGGAGGACATGACAATTCTTCCCCCAGGATCCTAGGATGCACTGAAGCCTCTAGTTTTTTCCTGCTGGTGAGTACTAACATATGCCCATTAACTTGAATGCTTATCTTTCACTGGCCAAGACCAAGCTTTGACAGGTACCCCCAGAGCACTTTCATAGGCCCGTGAGTCAATTCTGAACCAAGTCATGGGGGCAGCTGAGTCAGCTCCCCTCAATCCCGGCCTTGATAGCTGGGCACAGTTGTGGCCCGGGGTCTGAATGCTGCAACCACAGTGCTTAAGGTCTGGGTTGTGGAAGCTGGAGAACCACTGCTGGGCCTGAAGGCTGGAAACCTCGCTGTTGCCCTTGCGAAATAAGGACATTTCCACTTTATCCCCTAGGGCAGAGCATTTAGTGAGTCAAAACCTTAACTCCACATCCAACAGACTCTGTTTCAGAACAGTGTGTCAGATGCTTCAGTATCAGCTGACATCCTGGACGTGTAACCACCCCTTTCTGCTCATACTTGGGCCTTGTGTCCAGGTCTGGGTGACTGTCCTCACCATTGAGTTTTTGCTTGAGGCCCCGGGCTGTCTTCTGGAAAGTGGCTATCATGGGTTCCTCAGGGTTCTACCCAACCTCTCTGTAAATGATCAGACGCCAGTAGCTGCTAAAGGGGAAAAGTGTCCCCTCTGCCAATGCATCTGAGCTCTGGTCTTGTCCAATGGGGATGACTGGTGCCAGGTTGCCTGGAGTCCTGTGCTGGGAGGGACTTCGCCAGGTGGTCTTCCTTGTTCTAGATGGTTCTGGAGATTCAAATGGCCCAGTTGAGACCAGAGGTGAAGAGAGCAAGACAGTGCCTTCTTGATTTCATTATTTCACATGTCACTTCATAGGGGAATGACTGCTAAAATGAATACGGTCTGTGCATTTTTTCTAAGTCACAATTACAGAAGAGATAGAATGACAGGAGAGTTGTGAATCCCATAGTCCCCACACCTAATTTCAAGAGGGGAGGAGTTCCATTGGAGCAGCTTTGGGACGAAAGAGAAGCAGTCAGGGTCCTCAGGGCTCAGGGCAGGAAAGCAAAGAGTCCAAGGCACCTGCCAGGACTGACCCCGCCCACCGACTCCCATAACTACTTGCAGAATGTGAGCTTGCTCTGAAGGCCTGGCTCTACCAGAGCTTGGAAAGCATCTGAGAAATGTACCCACTCCAGATGTTGATGCCAATGAAGTCTACCTCTCCTGAGGGAGGCTGCACTTCACCAGGAGACAATGTCTCCCCAGTTTCTAAGAATGAATCTTCCAAGGTGGAATTTCTGCTATCAGCTAGAGGGGGGAATGTATTTTTACATGTAATTCCTCCAGTCATTCCTGATAAGAAAGCTTTTTTTGTTGTTCCATTTTTGCAACCTTTTGG
Source organism: Homo sapiens (assembly GCF_000001405.40). Classification (NCBI taxonomy): domain Eukaryota; kingdom Metazoa; phylum Chordata; class Mammalia; order Primates; family Hominidae; genus Homo; species Homo sapiens. The sequence goes on from NC_000002.12 coordinate 230,162,455, forward strand.
AGTCATGTAAAACCTCCCACATCATAACCTGAAGGTAGTCCTGAGCTGATGCAGGCTCCCTGGCCAGTTGGGGAGGAAAGGGTTCAGGAAAGAGTGGAACCCAGCTGGATCAGATGGGAGAAATTGAAGCAGTGTTGTTCACCTGGGGTAATACTTGAGGTTTGTGGTCTCATGCCAAGGAAATCAAGAACATGGACACACCTGGAGTGAGATTAAGAGTGGACGTTTGGCCGGGCGCGGTGGCTCACGCCTGTAATGCTAGCACTTTGGGAGGATGAGGCAGGTGGATCACCAGGTCAGGAGATAGAGACCATCCTGGCTAATATGGTGAAACCCCGTCTCTACCAAAAATACAAAAAATTAGCCGGGCGTGGTGGTGGGCGCCTGTAGTCCCAGCTACTTGGGAGGCTGAGGCAGGAGAATGGCGTGAACCCGGGAGGCAGAGCTTGTAGTGAGCCAAGATTGCACCACTGCACTCCAGCCTGGGCGACAGAGCGAGACTCTGTCTCAGAAAAAAAAAAAAAAAAGAAAGAGTGGAGGTTTAATAGGCAAAAGAAAGAGAAAAAAGAATAACTCTCCTGCAGAGAGAGAGGAGTGCCCAAGTGGGTCTTCCAGCCCACGCCAAAATGCACCGGATTTTATAGACTGGCTTGAGGAGGCAGTGTCTGATTTACATAGGGCCCACAGATTGGTTGGACCACATGTGACATTTACATAGCACAGGAGGAAGTTGGCCACCCCACCCTAATCTTATTATTATGCAAATGGGTTTTCTACTTGGTCAGCACCATGTTGTCTGCTCCTTACTGTACATGTGGTTGGCAAGGAAAAGGGAAGATGGAGCCACCGTGTTGGACATGCCTGGCTCCCAGATAGCCCTTTCCCATTGGCACAGCTGCCGGCATTCACCCGTGCAAGCTTCCAGCTTGCTTATCTATGTCTGCAGCTCAATTTTACAGGCTGCTTTTTGTTAGAAAAGAAATGACTTGGGGGCTGCTTTTCATTAAAAGGAAAACCTCAGCGAGGACTTCCTTACCCTCACTATCTGCCTAAATAATTTCTTTTTAACGCCTATGTTATTATGGCCTGGGTGCAGGACTGGAATGGGTCCCTGGAGAGAGGCAATTGGCATTGTCTGCAGGGGCATCACTGATGGTGGGTTCATTAAGAGTTTTTAACATCTAAGGAGGTACGTGCTGAACGTGGATGAGGCCTGAGCAGTGGGAAACGACCAGGAGGGCAAATCCTGCACCTACAGCTCAGAGAGTCTGGGGGAAGGTGAGGACCAGCTGGGCTAAGCAGAATAACCCAAACCCTGCTCTCGCAGGCAGAAATCACTTGAAAACCAGGGGAGCAGTACAGCAACAAACAGGAGCAAGGGAAGAGAGTGTTCCGGGAATAGGGGTCTTGGCTGTCATGGCAATCAAACTGCTAGTGTTTGAAAGTCTCAACTTGAAAGAAATAAATGACTCTTTAGGGTACCCCCCACCCCCTGCCCAAGATACAGAGAAACCCAGAGCCATGATTAGATGATAGACAGACAGACCTGGATCAGCTTACCAATGCGAGAACGGAAGACAGGGTTAGGTCATGAATGGATATAAGATTTTTTTACCCAGCAATCCTGGCTGCTGGTAAACTGGTAGGGAGGGGAATCTTTTATCATAATGCATTGAGCTTATGCTAGGAATGGGAACCTTTAGTGTACCTCTCAGAAGGATTTGGAAGTCTAAAGTCTAGGCTGATAAAATCATCATCTCTAGAACTCAGCATTCACTCCAAAATGGCACCAGGAGTGGCCATCTTTATGGCCATATTTGTTGTCTTTCCATACAATGAAGGGAATTCTACTTTATTATATGCTTTTCTTGAGCCAGTGCTCAAACTGCCTCCGCCCTTTCCTGGATCATAGGTGAGGTCAATCTATTTCACAGTTCACACTGTTGTGAAAACACTGAGAAATAGGAGCAAAAGAAATCTCTATACATTTTCTGTTCATTAGTCTGTGACACTGGGTACCTAAATGGAAACTCCAACACACTCTACTCCCAGTTCCTCACTGGGAGGCTGAAGGGGGCCTGCTGGACAGGTTCTGCCTCCTTATGGGGCAGGGCCTCGGTTTTTGATGGTCTTACTCCTCCATGGAGACTAAGAATGAAAAGCCAGAAACACAGACCAGGACAATTTAGTAAGTTGTAATGATTTGCAATTTTTGTCTTGAGAAAAGCATTATGTTGAGAAAAGTTTATGTCCTTTGAACTTTTGTTTAAAAATAGCAATTAGCATTATTAACATGCTAAAAAATAGGTTTAAATACTATCAAATTGCAATTATATTAATATCAGTTTCATACTAATGGCCTAAGACGAGGAGTGCTTCTTGAAACATTTTTAAAAAATGATAAATAGGGAGAACAGAGAGCAGATAGCCTGTAGATAATAGATGTTCTTGAAAGTGAGCCCAGGACAAATGGATCAGTAAGGTTTAATGGGGCTGCAAAAATAACCAGGCATGTATATCGAAAGGGCTCAGTGTGCCAGGCATGATGAATGAAAAGGTACTATATTTGAAACCTATCCTGGCAAAAATAACTAAATATAGAACTATTGGGATAATAGGGGAAATATCATTGGTTTCCACACACTAATGAGGAGGCAGAATTCTGGCTGGACTTAGATTTCAGAGTTGTAGAATAAAATCCCCAAAGACAGTGGAACAAAGTTTAAATCAATTTTGAAGGTGAGAAGTTATGATAAGTTATATATTATGTTATTAATTTATGAAAACAATAGAACACATTCTAAGATATGGTGAATCAGAAAACATACCATCCATGTAATTCTTTTCAAATTACTTAAAGACACACTTCAGTTGACTGAAAGGCAGAGCAAAAAGGAAGTATGGAGAAGTCGTGTCAAGAAAAGACCAGCAGGGAATCTTAAACAGTGAAAACAGAAACACATTAATACTGTTCTCAAAAATACAGGTTATCACGTAACACACACTTTTAATTTTTGCTTTTGAATTACTTTATATGACATAGGACATGACAAATAATTTACATAATGTGAAACTAACAAATAATGACATAATATAATTGAATAGAATAAACATTATAGAGTAAAAGCAAAAAAATTAATACTAATTCATGTCTGTATTTCAAGAGAGTGAAAAGACAGGAATAAGGGAGCTGAGAGGTATCAAAGTGATAAACGCATTGCCTTAAGTATGTGACACATTACAGATATTTTATTTTTGACTTTGACATTAAAAAAATAAGTCAAAATGCATTGGGAAAACTTATGGGTAAATATTGGAACTAAAAGCCGTTACGATGCCTTCCAAAATAGAAGGCAGAAGAAAAAAAATAGACAAAAATAACATTAAAACATTAAAAAGAGAAATATTAAAATATGACAGAAATAAGACCACCTATATAACTTTTTTTTTTTTTTTTGAAACAGAGTCTTACTCTGTTGCCCAGGCTGGAGTGCAGTGGTGGGATCTCGGCTCACTGCAACCTCCACCTCCCGGGTTCAAGCGATTCTCCTGCCTCAGCCTCTTGAGTAGCTGGGACTACAGGCGCCCGCCACCACGCCTGGCTAATTTTTGTATTTTTAGTAGAGACGGGGTTTCACCACGTTGGTCAGGCTGGTCTCGATCTCTTGACCTCGCGATCCACTCGCCTCAGCCTCCCAAAGTGCTGGGATTACAGGCCTGAGCCACTGCGCCTGGCAGACCACCTATATTACTTTTAACCACAAATGAAATAGATGACTTCTTAGAAAAACATAAAAGCAGAGCTGTCTCAAAAACCAACAGAATATCTTCATAGCCTGAAAACCGTAAAGAAAGCAGATAATGTGGTTACCACTGTCTCTCCAGTGAACTCTGGGTCACACACTTTTGGTTAATTTAAAACACTATAAATTATTCCAGAATATATTAAAAGGTAGAAAATTTTACAAGTTATTTTACCGAGGTAGGATAACCGTAAATCTGACTATGACAGTGTGTAAAAACTATAGAGCAATCTCATTTATAAATACAAATGTAAAATCCTCTGCAATGGTATATTAAATACCCTCTGCAATGGTACATTAAATACCCTCTGCAATGGTATATTAAATCTATAACAAACAAAAATAAACTCCACAGAAATTTAGAAATCAACTTAGTTTGTTTTTCATAGTGATCTGAGTGTTAAAATTCTGTTAACTTTTATTGTTGTACCTGGGGATTGAGCAAGTGAGTAAATAATACTGTTGGAGAAGGGAGACACCAATACAGAACCGAGGAAGACAAGGAAGAAGCCTGTGGGGTAGGATGGGATGGGATGGGAATTAGAGGTGTATCATACATATAAATCATGTATCAAGGAAAATTTCCTGCCCTGGGATTAGGGGGAACTAGCAACATGTGCTTGACTGGATTTCAGAATTGCTATAAATGAGTGACTGCTGCTTCCTTTTTCCCCGTTTGAATGGAAGTGTCTATAGTAGTTGTTCAGTCCCTGTTTCATCACTGACTGTTGGCAGCAGGGAAGAAACAATTTTTCAGCTCACAGGCCTCTAGTTCAAGAGGAGGTGCACCCAAGGAGCTGCACCCAATAAACCATACCTGAGGAGCCTATTTCTTTTGTTTTCTTTCCTTTTTTTTTTTTTTTTTTTGAGGCAGGGTCTCTGTTGTCCAGGCTGGAGTGCAGTGGTGCATTCTTGGCTCACTGCGACCTCTGCCTCCCAGGCTCATCCTTCCACCTCAGCCTCCTGAGTAGCTGGGACTACAGGTGTGTGCCACCTTGCCCAGCTAATTAAAAAGATTTTTTTTTTTTTTTTTTTGTAGAGATGAGGTTTTGCCATGTTACCCAGGCTGGTCTTCAACTCCTGGACTCAAGCGATCCACCTGCCTCGGCCTCCTAAAGTGCTGGGATTTCAGGTGTGAGCCACTGTGCCCAGCCCGAAGAAGCTTTATCTGATCTGAACCTGATTTAGATAAGGAGGTCCTGGACTTTGTTCCAATGCTGCAGAGAGTGAGACTTCTGTGGGGAGAGGAGTGTCCTTTGCATTTGGGAAAGATGTGAACTACTGTGGCCAGAGGGTGAACTATGGTAGATTGCTTCTAAAGATGGGAGCAGCAATGTTTCTTCCCAAGCAACATTCTCCTTTGAAATGTGACTTTGCCACCCATCGCATCAAGAGGTAAGGTCTATTCTCCCTCCTTCTGAATCTGTCCCTGTGACTTGCTTTCACCAATAGATTGTGGCAGAAGTGACAGTGTGCAAGTATGAATGGGGTCTGCCAGTACCATGTGGAGCAAAGGGAAGCATCCTCATGGATGATGCCTGAATTCTTGATCCACAGAATAGTGAGCAATAAAATGTTTTTTTCTTTTTAAGCAGCTAAGCTTTGAGGTCATTTGTTACACAGCAATAGATAGCTAATACACCATCAAAGAGTTCTGGGGTCATTTCAAAACAACTCAGGAGGCAAATTGAGGAGTTTCTCACTAAAAGTGGGGAACTTGCACATGCCTGTAATCCCAGCTACTCGGAGGCTGAGGCAGGAGAATCGCTTGCACCCAGGAGGAGGAGGTTGCAGTGAGTCAAGATGACGCTACTGTACTCCGGCCTGGGTGACAGAGTGAGACTCTGTCTCAAAAAAAAAAAAAAAAAAAAAAAAAGAAAAAGTGGGCAACTCAAGCATCAATAAAGGTATTAACTGCAATGGTTTGTAGCATGCTACGTATATTTAAATATGTGGGTTCAAGATAATTAAATTAAAAAATCCCTGGTTACCTTTAGAGGATATTGGGACATCAATTCATTATTTTGAACATTGCTAAATAAAAAAACAAGCATTTATCCTATTTTTTGTACAACCTGTATTTCAAGGTAACCGAATACTGTTAAAGAGAAGCTATTTGCAGAATAATTCTGACCAATAATTATGTAAAAAAAAACCTGAATCTCATCATTTTGCAACCTCTGATGATATCACGGATTTAGGTATTGCTAAAACCATCAGGTGATAGATGATCAGGCTGATAACACGTGCACCTGCTGCCAACCTTAACATAAAAAATAATACTAAATTCCCCTGTGAAGCCTGCATGTGCCCCAAAACCCCCAAATCAAAACAAACCCCTCAAAACCTGAGTTAAAGCAAGCTTCTAGATCTAACTTCTAGCTTACAAAAAATGAGAGGAAGAGAGGACTATACCACTAAGAAAATGCAACCAGAAAATTCCAGATTGCAAAAAATGTAATAGGACCAAAACCCTGAGTTCTTCAATAAATACATGACAATTTATAGCTTAAAAGAGACATAGGGACAGGAGAGCCAAATGCAGTGTGTGGAACTTGTTTAGATCCTGATTTGAACAAATCAACTCTAAAAAGACTTATGAGACAGTGGGGAGAATGTGAACTATGATGGGGTATCTGATGGTATTAAGGAAGTATTAATTTTTTTTTTTTTTAGTGTAGATATAGACTTTTAAAGGTAAAAAGAAAGAATAAAGATGGAGGGTGTGATAATCCTATGAAGTGTCTGGGTTTGGGTCCTGAGGGCAGCCAATTACATCCCAGACTCACTGGCAATCAACAGTCCAAGCCAGGGTCCCATCAGCTGAATCCTGAGGTGGGGATGCTTCAGTCTTTACAGAACAGGGTCAAGGAAGAGTCCAGAAACCGCCGTCATTGGCTTCATGAAAACCGAGCACGTCTTTGAGATCTTTTTCAAATTCTGCCTCTAAGTCAAGTCCTACCTGGCCAAAGTCAGAAGCCTGAAAGAGAAAAAAGCAAACAAACACATTGAAGGATGAAGGATTACAGCCATCAAATCACTCATACTTTTTTTTGTGTTTTTGTTTTTGAGTCAGGGTCTTTCCCCGTCACCCAGGCTGTGGTGCAGTGGCACCGTCATGGCTCACTGCAGCCTTGAATTCCTGGGCTCATGTGATCCTCCCACCTCAGCTCCTGAGAAGCTGAAACTACAGGCACATGCCACTATGCCCAAAGTTTTAAAACATTTTTTTCTCTTTCAGAGATCGGGGTGAGGAGGCCTTGCTATGTTGCTCAGGCTGGTCTCAAACTCCTGGCCTCAGATGATTCCCTCACCTCGGACTCCCAAAAAGCTGGGATTACAGATGTGAGTCACCATGCCCAGCCTCACTCTTATTTTTTTAGGAGCCCAGCAGTAAGGCAGAATGGATGGGGAGATGCTGCTACTAAAATGTTGAAAAGCATGAGACTCCAGCTGGTTGTTAATTTCCACCTGACAGGCGATTTAGACTGAAGGGTTAGTTTTGATCATGGCAAATCTGAGCATGATGCAAAATAGCTTAACAATTTTTGTAAATGCATTTCTTGGAAGCCCACTCGCTGAGGAAGGATGACCCTCTGTTCTCCAGGACTACGGATATGCCAGGCACTGAGTGGCTCTCTGGTCAACCCTTTCTCCCTGCAGCTCCATGAATGGGTACCAGTTTACAATCTGTGGTTTGTGAACATGCCAACTCCTGGCATGGAAGAAGGGAAGGAAGCTGGGTGGAGATGAAAATCTTCCTTAGGTACCTCCCAAGAAATATCTGTACAAGTGAGGATAAAAATCAGGAAAAACCAAAGTTACAAATGTCTGGGATTGCAGGATAGCTCAACCAGCTGTCCCTCCCTAGTAAAGGAGGATGAAACCAACATTGGATCTGAAGGCAATTCCAGATGTTTGAGTCCAATGAGAAATTTATGTGTAAAAATATGCAAGCCTGATTATCCAGGAAGTTTAATTGATTTTATGTTGTTTACTTATTTATTTTCATATTTCTGAGGCAGGAAGAACAATGTAGGCATAAACTGCCTTTCCTTCCAGTTTGAACAAAGAGGCTGGATGCCATTTACTGCTCTCGTTGGGAGCGAGCTGCCGATCTGGGAACAGAGCATGGTTTTTTTCAGCTTCTGTTCCAGAGATCCCTCCCCTGTCCTGCTTGCTGTTCTTTTTGCCACTCACTCCTTGCCTCCAGGAATGCCGAGGTGGTTTTTTTTCTGTAATCCTTGTCTTGTTTGAGCTCTCCCCAGGCTGAAACTGAGTGTAATACTTGCAAAATTCTGCTGTCCCAGAAATTAGGGGAAAGTAGAAAAGACGCAAAAAGGAAGCAGGAAATGCTCTTTACCTTGTAAAATGTTTTATGGTTGCGAAACATCAGGCGCATGTCTCGCACAAACCATGCCACCGTGTACATTTCCGTAATCAGCCTTTCCTTAACCAGGTCCAACCACATTGCTTCCTGAAAGGGCTCACCGTAATCTCGAATCTTGGGGACAAAGCCACCAGAGGTGACGTTAGCACAGCTGTCATCACTGGAATGGATCCAACTTAAATACAATCCAAGCCTTCATTTCCAGGGTCATAATGATAATACCATTTGACCTCTTTAAGCCAGCTATTGTTCTAGGCACTAGATAAACTAAATTCTAAGCCAAGTATATGAATATGTAATCTCCACATTTATGGGTACCATAAATAATAATGCCCATTTCATAGATGAGGAAACCGAGGGATGGAGAGGTCAAGGAACCTACCCAAGATGTCTCAGCAAGAAAGTGGTAGAGCTGAGATGGGAACCCACACAGTTTGGCATCTATGACTCTTTTTTTTCTTTTGAGATGGAGTCTTGCTTTGTCACCCAGGCTGGAGTGCAGTGGTGCGATCTTGGCTCACCGCAACCTCTGCTTCCTGGGTTCAAGCGATTCTCCTGCCTCAGCCTCCTGAGTAGCTGGGATTAGAGGTGCCTGCCACCATGCCTGGCTAATTTTGTATTTTTAGTAGAGATGGGGTTTTGCCATGTTGGCCAAGCTGGTCTCAAACTCCTGACTTCAAGTGATCTGCCCGCCTTGGCCTCCCAAAGTGCTGGGATTACAGGCGTGAGCCGCTGAGCCCAGCTGGCATCTGTGACTCTTAATCTCTAGTAGGAAAGACATTCTTCCTAAAGAGAAGATGAAACAGATACACAGGAGGAGAAGCAACTTGCCCGGTATCCCAGAGCCCGTGAGCAGTGGGGTGGAGTTTGAACCAGGTAGTCCCTCTCCAGAGTGTGCAGCAAAATCCCTGCTGCCCCGCTCCACTGCTGCCACGCTGCCCTTCTCTTCTGTTCTCCAGCTTCCTGAGCAAACTGCAGCACCTGCCAGATCAGCCCCCAAATTTCTCCAAATGCATTTTATGCAAGAGAACCGTAAAATGTGACTTACATTAAATGGGATGCCCGTAAAAAAGGAGCTTTGTGGATGACAGTAGGCCTTCAAGAGGAGGAACTCACATTTCTGTAAAATGTGAAGAGGGCTTGAAAGTGAAATGCAGCTTAGAAACAGTGAAGCCAGGCGAGTGTCTAGACATGCACACGGATGGGGCAGCCAAGCCCAGTCAGCATTCCAGCCATGCTTCCCAAGGCGCACAGGGTGTGTGGGATTTTGTTTAGACTCTGAGTTTGGGCATTAAATCGTCATCCTTTAAAGGGAGACATTGAAGGCTCCCTTTGGTACATTGCCCTGACCCTGTGCCTGTTTGTGCTTCTCGTGTGAGAAGGGAAAAGTATAGGTTTGGGGTTTGCATCCAACTCACCAGCTGGTCCTGAGGCTGCATCTGCCTCTCCAGGGTCTTAGATACATGATGGCACTGTTGGCTTCCTGAAGACCTCTTCATCCTGCAGAAGGTGCAACTCCACAGCATCCTGAGAGGTTGGACACAAGGTGAGCAGAGGGCAAAGCCCCTGGAAATGGCCACCATTCCTGTGGCTGCCACTGTCTTCCCTCAGGAAGGATGGGCTCAGCCATGAGGGTGGGACACCTCCCAGAGTGTCCAAGATCCCCACATGGGGTCTCCAGCATTGGCCCTTCCCTCGCATCAGTGGTAGCGGCAGGCGGGCAGCCTGAGGAAGGTGGTGTCACTGTTAAGTGTGGGCTCTCTTTTCCCTGTCTGAGCTGCTGGGAGCACAAAGGAACCCTGCCTGCCAGGCTTGAGTGTCAGAATCTGGGCTTTCACCTGCAGGGACCTCAGGCCTCCATCAGCCAGGTGAGACTATGGTGAAATGTGTGACAAGCCGTGCTTCCTGTCTTTCCTCAACAGGCACAGAACATAAGCTGGCTTTTCCCGTCCCCTCCTCCTTTTGGACAGGAGTCCCTGCTGTCCAGGGAATAGCATACTAGGAAAGGGCACTTCCAGGGGCAGAAGCAGTGTGGGGCCAAGAGGCTCACTGGCAGTCTCAGAGACCCAGAGAGGCCCAGAGTCTCTGGCACCAGACTGCTCTGCGTCACACCCTCGTCCCCGACGCTCACAGGTCCTGCCCTTTCCATCTGGAGGTGAGTGCTGTGTGCCCGAGGCGGGGCTGCATCCCACTCACCTCTTGGCTTCCACAGGGGGGATGTGACAGTCCTCATGGAAGACTCGTGGACAAGTACCGCAGCAGAGAAGTTGTCCCCCTTGACAGCACACCTCGCATTCATCCGAGTTTTTCCGCTGCAAGGGCAGATAACGTGGGCACCGCTAGGACCATGGAGACCCACGAATGCTGACCCTGTGGGGTTCTAGAACACATCATTTTTGTGTGTGCCAGAGTGGATATCCAAACCCAATTTTTGATGGGGGGAGCTGATGCCACCTCCCTGGGGGAAATTGCAAGACAAATGGCACAACAAGCAGAGAGTCTGGGTGGTGACCGCCGCCACCAGGACTTTTCTTCTCTGGCTGTGGCTTGCCAACAGGTTCTGCTGCGTTTTGAGCTGTGCTGCTGCCTGCTGGCAAGCTTGTGCTTTGAGCTGGGCCACTCTGGGCGCATTTGCTGAGCCCACCAGGCCTCTATTAATAGATCTGACTGACCAAAGTAAGAAATGATGATAACTGGCATTTGGGTGCAGGAGTATGGGAACTGTTGTTCCTGGTGCCTTGCCTAACTGCCCCATGGTCGTAACATAACATGGCCCTAAAATGTTCCACAGTGGGCATGGATGCTATGACCCAGTAAATAACACATTAAAATAATTAAAATTAAGTTACCTTTGGCACTTACAATTGGCTTTACAAAATGGAACTCTATGGACCTTCTCTGTTAAAATATTTAATACTGATCAATATGAATTAAAACACGGCTTTCAAGGATTGAAACTCATTATGGAAGATCTATTTAGAGAAAGGGTGATTATCCCCACTGTTTCTCCATTTAACAGCCCAATTTGGTCTGTTCTTAGGCTTGGAAAGAATGAATGGTGCCTCTCGGTGAATTACTACAACCTGAATCCTGTGACCCCACCTGTGATGGCCCAATGTTATTGAAATTACTGACTCCATCCACTTAGCAAGTGGTAAATACTCTGCAGGCATAGATTTGACTAATGTGTTCTGTTCAGCGCCTATTTCAACAGATCTCAGCTGCAGGTTGCTTTCACCCCCGAAGGGACACAATAGACCGTTATCTGGCTACCACGGGGTACCTCGACAGTTCTGCCACCATACACAATCTTTGCAGGCAGGATTTGAACTGCATCTGACATTCTCTAGGAGTACAGGTGTAACATCACCCTGAAGACACCCTTCTTTCAGCAAATTCATTTGACACACTCAGGACATTACTCACAAAGAACTCATAGAAAAGGATGGGGTTTGTGTTTCCACATGGTGGGATTAAACTAAAACAAAAAAGTATGGGCCACTGCCCCAGGCATAGTACAGGGATCCACACCAATTTCTGGCCATTGTCTGGTCAGTTGAGGGATGCTCCATCCCTGACACTGTCAAAAAATAATTATTGACCCTCTGAGTACTCACAGTGTTCTAATAAACCTCCCAGCATCCTTCAGGCCTCTTGAGTTCAAGGAAACACATCCTTCATTTGTAGATTTTAGGTAAGCCCATTTACGCTGTTACTTGCAAAATAAGCCCACTTTGAATGGGGCCCCTTCTAACAAAAGGTTCTAGAATCTGTCAAATTGCAATACAGCAGACATTAGTGCCCTCCTGAGTCTCATTCACTGTGGAAGCTTTGGCAACCTCCTCTCATGCCTCCTGGCATCTCTGGACCACCCATGATGGCCATGGGCTTCTGATACAAAAAAAAACCAAAACCCCAAAAGCTGTTCTCCTCAGCCTCACACTATATGCTGATAGAGTGGCAACTGCTGGCTGCATCCAAGCCCTTCTGGAGACGGAGGCTCTCACAGGCCAAGTCTGTGGCTCTTTACACCAGCTGCCCATCATGTGTGGGTCATGGAGGCAGCACGCTGCAGGGCAACCACAAAACACATTTTGGGAGTACCAGCATCGGTCTCTTTGTTGTACACATACATAAGTGAGACTGCAGTGGAGACAGACGGACGTGCTGCCGAGCAGCAGTGACACTGGATGATGGGGCTGAGGGCAAGGCCCGCACTGGCTCATTCTCAGTCGGGTAAACCTTCATCTTATTCTCCCAACCTGGCCCTGGAAGGTGGGACTGAGAGGCTGGGTCAAGCATGCCCCTGGCTATTATGAGCTGACATGTGGCATTAGGAGAGTTAGAGGGTATTACCATGTTGGGGCTATTAATTAATGATCTGGATTTTAAAGATTTTTTTTTTTCTGGTTGCAAAAGTAACAAATGGTCATTATAGTAATTCCAATTGTACATAAAGGTATAATACAGAAGGCATATGTCCCTGTGATCTCATCTCAAAATAAGTGCAGTTGATTCTTTTGGCTATTTTTTCACTCATAGACCTACCTACACGTTCACATAAGCAACAATGGGTTCCTTCCCCACACGTCACAACTAGCATTAAGTGTCCTGAAGCTCTCCTGACCACAAAACCATTTGGTGGCTTTCCATTGATTGAAGGATAACTCCATACTTATGAATCCATGTATTTAAACAAATATCTATATCAAAGGTCTAATATTCTATAAGAAAAGTTTAAAAAAAAACCATTCTGTAGCTGTATCAGTTTATTCTGCAATACTGATAGAACTTGTGTTCGTCCCTAATTTTTTGCTATTATGATGTTACACTGAGCACCCCTGATTCTCAGGGTATTTCAGACCAGCATGGGAAAGATGATTTATATAATAGATGGCATTGGGAGACCAGTGCCTTAAACTTTGAATGAATCCAGCCTGGTCAGGCCAGCCTCCAGGGCAAGATGGGGGAGGCACCATTGTCTCTGCTGGAAGTTCACAACTAACGGGAAGCTCATGAGTGGAGCTGATGTGTCTGGAGAACACATCTAAGCAAGTAGAGGAGGTTGAGGAGGGGGAGTTAGTGCAGCCAATAGATGACTGCCATTTCCAGCTGTAGGGATGCCCTGTAGAGACAAAGCTCAGTTCAAAGGCGTCATTCCATCCTGGTGCTACCAATAAGAAGCATGGAGGATTCAGCAATACTCAGTATGCAATCATGGATGATCCTCTTGTCCTTTCATATACTGTTCCTGTCTATTTCAATGCCTTTTCTTTTGCTTTTCATGCTGCAGCATTCTTTTTTTTTTTTTTCTGAGACAGGGTCTTGCTCTGTTGCCCCAGCTGGAGTGCAGTGGCATGATCTCGCCTCACTGCAACCTCTGCCTCCAGAGCTCAAGTGATCCTCCCACCTCAGCCTCCTGAGTAGCTGGGACTACAGGTGCATGCCACCATGCCTGGCTAATTTTTGTATGTTTTGTAAAGAAGGGGTTTTGTCCTGTTGCCCAGGCTGGTCTCAAACTCCTGGGCTCAAGGGATCCACCCACCTTGGTCTCCCAAAGTGCTGGGATTACATCGCTCTGTATAGCAATACAGAGTCTCACTATATCACTCAGGCTGGTCTTGAACTCCTGGGCTCAAGCAATCCTCCTACCTCAGCCTTAGCTGGGACTACAGGTGCACACCACCATTCCTAGTTGATTAAAAAAAAATTTGTTAGAGATGGGGTCTTGCTATGTTGCCTAGGCTTAGAGCATTTTATTTCTGACACCTTTGGTTTATAGCCATCCAAATATCCAGATCTTTTTCTAAAACACATGGACATGATGAGCTTTTTCATTTAATTTTTATTTTAGAGTCATTTGCTTCCCCATCCCAAATTAACTATGCAAATTAATTGTTTTGAAGATGCCATGCCCAAATGTGGAGGTGACTCAGAGCTTGGAAACTCAGAAGCTCTAAGGTGAGCCTCCAGACAGGGAAAGTCTGCAACATGGTGACTGAGAGGGTAGTAGAAATTCACTTGCTATTTAACTCTCTCTTGAGATTTATTCTTGGAGGACAGAGCAAAAGTCCACTCTGAAAGACAGAAGGAGTCAATGAATGAGGTTATTCTGGAGGTTTTTCTTTTGTAGATACTGGCCTTCCCACTTCCTAGTGAATGTCTGTACCCAGACATCACACTGGATCTCAAACCCAAGAAGTCAAAAAGAAAAATTAGCTCCCTCCCCCAGTCAGTTTTTCTTCTGGACCTCACTTAGTGATAAAATCACTTTTTCCCCTGTCACTCAAACCCACGACCCTAGTTCTTCTTTCTTAACCTTTCCCATCCATTCCTTTCTCCTTCCATTTCTCCCTCTCTAGATTAAAATCTTTAGGATTTCATCCTAGTGATAATTTCTTGAGTGTTGCTGAGAGAGGCCTTGTGTTGGGTCCTGTCATCATAGACACTAGTTGTTCTCAGGACAGGAATAGTGTGCTGTGGACATGCAGCGGAGAGACAGACCACGGACTGGGCAGCCTGGAAATGCTGCAGGGGGGCCAGATGAGCTGGGCCTTGAGTAGATGTCAGGTAGAGGATGCAGGGGAGTGGTTGCAGGCATCTGTCTTCAGCTAGTTTCTTTTTAGGTTCTTACATCTCTCTTCACCTCAAAGCCCTTTGCCGGCATTTAAAGTTCCTGTACTCCTTTACTTGCATTTAAAGTTCTCCACCATCAGGAACAATATGTGCTCCTAACTTTGTCACCCACAGTTTTTTTTCTATGAACATTTAACTCCTTATAAATCATGCTGTTGAATCCTAACGGGAGCTCTTCACATTTCTGCTCTTAAAGCTCCACTTCTCCTTCAAGGATTTAAACCTGTCACCTATCTGTCCCGTCATTATAATACCTTCAGCAGCTCTCCTAGGGTCATTCCTTCACAACGTATATTCCGTTTCCAGTTCTTTGCGTTCCTTCCTTTTCCTTCGACTTCAAATTCATTTGGTGTTAACCAAGTTCCATCCTCATTCCGAATGCACTTCACTGAGGATCCTGTAAGAAAAAGCCCATTCTTGGATCTACCCCCATCCTCTGTGAATTCACCCTGAACCTCTTCATCCTAATTGTGGCCTTCTACCTTTCCAGGTCAAGAGAGACTTCCTCTGTGAGGTGGAAGGAGTAGCAGGGGAGTCTGCGGGCCTCTTCTCTTGGACTGAAGCCAGCCCTAAAGCCTGACTGAGTGGTGAGGGGTGGGACAGAATGTGCATTCGTGTAGTGCCTACATGCAGCAAGGACATGGCTGTCAGTACAGCAGGGCCCATGGGTGACTTCCAGGTGGGAGTGGAGGGTCTGATTGCCAGAAATACCATGATGTGGAAGAGTTTGGAAATTCCTTCCTAAGAAGCGTTTCTTCTGCAGTCTAGCTAGCAGGGTCCATTTCCTGATCAATTACACACACGGGTATTTTCCTCCCTTCTAGTGAGTCCTTCATCTAGGGATTCCAAAGAGCAGAAGACCAAGGAACTCACCGTGTTTCATTTTCTTCTTATATAAAATCCCTTTCGCCTCACCACAGGTCACGGGGAGCTTAGAACAGTGAAAATCCACAGTGTCACTTTTGGGTTTTCCTTAAAGTAGAAGAGAACAGTTTTGTGTTATTCAGTCTTCACTCCATCTTCCTTTTGAATTCTCCCCTCCATGAATTCCAATAATGTACAGGGTATTGGGGAACGTTCTCTGGTTAGTTTGCAGGAACTCTTTCATCTCGAGTGACAGATAAGCTATGTGTACACAGTGGCCTGCAACAAACCACCACTGCCACCAACACTATATCAAAAAAAAAAACATTTTAGTGGAACATATAGGGCATCTTCAGTGAATGTGTCTTAATTTGCAAGTGAATTGGCTGTCACTGAATAGTCTTCTATTCTATAAGCATCCTGCTGATCTCTCTGTGCTGATGGAAATGTTTCTTTGCATTCATGTTGCCAGAGGAAAAAAAAATCTTCATTTATAATCTTATTTCCTGACTTAAATGAAGACTTGGGTGAGTGAGGTGGCTGGCACTGAGGGGATGGTGTCAGTCTTAATTATTTGCTGTTTCTTTTCATTTTATTGCTTCCCTGCTTCTTCCTCGATGAATAAAAGAAAACCCTGGAGAGCTTTGAACTAATTTCCCAGTTGCTCATGGAGCAGTCTGGCAACTCAGAACCCCTGGGTAGAAATCCAGAGTTTAGATTCAGGGGAAGCAGTTGCAAGAGGGTTTAAAATAAATCTCAGCAATTCCTGCTGCCTTCCCCTCCAACCTCACTATGGGTGAATTCATTAAAGAGAGACAGCAGGGGCTGTTTCTCTGGGGAGAAATGAAGGGGCTGTCCATGTCTTATGTTGAGTTACAGAGGATGTTACACCTAAAATGAATCTAGGAGAACACCTGGTCCAACTCTCTCCCTTGCCTCAAACAGTTATTGAAAGAGCTAAAGGAAAACAAATGGCAAAACAAGAGCATTGACGGAAAGGTGAAGGAACAGTATCAGCGGCGAAGAAGCCATTCATTTCTCTGGAAAGACACAAGGCAGATAGAGTGAGACTGAGAGAGGAGGGACCCTGAGAAGTGAGGATGTGATCCCCCCGACAGAACCCTACAGGATGCCTGGCCTCACAGGAGCAGGGGCTGGCAGCAAGGCTAGGCATGGGGGTGGAGGGTAGTGGGGGTGTGGGAACTTACGGTGGGAAAAACTTTGTTTCAACAGCCAGCCCTCTTGCATGGAGTGGCCAGCTCCACCATTTGTCTCTAGACTCAACTCAGTAAATATGGAACAGCAGATGAGAGCGTGGCCTTGGGAGCCAGACTGGGGGGCAGGGAGGAGTGGGGGTGGGAGGGGCTTGTAATCCTGGCTCTGCAACTTACTAGAAGGATTACCTAAGCGTGCATTACTGTTATCAAATTTGAGTGGGAAATTTGCTGCCGCAGGTTCCTAATGTGAGGGAAAGGCAGAGCTCCAGGTGACTCTGGACCACTATTGCAAACCTTGAGGGAGATTAGCACAGCTCTGGGGACCTTCCCTTCTACAGTTCTCTGTCTCCACAGAAATGTCTTCTCTAATTCCCTGTGGTGAATATAGCTTTAGGGAACACAAATGTCCCAAACACATTCACAAGCAGATGAGGGAGCAGGGGGTGGCTTTGGGGGCCACGGGTAGCAAGCTGATGTGCAGAGTTGTGAGGACAAACATCAGTCCCTTCCTTACCCAGTGGAGGCAGGCCATCAAGTGAGGTGGGGCCTTTAGACCCGAGGACTTCCAAAGCCAACTGTCCTATGCCTGAGGGCAGCCTGTTCCTAATAGTGCTAAGTCTGGCTCAGCCTCACCTACTCATCTTACCAACCAGGCCTTGAAGGATGGAACCCTGCAGCCCCAGGAACCCGGTGGGGGATGCTTGGGGCTCTCTAACGGCAGCTGGCTTGTTTGAAAGGTGAGCTGCAGCAGCGGTGAGTTTAGGTCCCCATTAGGAAGCATGAGCAAACAATGAGGAGCCTGCTGTGAAAAGCAAGCAATTAGAGAACAGAGAGCTCAGGGAAAGGAAAAGCAAGGTGGAGAAAACTAAGAAGAAAAGCCTAATCGAGATGAGGAATAGCGGCATGGTAAAAAACGAATTCATAATCCAGAAGACCAACTCCAGGAATTCCTACAGAACATGAGGAAGGAGCACAAGGTGGAAATTATGCATGGAAAGACCACAGGCCTGGGGAGTGATTTGGGAGCTCTATGATGTATACATGAGGGGTCTGGGGAGGGGATGATTGGGGGTGGAGATGGGGCGGTGGGAGGAAAAGTGATAGTCAAGGAAACAGTAAGAGCAGCAGATGCACTGTGTCATCTATCCGCATAACAATGTGTAAGAAAGAGAAGGCAATGACTGTCCTCATTTTATAGATGAGGGACTTGGGGTCAGATGTGGAGAGAGAATTGCCGGTGGTCACCATATTACATGAGGTGGAGCTGGCACTGGAATTTACACATGCCAGACCCAGTATCTAGCGCTCTTTCCACATCATCAGAAATGCCACGAGACTGCACATCATACAAGCAACAACAGCACAGATACTCTGCATTTAATGAGAAGTTACAGACAGTGCAGAAGGGAGAAGAAACTGATGCTGAGGGACAACTGTCAACGTTTGCCGGGGCTCCTGCCTCCACCAGTGTTTGAGAGTAGGTGCTTTCTAGGTTCATTTACATTTTTAGTGTAAAGGAAAAAGGGCTTGAAATTGGAACACATAGGTTGATTTTAGCTCATTCAAGTCTTTTGCCCTTTAATTGAATCTGTAAAATGGGCTGATAACACTCACTTATTATGGTAATTAAATGGCAAAATGTAGATCAAAGTGCTTTGCCAACTGTGAAGTAATGTACACATTTATATGGTTATCAGGACCACTGCATGAAGTTGTATGGGTTGTGCCCTGAGCAAGGACTCCACCTTTAAGGGGTGCTCTAATTCATATTAGAAACAGAATCAGTTTACCTGCTTAGTACAACAATCTTCCAGCAGAAGGCAGAAAAGGGTTTGGTTTCAAGAATTGGCTCTGACAGATGAGGTAGTGAATTGAGGAAGGGGCACCTTTTTCTAACTCACACACATGCATCAGATAGGCCCAGATACTGGTATTCATACTTGAAGAAGTACCAGCTGTGTGAGGCATGGGGAGCTGGACATACAGCAACACACAAGACCCATCCACTTACTGACCTCACGTGACTTTCACGCAGTGAACAGGCTGTGCACAGATCATTCATCACAGTTAAGATAAGTGCCATGAAGACAAAATGCAGGTCTCCACAAGGGCATGTCAGGGAGACCCACCCCTACCTGCTGGGAGAGAGAATGCTTCCCTGTGGAAGTGACATTTAAGGTGAGGTCTGAGGGCAAAGGTCTAATATCCAGAATTTACAAGGAACTTAAACAAATTTACAAGAAAAAAGCAAACAACACCTTTAAAAAGTGGGCAAAGGACATGAACAGACACTTCTCAAAAGAAGACATTTATGCGGCCAATAAAGATATGAAAAAAAGCTCCACATCACTGAGCATTAGAGAGCTGCAAATCAAAACCACAATGAGATACCATCTCATGCCAGTCAGAATGGCGATTATTAAAAAGTTAAGAAACAACAGATGCTGGCAAGGCTGTGGAGAAATAGGAACACTTTTATACTATTGGTGGGAATGTAAATTAGTTTAACCATTGTGAAAGACCTCGAAGCAATTCCTCAAAGACCTAGAACCAGAAATACCATTTGACTCAGCAAGCAATCCCATTACTGGGTATACACCCAAAGGAATATAAATCATTCTATTATAAATATACCTGCATGTGTATGTTCACCGCAGCACTATTCACAATAGCAAAGACATGGGCTCAACCTAAATATCCATGAATTATAGACTGGATAAAGAATATGTGGTACATATACACCACGGAATACTATGCAGCCATAAAAAGGAACAAGGTCATGTCCTTTGCAGGGGCATGATTACAGCTGGAAGCCATTATCCTCAGCAAACTAATGCAGGAACGGAAAACTAAACACCACATGGGTTCTCACTTATAAGTGGGAGTTAAACAATGAGAACACATGGACACAGGGAGGAGAACAGCACACATTGGGGCCTATCAGGGGAGCAGGAGGGAGAGCACCAGGATAAATAGCTAATGCATGTTGGGCTTAATACCTAGGGGATGGGTTGATAGGTGCAGCAAACCACCATGGCACACATTTACCTATGTAACAAGCCTGCACATCCTGCACATGTATCCTGGAACTTAAAATAAATATTTTTAAAAAAGGTGAGGTCTGAGGGTGTATAGCAAAGAAAGGGAGGAAGATAGGGGGATTCACTTTGGGGTTGGGTGGGTGAGCTGGGAGGCCCATGTGAGGAGGCCCTGAGCAGGAACGAGGTGGGAGCATTCGGTATCTGGTGACCTATGCTGTGAGGAATCAGGCTGGTGTGACCCTAGAGACACGGGTAGGGGTGGTTTATGGGTGTTGGTGACATCCTGTGTCTTGAGCTGCGTGCTGGGTGTGCGGGTGCATTTTCTGTGTGTGTGAATCCATCAAGCTGTACTCTTAGGATACATGCCATTTTCTGCAAGCACATACACCAGTGCTACTCAGTGCTCCAGCCTACGATGCGACAGGGGCTTGATCAGAATCAATGCACTGCTGTCTCCACTGAGGAATCTTGCTATGAAAACAGTGTGCTTAGCGTCACAGTTGGTTTACAAGCTCCTTATTCTTGTAGACCTGCCAAGCAGCATGCTTGTAGATGGCACCAGTCTGGGGACCCCACCTTGGGTAGCACCTATTATACTTTGATAATGAATAAAAAGGGCCAGTGTGGCTGGCGCCTAAAAAAGGAAGAGAGGGTGACAAGAAATGATGCTGAAGAAGCAAGGTATAAAAGCAGAAGAAAAATAAATGCAAGAAGAGGAGTGGGAGGGAGAGGACAGAGATGCAAAGAGGGCCGAGGGTGCAGAGAGGCTGAAGCAAGCCCAGGGTCCCAACCAACACAGGAAAAGGAACGAGAACACTGTCAGGCTGTGCTTGAATAAGGGTTTCCTTTAATTCCTAGAATGGAAGACATAGAAGTTCATTTTAGAATTTGACTTAAAGGTTTAGTGATCATCCTTAATCATTTTTGGGTCTTTGTATAGCTCTGTGTTAAAGAATCCTTCCAAGTATGGAAATGGCCACCATGCACAAGGGGGTGGGTTAGGCTGGCAGCACTCCTGATGCACCCAATTCAGCTGGTACCCATGACGGTGGAGAACAACTTTGGAGGAGAAGGGAGAGAGAAGAAGGAGAGGGCGGGTGGAGCTTCCAGCAGAGGCCAGGGCTCTGGGGAGCCCAGTGGGGAGGCGCTGTGGCTTGCTTGCTTACCTCTTCGGTGAATATTTTTCTGAAATCTCCTTTTTGAGCTTGAACAGATATCTTTCTCCTTTTTCTTTTCTAAACACAGAATTAATAATCACTTATAGCTACAAACATAGATTTATAAGCCTCATAGGTTAACAATCTTCAAGCATTTTTTCCTGTTTTTCTACCAGTTTGGAGAGACAAGTTACATATGAGTCCTTATGAAAGGACTTCCTTGTAGCATTGACTAAGGAAATACAGCAAGCTCATGTTAATAGGCAGAAAAGCTAAAAATACTACAGAAGCCAAATTTCCACTAATTAATATATGTCAATACATTTACTACAAATACTAGAATAAAGGGATGTACAGGAGTCCCCCCTTATCCACACGGCATGTATTTCAAGCCCTCCAGTGGATGCCTGAAACCATGGGTAGTGCCCACCCCTGCAGATACTATGTTTCTTCAATCTGATAACCAAGACAGCTACTAAGTGACTGATGGGTGGGCTGCGTATACAGCAGGACACACTGGACCAAGGGATGATTCGCATCCCCGAGTGGGATACAGCAGGATGGTGCAAGACTTTGTCACGCTACTCAGAACAGCGCATCATTTTTAACTTATAAATTGTTTATTTCTGGAACTTTCCATTTAATATTTTCAAACTGCAGTTGACTTCAGGTAACTGAAATCATGGATCAAAAAACTGCTTATAAAGGGGGGCTACTGTATGGCCTTATAAATATCACATAGGAAGGGCTTTTTAAGGAGGAAGTAATGGGCATAAAGCAGTGGTTAACACTGGGTGATTTTGCTCTCAGGGGATATCTGGCAATGTTTGGAAATCTATTTGTTTGTCAGGACGGGGAAGCAGCTGCTACTGGCATCTAATGGGTAGAGGCCAGAGATGTCGCTAAACATCCCATGACACACACGACAGCCTCCGAAGCAAAGAATTATTCAGTCCAAAATGTCAATAATGCCAAGATTGAGAAACTCTGGCATAAACCATACTGCTAAAGGTAAACTGATTTGTCTATCTAACTAAGCAAATGGCTCCACAACCAAAAGCTTCTTAAGTTCAAAGACAGAAACCAAATCAGAAAAACTAATAATTATAACAAAGGGTTAATTTCCCTAACGGATTTAACAAAAAAAAATGGCCAGTCTTATAGAAAAATGGGCAAATTCAAACAGATGACCCTCAAAAGAAAAAATTCCAATGTCAAATTTATTTAAAAAACAGGTAAATTGGTAACGATAGGCTAGGTAATGCTGTGGTAATTCACGATCCTCCCAAATCTCAGTGGTTTATTACAGGTGTCAGCAAACTATGGTCTAAGGGCCAAATTGGCCTACTGCCTGTTTATGTAAATAAAGTTTTATTGGAATACAGCCACGCCCATTTGTTTACGTATTTGCCTCTGGCTGCTGTCACGCTACAAAGGCAGAGTCGAGTAGTTGCATCTTCTGGTCCTTTTTGGAAAAAATTTGCCAAGCTCTGGTTTACAATGGCAAAGGTTTACTTCTCTCTCATGCTGTTTGTTCATCATAAATTAGATGAGGCTCAGCCCTACATCACTGACACTCATGGCTTCTGCAGACAGAGCAGCCTCTGTCTAGAACATCCCTGGTCTTGGGCAGAGAGAAAGAAGACAAAGGGGCTCTTAAAGCCTTGGCCTGAAAGTGGCTCTCTAACTTGGGTCCACATTTCTTTCGCTAAGTTATCACATGGGCATTCCTGAGTCCACAGGCAGGGCTGTAGACTTCTGAGGAGGTGGGGCACTGGAACACTGGAGAACCGTAATACAAGCTACCACAGCATGTTTGATCACCTGCCAAGTGAAAAGAAATTCAAAGGGAAACACCGGTGGAATATCACCCTTCACCTTTGGCCGTCATCATAGACACATCTTGTTATTTCTAGTGTTGGTGAAAGTGGAGGGAAAGGGTGTCTGTATGATGTAATGGGAGTATAAACAGACAATTTAGGCAATTTGACAACAAATATGTCCTAACTTAAAAATGCAGACTTGACCAAGCAACTTCACTTCTAGAAATGAAACATTAAAAAACAATCCTGCAAATGTGTCCACTTTGAGGATTGGTGCCACTTCCAAGACTGGGTTGGCCAGAACCAGAAAGGAGTCTCCCAAACTCAAGAGAGTAGTGGTGACTCTAATAACAGAAATGAAAACAGCAGACACTGGGGAGTAGTCATGTAAATCCACATGGCAAAGCCAAGGTGAACTGCACCCTGAGAACACTTCTTCCAACAACCACTGTCACATCAACAGATCCGTGCTCTGTCTTCATGTCCCTCTTTTCTGTACGTCTCCCTCCTTCTACTATTGACTTTACATATCTATCTGACCCTGTACTGCTCCAAGAGGCCCTCCTACATTGAGCTATTCAAATAGCAGATTCCATCATTAGCCTTACCTTTCAATCTGGACTTTCGGGCACATTTAGTTCTTGCCTTTTGGACCCTCATCATGACCTCTGAGTTCCAGGTTGAGTCGTCTTTCCTTTGAGTCACCTTATCCACCACTTGGAGCTTCTCTTGGATGCCATGCCCAGGTGAGGCTGCCCCTGGACCAAATAGACTTGTGAATAGTTTAGTGAGCTCCCTTCTCATGTTCCCAGCCCCTACCCTTTCAGGAGTTATCTTGCCATTTCTCTATAATTCTCTCTTTTCTTGTGTGTATCTTTCTTCCCCCCAGACTCATAATACTTCCTTCTATTTCTCTTTTTCAAGTCCTCATTTTGTTTAGTAATTACAGGTGTATCAATTAGAATGCAAGCTCCACTAGTGTAGGGATTTGTGTCTGTCTTGCTCACTGCTGAGTTCCCAGGACCTAGGACAGATACCTGGCCCACACCTTACACTCCACTGCTGAATGAATGTTTAATAGGCACTAAAGTTTTGAAAATATTAAATGTATTTTTCTTTTTAATTTGTTTTTATTTCAATAGCTTTTGGGGTACAAGTGGTTTTTGGTTACATGGATGAATTATATAATGGCAAAATCTGAGACTTTAGTGCACTCTTCGTCTGAGTAGTGTACATTGTACCCAATACATAGGTTTTTACTCCCCCTCCTCCGTCCCTCTCCTTTCTGAGTCTCCATAATCCGTTATATCACTCTGTATGCCTTTGAGTACTAATATCTTAGCTCCCACCTATAAGTGAGAACATACAGTATTTGGTTTTCCATTCCATCACCTCACTTAGAATAATGGCCTCCAGCTCCATTTAAGTTGCTGCAAAAGACATTATTTCATTCTTTTTTTATGGCTGAGTAATACACCATGGTGTATATATACTACATTTTCTTTACACATTCATTGGTCAATGGGCACTGAGGTTGGTTCCCTATCTTTACAATTGTGAATTATGCAGCAATAAACATGTGTGTAGGTGTCTTCTTGATATAATGACTTATTTTCCTTTGGGTTGATACCTAGTAGTGGGGTTGCTGGATGGAATGGTAGATCTACTTTTAGTTATTTAAGAAATCTCCATACTGTTTTCCATAGAGGTTGTACTAATTTGCACTCCCACCAGCAGTGTATAAACATTCCCTTTTCACCACGTCCATGTTAACATCTATTTTTTTTTGACTTCTTAATAATGGCCATTCTTGCAGGAGTAAGGTGGTATCTCATTGTGGTTTTAATCTTCATTTCCCTGATGATTAGTGATGTTGAGCATTTTTTCAGATGTTTCTTGGCCATTTGAATATCTTCTTTTGAAATATGTCTATTAATGTCATTTGCCCACTTTTTGTGGGATTTTTTTCTATAATGTTTGAGTTTCTTGTAGACGCTGGATATTAATTCTTCATTGGATGCATAATTTGCAAATATTTTCTCCCATTCTGTGGGTTGTCTGTTTACTCTGATGTTTATTTCCTTTGCTACGAAGAAGCGTTTCAGTTTAATTAAGTCCCATTTATTTATTTTTGTTTTTGTTGCATTTGCTTTTGGGGTCTCAGTCATGAATTCTTTGCCTAGGCCAATGTCCAGAAGAGTTTTTCCTAGGTTTTCTTATAGAATTTTTCTGGTTTCAGGTCTTAGGTTTAAATTTTTGATCCATCTTGAGTTAATTTTTGTATAAGGTGGGAAATAGGGATCCAGTTTTATTCTTTTACATGTGGCTAACCAGTTTTCCCAGCACCATTTATTAAATATGGTGTCATTTCCCCAATTTATGTTTTTGTATGCTTTGTCAAAGATCAGTTGGTTTTAAGTATTTGGCTTTATTTCTGAGTTCTCTATTCTGTTCCATTGGTCGATGTATCTACTTTTATAACAGTATCATGCTGTTTTGGTAACTATAGCCTTGTAGTATAATTTTAAGTCTGGTAATGTGATGCCTCCAGATTTGTTCTTTTTGCTTAGGATTGCTTTGGCTTTGCAGGCTCTTTTTTGGTTCCATATGAATTTTAAGATTTTTTTTCCAGTTCTGTGAAAAATGATGTTGATATTTGATAAGAATTGCATTCAATCTGTAGATTGCCTTGGGCAGTGTGATCATTTTCATATTGATTCTTCCAATCCATGAACATGGGATGTGTTTCTATATGTTTGTGTCATCTATGATTTCTTTCAGCAGTGTTTTGTAGTTCTCCCTGTAGAAATCTTTCATCTCCTTGGATAAGTATATTCCTAGGTATTTTATTTTATTTTGTTGAAGTTGTTTTAAAAGGGATTGAGTTCTTGCTTTGATTCTCAGCTTGGTCACTGTAGGTGTATAGCAGTGCTAATTTGTGTACATTTGATTTTGTAACCTGAGACTTTACTGGATTCATTTATCAAATCTAGGAGTCTTCTGAAGGAGTCTTTAGGGTTTTCTAGGTATATGATCATATAATCAGGGAACAGTGATACTTTGATTTCTTTTCCAATTTGGATGTCATTTATTTCTTTCTCTTTTCTGATTGTTCTGGCTAGGACTTCTAGTACTATGTTGAATAGAAGTGGTGAAAGTGGGCATCCTTGTCTTATTCCAGTTCTCCAGGGGAATGCATTAGATTTTTTCCCATTTAGTATCACATTGGCTGTGGGTTTGTCATATATGACTTTTATAACTTTGAGGTAAGCCCCTTCTATGCCTAGTTTGTTGAGGATCTTTATCTAAAGGGATGCTGGATTTTATCAAATGTTTTTTCTGCATCTATTGAAATGATCTATGGTTTTTAATTCTGTTTTTGTGATGTACCACATTATTGACTTGCATGTGTTAAACCATCCCTAAATCCCTGGGATTAAATCCACTTGATCATGGTGTATTATATTTTTGATGGGCTGCTGGATTCAATCTCACTGTTTGTTATTGGTCTGTTCATGGTTTCTATTTATTCCCAATTTAATCTAGGAGGGGTGTATGTCTCCAGGAATTTATTTATTTCCTCTAGATTTTTCTAGTTTTTGTGCATAGAGGTGTTCATAGTAGTCCTGAATGATCTTTTGTATTTCTGTGGTGTCAGTTGTAATGTCTCCAGTTTCATTTCTAGTTGAGTTTATTTGAAACTTCTCTCTTTTTTTTTGGTTACTCTGGCTAATGTTCTATCAATTTTGTTTATCTTTTCAAAGAACCAGCTTTTTGTTTAATTGATCTTTTTTATTTTTTGTTTCAATTTTATTTCATTCTTCTCTCATCTTTCTTTTTTTCTGCTAGCTTTGGGTTTCTCTAGTTCCTTGAGGCATGACATTAGGTTGTCAATTTGTGATCTTTCAGACTTTTTGATGTAGGCATTTAGCGCTATGAACTTTCCTCTTAAAAGCACTGCTTTTGCTGTATCCTAGAAGTTTTGATAATTTATGTCACTGTTACCATTCATTTCAAATAATTTTCTAATTTCCGTCTTAATTTCAGTGTTAACCCATAAATCATTCAGGAGCAGATTATTTAATTTCCATTTATTTGTTATGGTTTTGAAAGTTCCTTTTGGAGTTGATTTCTAGTTTTATTCCACTGTGATCTGAGGAGATACTTAATATAATTTCAATTTTTTTCTTCTAAAAAACCCCCCAAAATGGGACACACGTGCAGAACATGCAGGTTTCTTACATAGGTATGCATGTGCCATGGTGGCTTGCTGCACCTATTGACCCATCCTCTAAGTTCCCTCCCCTCACCACCCACACCCCAACAGGCCCTGGTGTGTGTTGTTCCCCTCTCTGTGTCCATGTGTTCTCAATGATCAACTCCCACTTATGAGTGAGAACATGCGGTGTTTGGTTTTCTGTTCCTGTGTTACTTTGCTGAGGATGATGGGTTCCAGCTTCATCCATGTACCTGCAAAGGACATGATCTTATTACTTTTTATGGCTGCATAGTGTTCCATGATGTATATGTACCACATATTCTTTATCCAGTCTAAATGCTGGATTCTTTATCCAGCATTTGGGTTGGTTCCACGTCTTTGCTATGGTAAATACTGCTGCGATAAACATACATGTGCATGTGTCTTTACAGTAGAATGATTTATATTCCTTTGGATATATACCCAGTAATGGGATTGCTGTGTCAAATGGTATTTCTGGTTCTACATCCTTGAGGAATCACCACACTGTCTTCCACAATGGTTGAACTAATTTACACTCCCACCAACAGTGTAAAAGTATTCCTATTTCTCCACAGCCTCACCAGCATCTATTGTTTTCTGACTTCTTAATAATTGTCATTCTGACTGGCATGAGATGGTCTCTCATTGCAGTTTTGATTTGCAATTCTCTGATGATCAGTGATGTTGAGCGTTTTTCCATATGTTTGTTGGCTACGTAAATTTTTTTTTTTTTGAGAAGTGTCTGTTCATATCCTTTGCCCATTTTTTGATGGAGTTGTTTGTTTTTTTCTTGTAAATATGTTTAAGTTCCTTGTAAATTCTGGATATTAAACCTTTGTCAGATGGGTGGATTGCAAAATTTTTCTCCCATTCTGTAGGTTGCCTGTTCACTCTATTTCTAGTTTCTTTTGCTGTGCTGTAGCTGTTTAGTTTAATTAATTCCCATTTGTCAATCTTGGCTTTTGTTGTAATAGCTTTTGGCTTTTTTATCATGAAGACTTTGCCCATGCCTATGTCTTGAATGATATTGCTTCAGTTTTCTTCTAGGGTTTTTATGGTTTTGGGTTTTACATTTAAGTCTTTAATCCATCTTCAGTTATTTTTTGTATAAGATGTGAGGAAGGGGTCCAGTTTCAGTTTTCTGCATATGGATAGCCAGTTTTCCTGGCACCATTTATTAAATGGGGAATCCTTTTGCCATTGCTTGTTTTTGTCAGGTTTGTTGAAGAACAGATGGTTGTAGATGTGTCGTGTTATTTCTGAGGTCTCTGTTCTGCTCCATGGTCTATATGTCTGTTTTGGTACCAGTACCGTGCTGTTTTGGTTACTGTAGCCTTGTCGTATTGTTCAAAGTCAGGTAGTGGGATGCATCCCGTTTTATCCTTTTTGCTTAGGATTGTCCTAGCTATATGGGATCTTCTTCGATTCCATATGAAATTTAAAATAGTTTTTTTTTCTAATTCTGTGAAGAATGTAGAGACAATATACCAGAATCTCTGGGACACAGCTAAAGCAGTGTTAAGAGGAAAACTTGTAGCACTAAATGCCCACATCAGGAAGCTAGAAAGATCTCAAATGGACACCCTAACATCACAATTAAAAGAGCTAGAGAGGCAAGAGCAAGCTAATCCAAAAGCTAGCAGAAGACAAGAAATAAGTAAGATCAGAGAAAAATTGAAGGAGATAGAGACACAAAAAACCCTCAAAAAATCAATGAATCCAGGAGCTGGTTTTTTGAAAAAATTAACAAAATAGATCACTAGCCATATTAATAAAGAAGAGAGAGAAGAATCAAATAGACAGAATAAAAATGATAAGGGGGAATATCATCACTGATCCCACAGAAATACAAACTACCATCAGAGAATACTATAAACACCTCTACACAAATGAACTAGAAAATCTAGAAGAAATGGATAAATTCCTGGACACATACACCCTATCAAGACTAAACCAGGAAGAAGTTGAATCCCTGAATAGACCAATAACAAGCTCTGAAATTGAGGCAGTAATTAATAGCCTACCAACAACACAAAACCCAGGACCAGATGGATTCACAGCTGATTCTACCAGAAATACAAAGAGGAGCTGGTACCATTACTTCTGAAACTATTCCAAACAATTGAAAAGGAGGGAACTCCTCCTTAACTCATTTTATGAAGCCAGCATCATCCTGATACCAAAACTGGGAAGAGACACAACAAAAAAAAAGAAAATTTCAGGCCAATATCCCTGATGAACATCAATACGAAAATCCTCAATAAAATAATGGCAAGCCAAATCCAGCAGCACATCAAAAAACTTATTCACCATGATCAAGTCGGTTTCATCTCTGAGATGCAAGGTTGGTTCAACATACACAAATCAATAAGCATAATCCATCACATAAACAGAACCAAGACAAAAACCACATGATTATCTTGATAGATGCAGAAAAGGCCTTTGATAAAATTCTACATCCCTTCATGTTAAAAACTCTCAATAAACTAGGTATTGATGGAACATATCTCAAAATAATAAGAGCTATTTATGACAAACCCACAGCCAATATCATATAAAATGGGCAAAAGCTGGAAGCATTCCCTTTGAAAACCAGTACAAGACAAGGATGCCCTCTCTCACCATTCCTATTCAACATAGTATTAGAAGTTCTGGCCAGCACAATCAGGCAAGAGAAAGAAATAAAGCGTATTCAAATAGGAAGAGAGGAAGTCAAGTTGTTTCTGTTTGCAGATGACATGATTATATACTTAGAAAACCCCATCATCTCAGCCCAAAAACTTCTCGAACTGATAAGCAACTTCAACAAAGTCTCAGGATACAAAATCAATGTGCAAAAATCACAAGTATGCCTTTACACCAACAATAGGCAAGCAGAGAGCCAAATCATGATGAACTACCATTCACAATCACTACAAAGAGAATAAAATACCTAGGAATACAGCTAACAGAGGATGGGAAGGACCTCTTCAAGGAGAACTACAAACCACTCCTCAAGGAAATAAGAGAGGACACAAATGGAAAAACATTCCATCTTCATGGATAAGAAGAATCAATATCTTGGAAATGGCCATACTGCCCAAAGTAATTTATAGATTCAATGTTATTCCCATCAAACTATAATTTCAATTTATAAAAATTTATTGAGACTTGTTTTGTGGCTATCATATGGTCTATCTTGGAGAATGTTCCATGTGCTGATGAGAAGAATGTAATCTTCTGTAAATATCTATTAGGTCCATTTGTTCTAGAGTGTAGTTTACATCTATTGTTTCTTTTTTGACTTTCTGTCTCAATGATCTCTCTGGTGCTGACAGTGGAATACTGAAGTTCCCCACTATTATTGTGTTGTTGTCTTATCTCTTTTCTTAGGTCTAGTAGTAAATGTCTTATGAATCTGGGAGCTCCAGTGTTAGCTACATCTAAATTTAGGACTGTAATATCTTCCTGTTAGATTGATCCTTTTATCATTATATAATGACCTTCTTTGCCTTTTTTTACTGTTGTTGCTTTAAAGTCTGTTTTATCTGATATGAGAAAAGCTACTCCTGTTTACTTTTGGTTTCCATTTGCATGGAATATCTTTTTTCACCCTTATACCTTGAATTTATATGGGTCCTTGTGTGTTAAGTGAGTCTCTTGAAGATAGCAGATATTTGGTTTGTGATTTTGTATCCATTCTGCCAATCTGTATCTTTTAAGTGGAGCATTTAGGCCCATTTATGTTGAACATTAATATCAAGATGTGAGGTACTGTTTCAGTCATCATGTTAATTGTTACCTACATACGTTGTTTTCTTCATTGTGTTATTGTTTTATAGACCTTGTGAGTTTTATGCTTTCAAGAGTTTGTATTCTGGTGCATATCAATCTTTCGTTTCAAGAGTTAGAACTCCTTTTGGCATTTCTTATAAAGCTGGTCTGGTAGTGACAAATTCCCTCAGCATTTGTTTGTCTAAAAATGACTTTATTTCTCCTTCATTCATAAAACTTAGCTTTGCCAGATACAAAATTCTTGGCTGAGAGTTATTCTGTTTAAGGAGACTAAAGATAAGACTCCAATCCCTTCCAGCTTGTAAGGTTTCTGCTGAGGAATCATGTATTTTTCATCCTTGCAAATAGTAAAGATTTCCCTGACTATTACATCAATAGGTTTCAGGGGGAGGGCAGATGCTTGCTAGAATTGAGAAGCCACTGCTCAGTTGGGGCCATTTTGGCAAGCTTAGACAAAATCTTGAAGCACAGTATTTGTTGGGAGCAAAGAGGAATTTATAAATTCCAAAAATTACCTGTACCTATCAAAAGAAAACTTTGGAGGTCTGAATGTCAAGTTTTCCTATAAGTCATTGGTAGTGAACACTCAGCAAATGACAGAGAGTATGTTTCCTCCAGCCTAGGGAGGCAGTGGGGTGGGGAACTAGGAAGAAGAGGCCAGGGAGGGGAAGTGCAAGCAGGCAGATATGACTTTCCTTCTAGGCCAAACCCCAAGATTGAGGCATGCTGGGAACAAGCAGAAAAATTAGAGGGCTTTCCAAAGCAGTGAGCCTCATGTCCTAATTCATGTTTGGGAGCTGGGACAAGATCTCTTCCCAGGCTGGCTCCCATAAAGGTACAGAATCCAAGAGAATCCCCACTGACCGGCATATCTTAGGCCCTTTGTGAATAATTTTGAGTAAAAGAATAAAGAAAAAGGGGCCAGGTGCAGGGGCTCACACCTGTATCCGAGAACTTTGGGAGGCTAGGGCAAGAGGATCACTTGAGGCCAGGATTTCAAGACCAGCCTGGACAACATAGCAAGACCTGGTCTATACAAAAAATTTACAAAATAAATTAAAAAAAGAAAAAGGGAAAAAGAAAGGAACAGAAAGGGAAGAGGGAGAGAATACAGAGGAGAAAAAGAAAAGTGGGATGAAGCAGAGGAACCAGAAAAATGCAGCTTTTTTGTTTCTTATTCTGCAAGTAACACAGTTTGTGCACTGGAGTAGACACATGCATGCAGGCATGCAAGCAAGCATGGGTTGACTGAGGTAGTTCTGAACACTCTATGACTCCAAATCTAATCCAGTTTGGAACTGAAAGTCTGAATCCTGCTTGGGGATTTAGGTTTCTTGTGTCTATTCTTCTGGGCTCTGACCCTAGACAGGAAACAATTCTAATCTCAAAATTGTCTGATGCCTCATGTCCACCTCAACCCCATTCCCTCCCTATGATAAGAGAAAAGAAGACTAGGTATAAACCAAGTTGGTGTTAGGTTTGCTCTTCCTTTGTTGGGGAGTCTACTGATGGGGTGGCCTAGGGGACAAGGTTGGGGCTGGCTGTGCTCCAGGCACATGTGGCTGGAGAGGAGGTCATGCCAGCTGGTCAGGTGAGGGGCCTGATAAACACCAAGAGAGTAACAATTTCACTTTTCTTCCTTATGTCTTGGGCATTTTTTTTTTCTGTTTTCTTTTTGAACTTGGCCATATTCTTTTCTCCTTTTTTCTAAAAAAGAAAAAACCCACATCTTTTATGGCTACAAATATTGATCTACAAACCTGCAATGTCATTACTTTTTTAAGTAATTTTTTTCCTGTTTTCCCTGACTTTGAGAAGGCAAGAAAACCATGTGACCTATGTGAAAAAAGTACTCCATTTTAGCTGGAAATTGAATTAGGGGATTGAATAAAGATGGATCAGGAATATACTAGAGGACTAACATTTAATATATGTCATTTAAAAAGTTTTTTGGGGACAGAGTCTTGTTCTGTTATGCAGGCTGGAGTGCAGTGGCATAATCTCAGCTCACTGCAATCTCCACATCCTGGGTCCAAGTGATTATCGCACCTCAGCCTCCTGAGTAGCTGGCATAACAGGTATGCACCCCCAGGCTAACTTTTGCATTTTTAGTAGAGACGGGGTTTCACCATGTTGGCCAGGCTGGTCTTGAACTCCTGGACTCAAGTGAACCTCCTGCCTCAGCCTCCCAAGGTGCTGGGATTACAGGCATGAGCCGGCATGCCTTATTAATTTTAAAATTAATAAGCAGTTTTTCAAGACTAGACAAAGATTGTTATAAACCATGGATATTAAAAGGTTTCCTAGCCAAAATTCAGGGCCAGAAATTACACAGTTATGAGATAAACAGATTTGAATGTTTAAAAAATTAAAAATATACAGAAGGAGCAGGACTGAAAAAAACTGTTCACAGTTCAAAAAACACCCCGACACTATTAAAGCAAAAACAAAATTTAAATATACATAGCATATAGAAGGTTAATATCCTTATTAGATAAAGCAAAAGATGAATGGTAATCTAGGAAAATAAGCAAAAAATATAAGTTAAAAATGCTCAAGGAGGAAATGAAGATGACAAATTTATTTAGAAATCATCTCTATATTACTACTAATCAAAGAAACTCATTGTTTGGATGTTAAGGATACCTAAACATTTAAAAAGTTTTATTACATCCAGCATTGAGGATGTAGGAAATGAATACTCATATATTGTTAAAGGGAATATAAATCATTATGTTTTCTGGACAGCAAATTGGTAACATGTATAATTAAGATATAGATTTTAACCAAGTAAGCTTGTGTTTAAGAATCAATTCTAAGGAAATTATTGGACAAGTGTGCAAAGATACAAATACACACAAACCTGATTTCTATTTTCATATAAAAATAAGAAATAAACTGTCCACTAGTAGGTGATTATTTAAACAAATTGCGGTGAATCATACGTAACGTGCCATGCAGTTAAAAAAATAGATAACATTGATACAGAGATGATACACAATGAAAAAAGTGATTTATAGAATAGACTATATAGTATGAGCTTATATATAAAAAGAAAAATGTATGCATACTTATACAAAAATAAAGTGGGGGAAGCAGATTAAATAGATGTTTAACTTTATGATTTATAATTTTCTTTTTTTTAAAATTTTATTATTATATTTTAAGTTTTAGGGTACATGTGCACAATGTGCAGGTTTGTTACATATGTATACATGTGCCATGTTGGTATGCTGCACCCATTAACTCGTCATTTAGCATTAGGTATATCTCCTAATGCTATCCCTCCCTCCTCCCCGCACCCCACAACAGTCCCCAGAGTGTGATGTTCCCCTTCCTGTGTCCATGTGCTCTCATTGTTCAATTCCCACCTATGAGTGAGAACATGCAGTGTTTGGTTTTTTGTCCTTGCAATAGTTTGCAGAGAATGATGGTTTCCAGTTTCATCCATGTCCCTACAAAGGACATGAACTCATCATTTTTTATGGCTGCATAGTATTCCATGGTGTATATATGCCACATTTTCTTAATCCAGTCTATCGTTGTTGGACATTTGGGTTGGTTCCAAGTCTTTGCTATTGTGAATAGTGCCACAATAAACATACGTGTGCATGTGTCTTTATAGCAGCATGATTTATAATCCTTTGGGTATATACCCGGTAATGGGATGGCTGGGTCAAATGGTATTTCTAGTCCCAGATCCCTGAGGAATCACCACACCGATTTCCACAATGGTTGAACTAGTGTACAGTCCCACCAACAGTGTAAAAGTGTTCCTATTTCTCCACATCCTCTCCAGCACCTGTTGTTTCCTGACTTTTTAATGATTGCCATTCTAACTGGTGTGAGATGGTATCTCATTGTGGTTTTGATTTGCATTTCTCTGATGGCCAGTGATGATGAGCATTTTTTCATGTGTTTTTTGGCTGCATAAATGTCTTCTTTTGAGAAGTGTCTGTTCATATCCTTCGCCCACTTTTTGATGGGGTTGTTTGTTTTTTTCTTGTAAATTTGTTTGAGTTAATTGTAGATTCTGGATATTAGCCCTTTGTCAGATGAGTAGGTTGCGAAAATTTTCTCCCATTTTGTAGGTTGCCTGTTCACTCTGATGGTAGTTTCTTTTGCTGTGCAGAAGCTCTTTAGTTTAATTAGATCCCATTTGTCAATTTTGTCTTTTGTTGCCATTGCTTTTGGTGTTTTAGACATGAAGTCCTTGCCCATGCCTATATCCTGAATGGTATTGCTTAGGTTTTCTTCTAGGGTTTTTATGGTTTTAGGTCTAACATGTAAGTCTTTAATCCATCTTGAATTAATTTTTGTATAAGGTGTAAGGAAGGGATCCAGTTTCAGCTTTCTACATATGGCTAGCCAGTTTTCCCAGCACCATTTATTAAATAGGGAATCCTTTCCCCATATAATTTTCTTTTTCTTTGTTTTGAGACAGGGTCTTACTACATTGTCAAGCTGGTTTCAAACTCCTGGGCTCAAGCAATTCTCCCATGTTGGCCTCCCAAAGTGCTGGGATTACAGGTGTGAGCTACCATGCCTAGCCTGATTTACAATTTTCTACACTGAAGATTTTATTAGGAATATTGTATCACACAAGACAGGGTAGGCTGTGCTGCAGTAACAAATGAAACCAAATTTTGGTGGTTTAACATTGAAAAGTGTATTTCTCTATCACATGAAGTTCTCTGTAGGACAATAGGACCCTCTGTAGGACTGGAAGTCCTCTGTAGGGCCCTCCAGGGCTGCTGTCCTCTATGTGGTAGGTCATGCTGCTTTGGCCTTCTGGCGCCTCCCTCTTCCACACACTTCCACAGGCGGGAAAAGAATGTGGAGAGCTGCAATGGGCTCTTACATGCTGTGACCCAGAAGTGACACCCATCTCTCTGGCTTATTTGCCAGAGCTAGTATAGCAGAGCTGCCTCCTGCAAGGGGGATGATAATGGAGCTTTCCAAGTGTCTGGGAAGGGGAGAAGAATTGGAACTAGAGGAGGGCAGTCATAATGCCCACCATAAACATGGGCAGGGTGAGCACTGCTAGTTGTTCCTCTTTCTCTGGTCTCCCTTTTTCTTTAGTAATAAAGCCCCTGATTCTGAGCCCCTTATTCTTATAGATTAAAGATTACATTTCCCAGCCTCCTTTGAAGTCAGGTGTGGCCGTGCAACCAGTCCTGGCAATAAAATGATAGAATTTTTTTTTCTTTTTTGAGATGGAGTCTTGCTCTGTTGCCCAGGCTGGAGTGCAGTGGCATGATCTTGGCTCACTGCAACCTCTGCCTCCTGGGTTCAAGCAATTCTCCTGTCTCAGCCTCCTGAGTAGCTGGGATTACAGGTGCACACCACCAGGCTCAGCTAATTTTTTTTGTATTTTTAGCAGAGATGGGGTTTCACCATGTTGGCCAGACTGGTCTTGAACTTCCAACCTGAAGTGATCCACCCACCTCGGCCTCCCAATAGCAAATTATTAATGATAGCAAATTACTATCTGTGACCGGAAGCATTTAGAGTCCTTCAGTGGAGGAGGTGTGCCCTTCTTTGACTTTGCCATTTTCTCTTTAGCTGGAACATAGACATGCTGGCTGGACCTCAATAAAGGGGATGCCACATGCTGAGGATGATGGAGCCACATGCTGAGGATGATGGAGCAACAAGCAAGAATAAGCCCAGGACCCTACAGTGTATGACACCAGCTCTTGACCACCTACCTCTCTTGCTTTAGCTACTATTATTATTATTATTATTATTTTTTTTTTTTTTTAGTGGGGTGAGGTTTGCTGTCACACACAGCAACATAATCCTCTTTTTTTTTTTTTTTTTTTTTGAGACAGAGTCTCACTCTGTCACCTAGGCTAGAGTGTAGTGGTGTGATCTTGGCTCGCTGCAACCTCTGCCTCCTGGGTTCAAGCGATTCTCCTTCCTCAGCCTCCCATGTAGCTGGGATTACAGGCGCCCACCACCACGCCTGGCTAGTTTTTGTATTTTTAGTAGAGACAGGGTTTCATCATGCTGGCCAGGCTGGTCTCGAACTCCTGGCCTCAAGTGATTCACCTACCTCAGCTTCCCAAAGTGCTGGGATTATAGGCATGAGCCACTGTGCTGGGCCAGCAACATAATCCTAATGGTGACAGCACACTGCTTTTAGAAAAGTCCAGGAACTTTTCTATGTTGAAAAAAAGTGAAATCATGATTTTAAAAAGCATAACGCTTTTTCTGGCTTGGATGTCTTTTATGGCCTAGAATGGCATAATAACAGTAAGGTAACATCAATCCACACCACAGAGACCAAATAGTTTCTTCTTCACACTTATGCTCTGCCCTGGGAGATTTTCCCAGAGAGAGTTTATTTCCATTATCCATAGGATCTTGGAAGTAATGAGAAAGTAATTTTTGAATAAGCAGTTTTCTATTTTGGGCAATAGTGAATTGACAAAGGTTTGACAGTATTCTTTCTGCCCCTTCCTTTCTATGGAGAACGATGGCTCCTGAAAAGAGTTCCTGGGGACCAGGTTGTTAACCCGGTGGCAGCCAGCCCTTACCCAGGGGATCCTGAAAAAAATCCATTAATCCTTTCCATATCTTAATTTCCTCATCTGCTAAATTGGAATAGGTCATTCAATCTTCTCCAAGGGTGGTTGTGAAAATAAAATAAAATTATCCATGAGAAAAGTTGAAATACTACTAGATAAGCCAGTGCAATATAGGAGAAACTGTTAAAATGATAATTTAGATTTTAAGGTGGTAAAATTTAATCCATTTTTCCTGACAATAATTAGATATTTGTTGTTTGAAAATCACATTTGTCATGTGAGAGTTCTGTGATTTTTGTGACAATGACCATATCACCAGCAAACAGACGAATATCTAGCTGTTTTTTCCCCTCTAAGGATAGTGTTATCAACTTACTCCAGAAATGTGAATAATGGTAGCGATAGTGAGGGGTGAATTAACATGCACAATTTTACCAGCACATGCCCACAACTCCACCAGTTGTACATGCTCAGTCATAGTGTCACATGTGTGTTTTAATGAGTTTTTCGCTTCTCAATTTTCTCAGAAAGGCCACATGAGAAATATGGAGATTGGAATTCTAGGAAAAAGCTTGATCCATGGGTTGGATCAAGCTGCACTTTCGACAAGCTGTACTTTCAGTATAGTACCATGAATATACTTAGGACACTCATTCTCAGTAATGGTGATATTGCTGCCAGTAGTGGAAAAACTCATTCTTGAGTGCTGAGAAAAATCTTATATAGTGCAGATATACATACATACATATGGACACATTACATAAAATGGACATATATTTGTAGTAGTAAATATCATGGGAAGGGTCTTGATTAAGAAAAAAAAATCCAGAAGGGCTCTCTAGCACAGTAATAATGAAAAAAAAAAGTTAAGAAATATTGCCTCAGTGTAAGACAGCTCTGAATTTAGATTCCTGGTGACTGTACTCTGAGACCAGCAATCTCCAAGTTTTACCTTGTGTGACCCTTCGTGGTGTACTAGGCGTCTTCTGGGACCTCTTTCCTTCATTCATTTCTGAAGTGCCATCAATGATCTCTGGAAAATGAAAGATCTTAGTAAATGCCCCTTGGGAAACACCATGGAGAATCTCCCAGAGACCCAGGAAGGCCCTTGCACACTCTGAAGTTGAGTCTTGGAGGCTCCAGGTCTTACCCTCCTAACAATGCATCTACCAAGAGATTTGGTGCTGCTCATGACACTGTGCCTGTCTGCCACTCAGGGGAGGAGCAGACCGCAGTTGGTTAGCAGTGGTTACTCTACCAATGGAGACATCCACAGTGGGGTGCAGCCATCTGAACCCCTTGGCCAGAGTCTCTCAAAGTAAGGTCTGTGAGCCCCTAGGGGGTCTGTCAAACCGTTTCAGAAAATTTGCAAGGTCAAATTGTTTTCATAATATGATGTTATTTGCCTTTTTCACTATTTCAACCTTTGTACAGATTGAGCAAGAGCAATGGCAGATAAAACTGCTGGTGCCTTAAGACACATCAAAGCAGTGTCCCCAAATCTCAGCAGGAATCACTGCATCCTTTATTGCCACCTACTCACTGTACCAAAAAAAATAAAAATAAAAGCAAGATTCACTTGAGAATGTTTTTGGTGAGCCAGTAAAAATTATTAATTTTATTAAATTTCTACCCTTGAGTACATATCTGACATCTTAATATTCTATGTGAAAAACTGAAGAGCACATATAAAGCACTTCTATTGCATCCTGAAGTACCACAGTGGCCTCAAGAAAACACTTGTGTGATTGAGATACAAGCTCACTGTATAATTCCAAATGTATATTTTCCAAACAGCTGTACTATTATAAAATCTTGCATTAGTAGAAGGTCCATTCAAAATGCAAGGTGGATTAATGTATTTTATTGTAACAGAGTATGAAGTTAATTGATATGGTTTCAAATTTTACATTACAACTAATATTTAAGAAACTATCACTTGTTGAGTGTTGGTGTAGTATTAAAGGTGAATATCCACAGATATCTCAAAAGACTGTTAAATTACCTCACCCTTTTAAACTAGATATCTGTGTAAGGCCAGATTTTCTTTCTATCCTTCAATCAAAGCAACATATCACAACTGAATGCAGAAACAGTTGTAGGAATCCAGCTGTCTTTTTATAAAGCTCACTCACAATCAAAGAGATTTGCACAAACATAAAATGATGTCACTCTTTTCACTAATTTTTTTTGTTTTAGAAAATATATTTACTTTTCATAAAATAATGCTATTTATGTTAACAGGCAATTGGTTTATTATTGTTACTTTTACATGAATTAATATTTTAAAATTATTAGTTTTAATTTCTAATCAGGTACATGTAGATAGACATAAACAACATAAACAGAAGCTCCTTAGGGTCCTCAATAATTTTTGAGAGCATAAAGGAGTCCTGAGACCAAAAAATTTGAGAGCTGCTGCCCCAGGCCACAGCTGTCCCTGTGAACACGTCTGTTTCTTCCACAAAACTTTTCAGATGCAACAGATGCTTGCTCTCTTTGTTCCTCTTGTTATACCCCATCCTCATTCTCTGTACTTTTTCCTTTTACTATTGACTTTACATATCTACTTAACTCTGTACCTGCTTCAGGAGAGACCCTCCCACACTGAGCCATTCAAATGGCAGATTCCATCATCAGCCTTACCCTCTGATCTCGACTTTCGGGCACATTCAGTTCTCGCCTTTTGGGCCCTTGTCTCTACCGTGGAGTTACAAGTTGAGTCATCTTTCTTTTGAGGAACCTGATCCACCCTTTTGAGCTTCTTTTGGATTCCGTGTCTAGATGAGGCTGTCCCTGGACCAAATAATGACTTGTTAATAGTTTAAATTGGGGTCTTCAGTGAGCCTCCTACAGTCCCAATCAGTGACTTCCCTTCTCATGCCCCTAACTCCCACTCTTTCAGATCTCTGTACCCCTGTACCTCACTTTTCTCCTCCTACTTCTCTATAATTATATCCTTCTTCTTATGTGTACCTTTCTTTGCCTCCCCAAATTACCATCTGCTTTCACTCCTGGTATGACCTGTTGCAATCAACTAGATAAAGCTGGGGAAATCCTAGAGCTTATTTCCTGATTTTCGTTTGTGTCGGCCTGCACCACGAGGTGGCCACACAGTCTCGTCTAGGTGGAGAGGAGGTGTCTTATAAAGCACCTCTCCAGGTTCCCCCACGGCCTGTGTGTGGTACAAGAGATTTCCAAAAGTTTCTAGGTGCCTTCAGTGGGCAAAGTGCAAGGTATTAAAAAAACTGAGAGGGAAGGACCCTGCCAAGAAGGCGGCTACCATGAGGGAGAGATGGAAGGTGAGGCTGAGACCCAGAGGAGGTGCAATGCCAGAGGGTGCAGAGGTGAGTTTGCTTCATTGTGGAAAAAGAACACAATTTTCACCGGCTGTTGACTTTAGAAGCTGATCCCACAGGATGACCGCTGTCCTGTTGAACAAGAACGTTTCTCTGCAGGTTAGAAAGGACACAGAGTGTGCAGCCATGCTTCCCGCACGCAAGTGCGGTGATATCCGCAGGCCACTTCCGGAGGAAAAGGCATGGGTGAACCCTTAAGAGGGGGCGGAAGCGAAAGCCCGGTGGGACCCAGGGCTGGCGGGAAGTTCAAACACGGAAGTTACTGAATATTTATCCAGAAGAGGTGGGGCAGCCTGATAGAGCCTAAAACTTGCCTTTCATTGCCAAGTTTAGGGTTTTTTTTCTGCATAACTAAAGGAGGGTTTCGGAGATGAGAACACTTACAGAAAATATGAGAGTGTGGTATGTATATTTTCAGCACTACTATATATATTTTTCTCTTACAATTTTGAAACATCTTTTTATGTGTTTTGTTTTGTAAAAAATAAAGCTGATTAATTAAATGTAAAATAATATGACTCTTAAAAATATCTCTGTTGGGCTGCGGGCAGGGAGGAATGGGGAGTTGTTTAATGGGTACAGGGTTTTAGTTTTACAAGATAAAAGAGTCCTGGAGATGGATGGTGGTGATGGTTGCACAACATTGTGAATGTATTTTAATACCATTGAGCTATGCACCTAAAAATGGTTGAGATGATAAATTTTATGTCATGTGTATTTTACCCAGGTAAAAAATTGGAAAATTGGAAAAAAGAAAATTAAAAGCACATCATCTGTCACATTTAAAATAAAACGATTCTTTTAAAAAACCTGAAAAATTTCATTTAAATACAATATGAAGAAAGGCAAATCTGGAAGGGACTGGAGTCTACTCCTTTCGGTAGCTTGGCAGAGAGATGTCAAAAGGTCAGAGTTACCTCAACAGAACTGACCATCTGACACTGACTCCAGAGGTTTCCCCTCTCTAACAAAGTCACTTCTCTGACCAGGGAGTGTTCATAATTGTATAGTTGCATAGACATTCCCTGTCTCCCTAATCCTATAACGTGTAGAGCATTGTGAGAGTGGGCATCTCACTACTGGGCTGCTGGCCACGGGGTGTGCAGAGTACGTATGTCTGCCCTAAATATGGGATAATAAGAATTTGGAGAATTGTATTGGAAATTTCCCTCCAATAACCTTTAGTTTGTATCTACACCACGTGGTGCCCATAATGTCTATGACCCCTTTTCATAACACAATAATGAATTCATAAACTATCCTTTGTCAGATCATTATTCAAATTTTGGGTTACAGAAAGTATGGTTTCTTTCATTTTTTTTTCATTAAAAAAAAATTAATAGCTAATTTGTGCCAGGACATTACCATCTAGCCTAGAAGAGACACATTATGTAAGTAATTACAATAGAGTATTTGGAACCTTCCAAAAGAGCCAGTGCTGGGTGCTGTAGAAATTATGGGACCAGCTTGGCTAATTTAGGGGTCAGAGTATGTATTCCTGAGATAGACATAAGTCAACACGACTGATGAAAAGGAGATAACTAAACATTTATGGGGAGTAGTGTAGGTTCAGAATATAGCATCCAAAGAGAATAGCACATGCCAAGGATCAAAGGGGAGAGAAATGAAATGGGAAGAAATGAAAGTTCAGAGTGGTTGACTGGAGTTTTGAGTGGAAAGAGATATATTAATAGTTGGAGGGTAAGGCATGAGTTAGACTGGATAGAACTTTAACAATCACATTAAGGACAGTGAACATTACCCTAAGGGCAATAGGAGGCCATGGACAAGATTTAAGCATGGAAATAAACTAATTAGATTTTAATGTAGAAAAGAAGAGGGTGAACCAATAGACCTTGTCAATATGCTAATAGAGTTCAGTTAGTCACGGATGACTAAGGTTTTTGCTTGGCACCTGGGTAGATTAAGTTCCTCATTTCAAGTTAAACTACAACAGGCTCCCAAGGGCCTGTGAAACCCTACATAATCTGATTCTTGTTTACTTTTTCACTTCCTACCACCTTCTTTCTTCATCATCACCAACAACACTGGTCTTTCCTCTCTGCCTCAGGTTCTTTGCACTTTTGAGTCCCTCTGCCTGGACCATCCAATCCAAAGTGACTCCCACCCCAACCTGCAAGTCACTATTGTAATCCTATCCATTATTTTCTTTCATCCTGTCATCAGTACTTGAAATTATCTTGTTTATGTGCTTTCTAGTTTATATTCTTTCCTTCCCCCAGCCAGGATGTAACCTCCATGAGCTTTCCCCTTTGTTTTTTGCTTACTTTCTTACTTTCTCTCTTTAAAAAAAAAATCTGTCTTCAGCTTTCAGAATGGGTATATACAGTTAGTGCTCACTGCATATTTGTTGGAATAAATGTCTGAATGGTACTTAGAAGACTAGGTTTTTGGTAAAGAAGGTGAAGTTAATTTCAGGCATATTGAGACTGTAGTGTCAATGGGAGACTTGCAAACAAAGA
This sequence comes from Homo sapiens, assembly GCF_000001405.40. Classification (NCBI taxonomy): domain Eukaryota; kingdom Metazoa; phylum Chordata; class Mammalia; order Primates; family Hominidae; genus Homo; species Homo sapiens. The sequence continues at coordinate 230,205,775 of NC_000002.12, forward strand.
CGCCCAGTGTGCAGCTGGCTATGTGTTTCTTGAAGACAAACCTGAGTTGAAGACGTAGAGTTGGGAGCCATCAGTATAAAGGTGGTAATTGAAGTTGTGAGAGTGATTGACAAAGCTCAGAAGTGTGAGTTGAATAATCTGACTAGTTTACAATGAACCAAGGAGGCCCATAGAGAATACACATAACATGGTGAGAGGGCATTGACTAATAAGTAGAATGGGGGAGAAAGCAGCTTGTCTCTCCTTCCTGCCCAGGAAGGTCACTTACTTTTCTTAGAATGGAATCATTTCTGTTAAGTGTCTTAAAAGGACACCAGCCCTGTGATTTTGGACACTGGGATCATACTAATGATAAACTAAGTCAGGGAAGAGGAGCTTTAAGCCACTGGCTTAGGCTGCCATCTATTGCTCTGTTTCCTTTTACAGCTAGAGTTGTCTACATATGTTATCACCTCCCATTCATTATCCTTCCCACACAACTGGCTCCTGCCTCCATCACCAAAATTTTTCTTAAATTTTCCAGTGATTCTTTGTGACCAAACTCAAGGCCCTCTTCTCTGAATTTATCTTAGTCTCTCAGTATAGTCAACCATTCCCTCTTGGCTTGCTAACATGTTCTTTCTTGGTGCTCCTCTGTCTTCACTGGTCTCGTTCCCTCAGTCTGTCTTGCTAGATTCCTCTTCCACTGGGATTACTTAGAGCAGGGCTAGGTCTGTGGTTCTCTTTTCTTCTCCCATAGATCAGAATACCTTTATTTTATTGATAACTCATATATATACATATATCTGGTCCAGATATTATATATTATCTGGTCCAGATTTTATATATATATATATATATATATATATATATATATATATATATGGACCACACTTTTTCAGTGAGTGCCAAATTGCCATATTGTGGGGAATATAACTTCCTGATTTCTCAGTGTTCCTGTAAAAAGCCCTAGTCCCGGAGACACAGAAATGTATGCAATATAAATATAGGAAATACTTGCTTTCACTTCCCCAGAAACATTTTCCTCTTCCCACACCATGAGAATTAGAGCTATAGCTATTTTTCTAGTTAATTACTCTGATCTAGAGGGAGAATAGAACCTCTCTTATCTCCTGAGATGGCCAAATGGGTTCACCCAGGACTAGCTTCCTAGGTTAAATCCTAAAGTACCAGGAAAACTGGAGTGGTCTTTCCCTAGGTATTTATATATCACAAGGGGTAAAGCCCAGAACTTGGAGACATCTTTAGGTTGTAAAAGCCAGCAACACCTAGAGTTTCTCTGGCCTTTGGAAAGATGCATTTAAATTCCAAAGGTTAGGATGGAGAGCTTTGGAACGAGGATCTTTTCCATTTTATCTCAAAGCAGCAAAGTTTTTTCTTTTCCTTTCAGGAGGAAAGGATGATGGCTATCCCTCTCATGTATCTAAACAGAAAAATCCATCATTCTACATCCCTTATACATGAGTTGTAGTCTATTTTGAATAGAAAGATTCCATTAGCTCTCTTAGCATTGCCTTTGGGTTTGTGTATGGGAGACAGACGCTGCAATATTGCTCTGGCTGATAAGCTGGTTGTGAATATCAGTAAAGAATTATTTTCCCTGACCAGATACCTTGTGTTCCTGCAGCACTCATATATATAAGGAGATACCAATGCAAGTGGAGTAACATCTTAGACCCTTTACAGTTCTTGACAAAACACACATCTATACACAGCTGCATAGATGGCTAGCAGAAACCTCTAAAGGAACAGGTCAATAATTGAACTCTAAGAGTTATCCCCCAATATATTTGCATCTTCCCTCAGCAATGGGCATTACCACTTACTTGTTCAAGCCAGAAATTGAAGAGTGGGCCTTGATTTTTCTCTTTCTCATCTGTAGCTAATAATATGTCAAATCCTGTCAACAATACCTGCAAAACTGATCTTGAATTGGCACTCTTCTCTGCATCTCCACTGTCAGATCTGAATCCAAGCCACCAAGAACTCTCATGGCATCTGCCCCAAAATGGCTGCCCTGCCTCCATTCTTTCCCAGCTCCAACTCATTCTTTACACCGTAGCAAAATTGAGCTTACATTGTGTCACTTCACTGACTAAATCTCTTCAATGGCTTCCCATTGCATTTAGAATAAAATTCAACCCTCCACAGCTTGACCTACAAGCCCTGCATGAGCTGTTTCCAGCCTCCAGCTTCCTCTTGTACTCTCATCTTACCTCCTGGGAGGCTTTTTTTCTTATGTCTCCTTTTTGGAGTTGACCAGATACATCTTTTTCTTTTCTTTCCTAAAAAGAAAGGATAATGTTTTATAGTTACAAACATTGATCTCCCAATCTTGTATGTCAATGATATTCAGCTTTTACTTTTGGTCTTCAAACCACATTGCTAGAAGTTCATTGGTGACCTTAGGTGATGGTACTTCAGGGAGTAATAGGGGAAGAAGGACTCTAAAATGACAGAGGAAAAGGAGAAACGAAGAAATAGAGACAGGGAGTTTAGGTAGCTCATTTCTAGAAGTTTGGTTGTGAAATGAAGGAGAGAGATATGGAAGTAGTTGAAGTGAGATGAGAATCAAGAAAAAGCATTTTTTAATGAGCTGTGATACATGTAATGCAGATTCTTGTGTGAGACATACTGCTTTAATGAATACTTGAGAGAGAAGGGATCATGGATACTATAAGATGAGGCAGAAGGATTGTCTTAGAAGAGAAGGAGGGAACTCGGAGAGGAGGGAGACAGATGTAGTTAGGGTTTGTAGGACTAGCAGCACAAATAAGGGGATTCTCATCTGATATCTCCTTATGGTGCAGGAGGGAAAGTCACTGATTGAGCAAAAAGCAGGAGGTGAGGGGGTCAGAGGTTTGAAAAATAGGGCTTGAGGTTTGAAAGGATTATTGCAGGAAGTAGCATTGTCACACAGTAAGGAGAGATGATTTGTGCTGGAACCATGAAGACCAGTGAGTGCACTCTGCCCTGCTGTGGAACTCTCTCCAGCACTGCTGGCTTTCAGATGCAGTGTACAGGAAGTAGGTAAGTAGGGTCTTCCAAGACTTGCCAGAGAGTTCTAGGAAAAGGCAGAGAGGAAAGGCAGGTTTAAGATAATGGCAATAGATTACTGAAATGATGAATCTTGGACTGTGAGTTAGTGTCAATGTTAAAAAGCTGGGAAGCAAAGAAAAGCAGATGATGGCTTGGAAGGAGGAAAGGCCAGTGGACTGGTGATCCAAATGAGGTTGAAGGACAACTTCAGAGGAAACAACAAATAAATAAGCACAGAAAAATATATTTTTGATTCTTTTTCTTTTGTTAGGATTGGGCTGGGAAAGAGTGATCAGAGGTTGAATGATAGCTATAAAAGGAGAAAAGCTCAAGGACAGGTATCAAAAAAGGAATTCTGAAATTAACTGTTGGGAAATCGAGCCAGGTTTGAATGACGATAGGGTCTATAGCTTGCCTTTGGGTATGGGAGGCCAAGAATTGGTGGAGGAAAAAGTCATGGAAAATGAGAAGATGAAGGATTTGAGGGGCCAGAGTATTGGATAACAGAGTTGTCTGTTATCCGTGTGTACCCTGAAGGCATCTAGGATGATGCTGGGACTTGAAATGACAGAAAAGCAGCTTTTGAAAGGATTATTGGGGAAATTATTGGATGATATTGATGATGAGTGAGTGAACATTTTAATTGAATGGTTAAGACTCAAAGGAGAGGATCAGGGAGGAAGGGGCTGGATGGGGCCAGTAGGCAGCAAAGGACAGACATCTAACCTGTCTCTCACCATGAGGTGTGAGTGATGGATGGCAGAGAATGCCTAGCCATGTCTTAAGAGGAAGTGGGTTCCTCTCTGGGGAACCAACTTTCAGTTAAAGAGGGAAGTGCAATTAACACTCTAAGAAGTTGTGAATATAGGAGATTGATTTTTTCAGAACAGGCAATTCCAATGGCATATTTCAATACCCCCAAATGCCTTCTGGTTTCCTGATAATTTTCATAAAGGCCTTTTTGGAAGATGCAGCAAATGGAAACTGCAGAAACGAACTGTGTGTGGCATCAGGACTGTGGTCACATAGTGGTGCTCTTGACAAGATACAGTCAGAAAAACAGAAAGCAACTCTGAATTCACCCTTCTGACCTCTACAGAAGAAAGGCTTTTCTTACCTTTCTTGTCTGAAGGTGTGCTGGACACCTCCTGGGGCTCTTCTGGGTCATTTGGTTCTGGAGAATTATCTCTTATCTCTGACAAAAGAAATATAAGTCATTTCAGAGCTCAGATCCAGTGAAGAGAAAGTGCTGAGGGAAGTCAATGCAAGAACTAGAAAAGTAGAAAGTACATGCAGCCCAGGGCCGGGAATCTGCTTGCCCTAAGAATTCCCTGGCTCTGTCTTGATTTTTGCCAACTTGTGGTTATTGTTACCTGTGCGACCATCACAGGGAACTAGGGCACAACTGCCCCACAGCAGAGGCTCAGTCTGATCCTTTTAGAGAGATTATCTTATGGATGGAAGAGAAGTGAGTGAAGAAGGTGCAATGAATGGAAATTGCAGGAATAAACTGTGCTGGGTATCATGACTATAGTCACATGGTTTCTGCTCCCAGCAGCCCCTGCTCAAGGAATGAAGCTGAGAGCGGAAAGTGGTGATATTGAAATCTGATGTCCATGATGAAGGGGAATGTCTTTGCTGTATGAAAAATACATCTTATTGCTTTGACGTCTATGTGTGGATATTCTTTAACTGCTCTATCTGTGGTTATTTTACTTGGAGAAATAGTGGAGAAGGCTAAATGCCTTATATATTTCTGTATATAAGGATTGTTTGAAGAAAGCAGGAGCTAGCCTGTGCTTGCTAGCACCTGTTAACAGCAAAGACATATAAAGCTCTGCTAGTTTTTGCTGCACAAAGAAAGACAGAGAACTTGAAGCCATAACAAATAAAGGCTCATCTCACATGAAGCTGTCACCTTTTTCTTTACACACTGCATTGAGATTGGTCTCAAATGCTGGCCTGCTTAGGAATAGGTGACTGAGGCAGGTGGCAAGCAGTCATTAGATCTTTGGAATAATTTATTACCTTTCAAGTTATATTCATAATATCAACTCTTAAACTCCAAGTGATATAGAAATGACCAGGGTTGAAAGTGAAAATTCCCCACAGTCAGGTGGGGGCTTGGAAGGAGGACCATCCATGTCTGCTGCAGCAATTCACTATTAGGGCCACACAGTGTTTTTGTTCATTTGCTTTGCATTTTGACAGAGCCGTTTTGAGCACTACTTTATTGAAGTGGCCTCAGAAGAGTGGCTCTGTCAAACAGTCCAGCCTGACTCAGTTCCCTTGCTTTCCCCTGGGGTTCCTGCCACAACCCTTTGTGGCAGGTGAATGTTTCCCTTTCAGGCGCTTTGTGGCATTTGGAGTCCAAACCTACAGGCACTGGTGGGGCTCTGTCCATCATCATCCGTGGCCCTATCCAAGTCTACCTTTTCCAGACTTGCCTCCTTTGCCCTCCCCCAGGGACTCTGTATCCATTCAGAGGTCGGGTCTCCTGCCTGTTCAAGCTCCCAAGTGCTGGGTGAACTGGAAGCTGGGCCAAGATTGCTGAGAGGCAGGAGGAGAGCCCCCTCTCTAGAAGATCCGAATGGCTTTTCCTCTTAGTAAACACAGAAACAAAGGCAAGCTTTTAGGTTGACCAAACCAAGATTACCTGGCATAGAGCCCAAGGGAGAGTGGGGCATCTCTTGAGGGTCTTCTTTATCTCTTATTTGGGGGATCAGGTTGTCACTGGCCACTGAATGGAGGAAGAAAAAGTTTTAGATCTCAGGAACAGCAAGCAGGGACCAGAATGAGGAGAAAAGAGAATGCTCTATTCCAACAAGTAAAAATGACGGGGTAACAGCAACCAAGGCCTGGGAAAGGATGGCATAGAGTGGGAAAGTAAGCAACCATTCACTCTCAATTAGCCACTTGTTCTTCCATTGCTGTTAGCTTCCTGATTATGTTAACCTTTTTGGATGGTAGGTATTAGAGGAGTGGATGCAATATTATTTGGATCGAAGAGGACCCCTCTTCTCAGTACTGGAGAGCTCAGAATCCATGGTATCATTTTTGACAATGCCCAATATCATACCATTCTTACGTTTAATGTAATCAAACTCCATTATGATGATGGTTTGGGGAGGACAAGTGATACAATTTGAGAAGCTAAATATTAGGTCTAGCAGACCTTTAAACATTTTATCATCTTTTCTAGTAATTTTGATAACATTGTTCTTAGAATCCAAACCATATAAAAATGAAGAATGTTGAAACTCTAAGGCCCCCATAATCAGGTGGGGGTGAGGAATCAGCTAAGGGTCACTAGTGTGAGTGTTACGCAGGTTACTTGTCAATTCAGAATGGTGTTTTGGTTGTTGGTTTGTTTTGCATTGCTGCGTTGGTGAATTGGCCCCTTCTGTTTCTTTTCCTTTGTATTGCTCAGTTCTTTTTCCCAGGGTTCCCACCATAGCCTCTTGGTTGGCAGACGCATGTTCTCCCTTCACAGTCACCTTGAGCTAAGCGGTATCAGCCCCAGTCAGTGTTACCTTGCACAGTGCTAGTGAGGAGGCTGGGCATCTCTTCTGAGTCTTCTTCCGCATTCATTTTGGATGTTAACTTGTCATTGGTCACTGAAGGAGGAAAGGAAATTATTACAGATTGCAGGGACTGGATGTCAGGGAGAAGAGTGAATGTTAAAAGTGCCTGGGGCAGATAGAGCATCAAGGCACAAGGGCAGAGGGTTGGAATGTCCCGGGAGTGGGAAGCAGGTGTTCTGGACTCTAGGTCTTACCCACCCCCCGGCAGTGCTCATAATCCCTCTTGAAAAGGGTTGTGTTTGGGTAGATGGGTGCAAGAGAAGAACTAGGACAATAAAAGTCAAGATGCTGGGATTGGCGGCAACATGGCACAGGCACCTTAGGCTGAGGATATACAGGTGTTGGATGGGATCTGTTTCTCACCTGAAGTGCTTCTTCCTTCCTGGATGAGTGCAGGGAGAGGCAGGACAGGGTCAGATGGGCTGGGCGACTCACTCAGGATCTCATCGCTTTGCTGGGAGGATGTTCCAGGCTCACTGACTCTTGGCGCACAGGGTGAACAGCTTGGTTGAGGGGGTTGTGGTGGGGGCAGCGCCAGTGGGGTATGGAGGGAGCTTCCTTCTGCTAGGCCAGTTGGGGCTTCAAGTAGGATTGGTGTGTCTCTGCTCTGCCATTCATAGGAAGCACCAACTGGGATTGGTGAAGGGACACACATCAGTACCCTGGAGACTCAGAATTACTTGGGGAAGGGGATTTCTTAATACATGCCTTCCAATAGGATGGGGGCATGGAGCTATTCATTGTCCCCCAGGTGCAGAGAACTGATTCATTGTCATCATTATCCATTTGTGGCCCCTTAATATTTTATTTATCTGGTTTGGGCATTGAGTGCTACAATAAGTGCATCTAAGCCCTGATCTAATACCAAAATGGTTTCACACATAAAAGTTGAGTTTGGGTTTGTACCCAGGGGTTTAACTTTTCTTTAATCTTGGTGTCATATAATTTAGTCAATAATGAACATGCTATAGTTTTAAAAGAGGTCTCTGTTTTAATAAATAAACAGATCATACTTCCCCGAAGCAAATAAGAGAAAATAAAAATTCCTTAGCAGGGTGTATTAGGACATTTATATTCTGGTTTCTGCTCATTTCTGCAGAGTCAGCTTCTGTGCCTTCTATTGTACCCTGTGATCTGGTCACACCCAGCTTTCTCTCCCATCCACAATACCCCAGACCCTTGGCTTTCTGCATGCTATTCCCTTGCATGGCTAGTGCTGGGTTTCTCTTAAGATTCTTCTCCATCATTTATTTCAGAAGTAAATGGTCTCAACCAGTGAATGGAAAAAGGAAAGTAACTTCAAATTTTGGAAAGGGATTCAGAACAAAATCATCAGGTTGAAGATCCCGGAAGATGACTGAAGCTCAGCCAGGTCAGGGGCACATCAGTGTGTGGGTCCCCATGGTTCTCAGATGTTCTTACCATAGCCTTTAAGGCCATGCCTCTCCTAGTATTGCCCAGATGCTGCCAGGACAGTGGGCCCTCTGTAGCTGCCCCTACCTGGAGGTGGACTTGCCCCTTTCACTGTCCATGTAGCTCAAGAAATCATCTCTCCCTTCAGGGGGAAGCCTTTTGATGGTGAAGTGTCAGAGAGCAAAGGAGGAACTGTCAACAATGGTGATTCCACTAATGAAAATATCCAATGTGAGCTGGTGGTCCTTTGCTTGTTGTTCTGAGGTAAGTGAACATGTGATTTGGCCACAGTGTTTTACTTCCAACCTAAAATGACTTTACTGCCTCTCTCTTTCCCTGGCTGATTTCTTCCCAACTCTGCCACTGTTCTTTTTCCTACTCCTTTATTTATCCAGTCTCTTTTCTTTCTCTACGTACTTCATGATCCATTCTTTCTCAGACCCTCTCTTTCTGTGGCTATGTTTGCGATTCACTCCCTTTCTCTGTAGCTACCTTTTTTCCCTTCTCTGGCTTTACAATCTGCCTTCCAGCTGTCCTTGTCCGGACTAGTGGTTAAAATCTTGGGCCCTGGTATTGGGAGACCCAAGTAGGACTCTTGCTCTGCTTCTTAACCAACAAGTAATTTTGGGAAGATTACCTCTGGGCTTTAATTTCTCTGTCAGTCAAATGGGGTTAAAAATGACTTCAAAGGGTTGTTTTAAAGATGATGTGAGATAATCAAATAAAGTGTTTGCGATAAGGCACCAAAAAAAGATACTTATTATTATCCGTCCACATTCATTTTTTCTTCCTCCCTGGCTCTCCTTGTCCTTCCACCAGACCTGATCTTTGTAACTTTGCATTTCTGTCACCTTATGCATTCCCTATAGATTTTCCAGTATGCCAAATTGTATGATTTTTTTCCAAATTCATAGAACACATAAGAAATGTTTATGTCCTCTAGAAGTTCATCTTAGAGAGTTGGGATCAGCTTTAGCAAGGGGCTGCTCCTGCAGCTGTACCAATGAGAGAATATGGTCCATTCCACCCCAGAGAGAAGGCGGGGGATTAACGTGCATATTCCACAGGGCTAGAAGTAAACCCAGACTTTTACCATAGCAACTTTTTAAATGCAAAAAGCACTTGAGAAATCTCATTACCACGTTTGAAGCTTCTGTAAATCGTCACCAGATTGGGATATTCACGCAGGTTAATTTGACTGAACAATGTCACCAGAAGAGACAGGTTAAAAGTCCTCTCCAGTTGGGTGAGAATGTTGTGCACCACTCTGGATACAGGGATCAAATTTCTACAGGCTTCCAGAGATTCCTATAAAAATGGAGTGAAGGTTTTTATAAATGACTATAAAATTGAATGGGAAGTTATACATTTATGGTTTTCTAAGTTTTAAGAAAGCTACCTTACTCTTTTAAGAAGAAATTCAACATAAAATATATAGTCACATTCTCTAAGGTAGAGCGGTCACAGTTTTACATGCTTATTTTTGAAACTTTACACATATTTGGATGACTAGCAACAAAAATAAATAATTTAGCTTTCTTAAAGTAAGTCTATATTCTGAATCCAACTTTCAGGCACATTTGAGACGAGAGAAATTTGAAGGAAGGAAAGTGGGGTTAAAGGATGCTACTATGTAATTGATTCTTTAAAGCTGTGGGCAGGATACTTCAGCAATGGTTCTAGTGATGGTCACAGAGGCAATTCTGCTGGTTGCTTGTGAGCCTCTGCTCAGTCTCTCTCTGTGTCTCTCAAACTTGAGATAAGCCTGAATGGATTCCAGCCACAGAGAAGTCACCCTGAGAATTTTCCTTGCCTAGAGGATGGACAAAAGGAGAAATACGGCAAGAGAGAACTGATTGCAAATAATTATTGAACATCTACTAGGCTCGGTCAGCGAGTCTTTGGGTACACAGCACTGAATAAGACCAACATGGAGTTGCCTATATTTGGGGGTCAGGGTAGGCACTGTCAAGTGGAGAAGATGAGCATTAATAAACACAAATAAATACCCATTTACAATTGAGAGTAGTGTTACGGAGGGAAAGCATAGATTGCTATGGAACTGAATAACTAAGGGGTCTTCATGAGATGAGTTGGCCAAGGAGATGTCTCTGAGGAGTGCTCTCTGGGCTGTGATCTGAAGAGGGAGTTGGGGCCAACCAGACTAAGACTAAGGGAAGATTATTGGCACTTCCTTGAGTCTAGGGCTCAATTAATGCTTTTAAAAACCAAAATTATATAAAAATAGGTCCACTTTTGTCCACATAGCATATCTCCCAGTGCCTGCCTGTCTCACATCAGAATGCACTGTGAGCAATATTAGCTGTTATAAATTGGGATGATGCCTGTAGTGAGTTGAATGTTGGATGGATATATCTCAGCCAAGATATATCCATCTAGAATCTGTGAATGTGAACTTATTTGGAAAAAGTGTCTTTGCAGTTGTAATTAAGTTAAGGATCTTGAGATAAAATCATCTTTGATTAGGGTGACCCTAAATCCAAGTGTCCTCAGAAGATTAGGTAGAAGACTCAAAAGAGAGGTGATGTAGAGATGAAAACATATCAGAGTGATGCATCTACAAGGCAAGGAACACTAAGGATTTCCAACAGCTACCAGAAGCTAGGAGATAGGCAGCTATCGGATTCTCCTCAGGGCCTCTAGAAGGAACCAACCCTGTCAACACCTTGATTTTGGACTTCTGGCCTCCACACCTGAGAGAATATATTTCTGTTGTTTTAAGCTACCTGGTTTGTAGTCATTGTTACAGCAGTCCTTATGACACCCTAGAAACCAACATAGCCCCTATGACACCCTCTCTCCTAACTACCCCCACCTTCTGTGATAATGAACATGCCTGGGCTGGGCCTTCCAAACTCTGGAAGCCCTGGTGGTTTGTGGTTTGAGACTTTAATAATCAGGCATATTGGTGGGGGCTGGGCTGCCATGGAAGGGTTCAACATGACTCACCATGTACATTCTCTTAGTGATGATGGAGTTGTCTAGGAGGCCTTCAAAGAAGGGAAATGGCTTGTGTATGGCATAGGCGATCCCCAGCTTCTGGTGCATGAAGTGCTGAA